>NC_000017.11:23195018-23506241 GCF_000001405.40 Homo sapiens
AGCATTCTGAGAAACTACTTTGTGATGATTGCATTCAAGTCACAGAGCTGAACATTCCCTTTGACAGAGCAGTTTGGAAACTCTCTTTGTGTAGAATCTGCAAGTGGAGATATGGAATGCTTTGAGGACTATGGTAGTAAAGGAAATAGCTTCATAGAAAAGCTAGACAGTAGCATTCTCAGAAACTTCTTTGTGATGCTTGCATTCAACTCACAGAGTTGAACTTTCCTTTCGAGAGAGAAGCTTTGAAACACTCTTTTTCCAGAATCTGCAAGTGGACATTTGGAGGGCTTTGAGGCCTGTGGTGGAAAAGGAATTATCTTCCCTAAAAGCTAGATAGAAGCATTGTCAGAAACTTCTTTGTGATGATTGCATTCAACTCACAGAGTTGAAGGTTCCTTTTCAAACAGCAGTTTCCAATCACTCTTTCTGTGGAATCTGCAAGTGGATATTTGGACCTCTTTGAAGATTTCGTTGGAAACGGGAGAATCTTCACAGAAAAGCTAAACAGAAGCATTCTCAGAAACTTCTCTGTGATGTTTGTGTTCAACTCCCAGAGTTTCACATTGCTTCTCATAGAGTAGTTCTGAAACATGCTTTTCATACTGTCTGCAAGTGGACATTTGGAGCGCTTTCAGGCCTGTGGTGGAAATCGAATTATGGTCACATAAAAACTGGAGAGAAGCCTTCTGCGAAACTTCTCTGAGATGATTGCATTCAACTCACAGAGTTGAACCCTCCTATGGATAGAGCAGTGTTGAAACTCTCTTTTTGTGGAATCTGCAAGTGGATATGTGGACCCCTCCGAAGATGTCTTTGGAAACGGGAATATCTTCACATAAAAACTAAACAGAAGCATTCTCAGAAACTTCTTGGTGATGTTTGCATTCAAATCCCAGAGTTGAACCTTCCTTTGAGAGTTCAGGTTTGAAACACTCTTTTTGTAGGATCTGCAAGTGGATATTTGGACCACTCTGTGGCCTTCGTTCGAAACGGGTACATCTTCGCATAAAATCTAGACAGAAGCATTCTCAGAAAATACTTTGTGATGATTGAGTTTAACTCACAGAGCTGAACATTCCTTTGGATGGAGCAGGTTTGAGACACACTTTTTGTAGAATCTACAAGTGGATATTTGGACCTCTCTGAAGATTTCGTTGGAAACGGGATAACTGCACCTAACTAAACGGAAGCATTCTCAGAAATTGCTTTTTGATGATTGCATTCACCTCACAGAGTTGACCATTCCTATTGATAGAGCAGTTTGGAAACACCCTTGTTGTGGAATGTGCAAGTGGAGATTTGGAGCGCTTTGAGGCCTATGGTAGTAAAGGGAATAGCTTCATAGAAAAACTAGACAGATGCATTTTCAGGAACTTTTTGGTGACGTTTGTATTCAACTCCCAGAGTTGAACTTTCCTTTGGAAAGAGCAGCTATGAAACACTGTTTTTCTAGAATCTGCAAGTGGACGTTTGGAGGGCTTTGTGGTTTGTGGTGGAAAAGGAAATATCTTCACCTAAATACTAGATAGAAAGCATTCTCAGAAGCTTCTCTGAGATGACTGCATTCAACTCACGGAGTTGAACACTCCTTTTGAGAGCGCAGTTTTGAAACTCTCCTTCTGTGGCATCTGCAAGGGGACATGTAGACCTCTTTGAAGATTTCGTTGGAAACGGAATCATCTTCACATAAAATCTATACAGAGCAGTCTCAGAATCTTCTTTGTGAAGTTTGCATTCAAATCCCAGAGTTGAATTTTCCTTTCAAAGTTCAGGTTTGAAACCCTCTTTTTGCAGGATCTACAAGTGGATATTTGGACCACTCTGTGTCCTTCGTTCGAAACGGGTATATCTTCACATGACATCTAGACAGAAACTTTCTCAGAAAATTCTTTGTGATGATTGAGTTGAACTCACAGAGCTGAACATTCCTTGCGATGGAGCAGTTTAGAAACACACTTTCTGCAGAATCTGCAAGTGCATATTTGGACCTCTCTGAGGAATTCGTTGGAAACGGGATAATTTCAGCTGACTAAACAGAAGCATTCTCAGAACCTTCTTCGTGATGTCTGCGTTCAACTCACAGTGTGGAACCTTTCTTTGGTAGTTCAGGTTTGAAACACTCTTTTTGTAGAAACTGCAAGGGGATCCTTGCACTTCTTTGAGGCCTACCGTAGTAAAGGAGATAACTTCCTATAAAAAGAAGACAGAAGCATTCTCGGAACCCTCTTCGTGATGTTTGCATTCAACTCACAGTGCTGAACCTTTCTTTGATAGTTCAGATTTGAAACACTCTTCTTGTAGAAACTGCAAGTGGATATTTGGTCCTCTCTGAGGATTTCGTTGGAAACGGGATAAACCGCACAGAACTAAACAGAAGAATTCTCAGAGCCCTCTTCGTGATGTTTGCATTCAACTCACAGTGCTGAACCTTTCTTTGATAGTGCAGCTTTGAAACACTCTTTTTGTAGAAACTGCAAGTGGATGTTTGGTCCTCTCTGAGGATTTCGTTGGAAACGGGATAAACCGCACAGAACTAAAACAGAGCATTGTCAGAAACTTCTTTGTGATGATTGCATTCAACTCACAGAGTTGAAGGTTCCTTTTCAAACAGCAGTTTCCAATCACTCTTTCTGTGGAATCTGCAAGTGGATATTTGGGCCTCTCTGAGGATTTCGTTGGAAACGGGATAAAACGCACAGAACTAAAACAGAAGCATTCTCAGAAACTTCTCTGTGATGTTTGTGTTCAACTCCCAAAGTTTCACATTGCTTTTCATAGAGTAGTTCTGAAACATGCTTTTCGTAGTGTCTACAAGTGGACATTTGGAGCGCTTCCAGTCCTGTGGTGGAAAACGAATTATGGTCACATAAAAACTGGAGAGAAGCTTTCTCAGAAACTTCTCTGTGATGATTGCATTCAACTCACAGAGTTGAACCCTCCTATGGATAGAGCAGTGTTGAAACTCTCTTTTTGTGGAATCTGCAAGTGGATATGTGGACCTCTCCGAAGATGTCTTTGGAAACGGGAATATCTTCACATAATAAGTAAACAGAAGCATTCTCAGAAACTTCTTGGTGATGTTTGCATTCAAATCCCAGAGTTGAACCTTCCTTTGACAGTTCAGGTTTGAAACACTCTTTTTGTAGGATCTGCAAGTGGATATTTGGACCACTCTGTGGCCTTCGTTCGAAACGGGTACATTTTCGCATAAAATCTAGACAGAAGCATTCTCAGAAAAT
The DNA here is from genome assembly GCF_000001405.40 of Homo sapiens. NCBI lineage: Eukaryota > Metazoa > Chordata > Mammalia > Primates > Hominidae > Homo > Homo sapiens. Next base: position 23,198,261 of record NC_000017.11, read on the forward strand.
ACTTTGTGATGATTGAGTTTAACTCACAGAGCTGAACATTCCTTTGGATGGAGCAGGTTTGAGACACACTTTTTGTAGAATCTACAAGTGGATATTTGGACCTCTCGGAGGATTTCGTTGGAAACGGCATAACTGCACCTAACTAAACGGAAGCATTCTCAGAAACTGCTTTGTGATGATTGCATTCACCTCACAGAGTTGAACATTCCTATTGATAGAGCAGTTTGGAAACACTCTTGTTGTGGAATGTGCAAGTGGAGATTTGGAGCGCTTGAGGCCTATGGTAGTAAAGGGAATAGCTTCATAGAAAAACTAGACAGAAGCATTCTCAGGAACCCCTTGGTGCTGATTGTATTCAACTTCCAGAGTTGAACTTTCCTTCGGAAAGAGCAGCTATGAAACACTCTTTTTCTAGAATCTGCAAGTGGATATTTGGAGGGCTTTGAGGTTTGTGGTGGAAAAGGAAATATCTTCACATAAACACTAGATGGGAGCATTCTCAGAAGCTTCTCTGTGATGACTGCATTCAACTCACGGAGTTGAACACTCCTTTTGAGAGCACAGTTTTGAAACTCTCTTTCTGTGGCATCTGCAAGGGGACATGTAGACCTCTTTGAAGATTTCGTTGGAAACGGAATCATCTTCACATAAGAACTATACAGAAGCAGTCTCAGAATCTTCTTTGTGATGTTTGCATTCAAATCCCAGAGTTGAAATTTCCTTTCAAAGTTCACGTTTGAAACACTCTTTTTGCAGGATCTACAAGTGGATATTTGGACCACTCTGTGTCCTTCGTTCGAAACGGGTACATCTTCACATGACATCTAGACAGAAGCTTTCTCAGAAAATTCTTTGGGATGATTGAGTTGAACTCACAGAGCTGAACATTCCTTGCGATGTAGAAGTTTAGAAACACACTTTCTGCAGAATCTGCAAGTGCATATTTGGACCTCTCTGAGGAATTCGTTGGAAACGGGATAATTTCAGCTGACTAAACAGAAGCATTCTCAGAACCTTCTTCGTGATGTCTGAATTCAACTCACAGTGTGGAACCTTTCTTTGATAGTTCAGGTTTGAAACACTCTTTTTGTAGAAACTGCAAGGGGATAATTGCACTTCTTTGAGGCCTACCGTAGTAAAGGAAATAACTTCCTATAGAAAGAAGACAGAAGCATTCTCAGAACCCTCTTCGTGATGTTTGCATTCAACTCACAGTGCTGAACCTTTCTTTGATAGTTCAGCTTTGAAACACTCTTTTTGTAGAAACTGCAAGTGGATATTTGGTGCTCTCTGAGGATTTCGTTGGAAACGGGATAAACCGCACAGAACTAAACAGAAGCATTCTCAGAAACTTCTTTGTGATGCTTGCATTCAACTCACAGAGTTGAACTTTCCTTTCGAGAGAGAAGCTTTGAAACACTCGTTTTCCAGAATCTGCAAGTGGACATTTGGAGGGCTTTGAGGCCTGTGGTGGAAAAGGAATTATCTTCCCGTTAAAGCTAGATAGAAGCATTGTCAGAAACTTCTTTGTGATGATTGCATTCAACACACAGAGTTGAAGGTTCCTTTTCAAAGAGCAGTTTCCAATCACTCTTTCTGTGGAATCTGCAAGTGGATATTTGGACCTCTTTGAAGATTTCGTTGGAAACGGGAGAATCTTCACAGAAAAGCTAAACAGAAAGCATTCTCAGAAACTTCTCTGTGATGTTTGTGTTCAACTCCCAGAGTGTCACATTGCTTCTCATAGAGTAGTTCTGAAACATGCTTTTCGTAGTGTCTGCAAGGGGACATTTGGAGCGCTTTCAGGCCTGTGGTGGAAAACGAATTATGGTCACATAAAAACTGGAGAGAAGCCTTCTCAGAAACTTCTCTGTGATGATTGCATTCAACTCACAGAGTTGAACCCTCCTATGGATAGAGCAGTGTTGAAACTCTCTTTTTGTGGAATCTGCAAGCGGATATGTGGACCTCTCCGAAGATGTCTTTGGAAACGGGAATATCTTCACATAAAAACTAAACAGAAGCATTCTCAGAAACTTCTTGGTGATGTTTGCATTCAAATCCCAGAGTTGAACCTTCCTTTGATAGTTCAGGTTTGAAACACTCTTTTTGTAGGATCTGCAAGTGGCTATTTGGACCACTGCTGTGGCCTTCGTTCGAAACGGGTATATGCTTCGCATAAAATCTAGACAGAAGCATCCTCAGAAAATACTTTGTGATGATTGAGTTTAACTCACAGAGCTGAACATTCCTTTGGATGGAGCAGGTTTGAGACACACTTTTTGTAGAATCTACAAGTGGATATTTGGACCTCTCTGAGGATTTCGTTGGAAACGGGATAACTGCACCTAACTAAACGGAAGCCTTCTCAGAAACTGCTTTGTGATGATTGCATTCACCTCACAGAGTTGAACATTCCTATTGATAGAGCAGTTTGGAAACACTCTTCATCTGGAATGTGCAAGTGGAGATTTGGAGCGCTTTGAGGCCTATGGTAGTAAAGGGAATAGCTTCATAGAAAAACTAGACAGATGCATTCTCAGGTAACTTTTTGGTGATGTTTGTATTCAACTCCCAGAGTTGAACTTTCCTTTGGAAAGAGCAGCTATGAAACACTCTTTTTCTAGAATCTGCAAGTGGACGTTTGGAGGGCTTTGTGGTTTGTGGTGGAAAAGGAAATATCTTCACCTAAATACTAGATAGAAGCATTCTCAGAAGCTTCTCTGTGATGACTGCATTCAACTCACGGAGTTGAACACTCCTTTTGAGAGCGCAGTTTTGAAACTCTCTTTCTGTGGCATCTGCAAGGGGACATGTAGACCTCTTTGAAGATTTCGTTGGAAACGGAATCATCTAACACATAAAAACTATACAGAAGCAGTCTCAGAATCTTCTTTGTGATGTTTGCATTCAAATCCCCGAGTTGAACTTTCCTTTCAAAGTTCACGTTTGAAACACTCTTTTTGCAGGATCTACAAGTGGATATTTGGACCACTCTGTGTCCTTCGTTCGAAACGGGTATATCTTCACATGACATCTAGACAGAAGCTTTCTCAGAAAATTCTTTGGGATGATTGAGTTGAACTCACAGAGCTGAGCATTCCTTGCGATGTAGCAGTTTAGAAACACACTTTCTGCAGAATCTGCAAGTGCATATTTGGACCTCTGTGAGGAATTCGTTGGAAACGGGATAATTTCAGCTGACTAAACAGAAGCATTCTCAGAACCTTCTTCGTGATGTCTGCATTCAACTCACAGTGTGGAACCTTTCTTTGATAGTTCAGGTTTGAAACACTCTTTCTGTAGAAACTGCAAGGGGATAATTGCACTCTTTGAGGAGTACCGTAGTAAAGGAAATAACTTCCTATAAAAAGAAGACAGAAGCATTCTCAGAACCCTCTTCGTGATGTTTGCATTCAACTCACAGTGGTGAAGCTTTCTTTGATAGTTCAGCTTTGAAACACTCTTCTTGTAGAAACTGCAAGTGGATATTTGGTCCTCTCTGACGATTTCGTTGGAAACGGGATAAAACGCACAGAACTAAACAGAAGCATTCTCAGAACCTTCTTCGTGATGTTTGCATTCAACTCACAGTGTTGAACCTTTGTTTGATAGTTCAGGTTTGAAACGGTCTTTCTGTAGAAACTGCAAGTAGATATTTGGACCTCTCTGAGGATTTCGTTGGAAACGGGATAAACCGCACAGAACTAAAACAGAAGCATTCACAGAAAACTCTTGGTGACGACTGAGTTTAACTCACAGAGCTTAACATTCCTTTGGATGGAGCAGTTTCGAAACACACTATTTGTAGAATCTGCAAGTGGATATTTGGGCCTCTCTGAGGATTTCGTTGGAAACGGGATAAAACGCACAGAACTAAAACAGAAGCATTCTCAGAAACTACTTTGTGATGATTGCATTCAAGTCACTGAGCTGAACATTCCCTTTGACAGAGCAGTTTGGAAACTCTCTTTGTGTAGAATCTGCAAGTGGAGATATGGAATGCTTTGAGGACTATGGTAGTAAAGGAAATAGCTTCATATAAAAGCTAGACAGTAGCATTCTCAGAAACTCCTTTGTGATGTTTGCATTCAACTCACAGAGTTGAACATTCCTTTTGAGAGACAAGCTTTGAAACACTCTTTCTCTAGAATCTGCAAGTGGATATTTGGAGGGCTTTGAGGCCTGTGGTGGAAAAGGAATTATCTTCCCGTAAAAGCTGGATAGAAGCATTGTCAGAAACTTCTTTGTGATGATTGCATTCAACTCACAGAGTTGAAGGTTCCTTTTCAAAGAGCAGTTTCCAATCACTCTTTGTGTGGAATCTGCAAGTGGATATTTGGACCTATTTTGAAGATTTCGTTGGAAACGGGAGAATCTTCACAGGAAAGCTAAACAGAAGCATTCTCAGAAACTTCTCTGTGATGTTTGTGTTCAACTCCCAGCAGTTTCACATTGCTTTTCATAGAGTAGTTCTGAAACATGCTTTTCGTAGTGTCTGCAAGTGGACATTTGGAGCGCTTTCAGGCCTGTGGTGGAAAACGAATTATGGTTACATAAAAACTGGAGAGAAGCCTTCTCAGAAACTTCTCTGGGATGATTGCATTCAACTCACAGAGTTGAACCCTCCTATGGATAGAGCAGTGTTGAAACTCTCTTTTTGTGGAATCTGCAAGCAGATATGTGGACCTTTCCGAAGATGTCTTTGGCAACGGGAATATCTTCACATAAAAACTAAACAGAAGCATTCTCACAAAATTCTTTGTGATGTTTGCATTCAAATCCCAGAGTTGAACCTTCCTTTGATAGTTCAGCTTTGAAACACTCTTTTTGTAGGGTCTGCAGGTGGATATTTGGACCACTCTTTGGCCTTCGTTCGAAAAGGGTACATCTTCAAATAAAATCTAGACAGAAGCATTCTCAGAAAATACTTTGTGATGATTGAGTTTAACACACAGAGCTGAACATTCCTTTGGATGGAGAAGGTTTGAAACACACTTTCTGTAGAATCTGCGAGTGGATATTTGGACCTCTCTGAGGATTTCGTTGGAAACGGGATAACTGCACCTAACTAAACGGAAGCCTTCTCAGAAACTACTTTGTGATGATTGCATTCACCTCACGGATTGGAGCATTCCTATTGACAGAGCAGTTTGGAAACACTCTTCTTGTAGAATCGGCTAGTGGAGATTTGGAGCGCTTTGAGGCCTATGGTAGTAAAGGGAAGAGCTTCACATAAAATCTAGACAGATGCATTCTCAGGAACTTTTTGGTGATGTTTGTATTCAACTCCCAGAGTTGAACTTTCCTTTGGAAAGAGCAGCTATGAAACACTGTTTTTCTAGAATCTGCAAGTGGACGTTTGGAGGGCTTTGTGGTTTGTGGTGGAAAAGGAAATATCTTCACCTAAATACTAGATAGAAGCATCCTCAGAAGCTTCTCTGTGATGACTGCATTCAACTCACGGAGTTGAACACTCCTTTTGAGAGCGCAGTTTTGAAACTCTCTTTCTGTGGCATCTGCAAGGGGACATGTAGACCTCTTTGAAGATTTCGTTGGAAACGGAATCATCTTCACATAAAAACTACACAGAAGCAGTCTCAGCATCTTCTTTGTGATGTTTGCATTCAAATCCCAGGAGTTGAACTTTCCTTTCAAAGTTCACGTTTGAAACACTCTTTTTGCAGGATCTACAAGTGGATATTTGGACCACTCTGTGTCCTTCGTTCGAAACGGGTATATCTTCACATGACATCTAGACAGAAGCTTTCTCAGAAAATTCTTTGGGATGATTGAGTTGAACTCACAGAGCTGAGCATTCCTTGCGATGTAGCAGTTTAGAAACACACTTTCTGCAGAATCTGCAAGTGCATATTTGGACCTCTGTGAGGAATTCGTTGGAAACGGGATAATTTCAGCTGACTAAACAGAAGCATTCTCAGAACCTTCTTCGTGATGTCTGCATTCAACTCACAGTGTGGAACCTTTCTTTGATAGTTCAGGTTTGAAACACTCTTTTTGTAGAAACTGCAAGGGGATAATTGCACTCTTTGAGGAGTACCGTAGTAAAGGAAATAACTTCCTATAAAAAGAAGACAGAAGCATTCTCAGAACCCTCTTCGTGATGTTTGCATTCAACTCACAAGTGCTGAACCTTTCTTTGATAGTTCAGCTTTGAAACACTCTTTTTGTAGAAACTGCAAGTGGATATTTGGTCCTCTCTGAGCATTTCGTTGGAAACGGGATAAACTGCACAGAACTAAACAGAAGCATCCTCAGAACCTTCTTCGTGATGTTTGCATTCAACTCACAGTGCTGAACCTTTCTTTGATAGTTCAGCTTTGAAACACTCTTTTTGTAGAAACTGCAAGTGGATATTTGGACCTCTCTGAGGATTTCGTTGGAAACGGGATAAACCACACAGAACTAAAACAGAAGCATTCACAGAAAACTCTTGGTGACGACTGCGTTTAACTCACAGAGCTGAAAATCCCTTTGGATGGAGCAGTTTCGAAAAACACTATTTGTAGAATGTGCAAGTGGATATTGGGGACTCTCTGAGGATTTCGTTGGAAACGGGATAAACCACACAGAACTAAACAGAAGTATTCTCAGAAACTACTTTGGGATGATTGCATTCAAGTCACAGAGTTGAACATTCCCTTTGATAGAGCAGTTTGGAAACACTCTTTTTGTAGAATCTGCAAGTGGAGATTTGGATCGCTTTGAGACCTATGGTAGTAAAGGAAATAACTTCATCTAAAAACTAGACAGTAGCATTCTCAGAAACTTCTTTGTGATGTTTGCATTCAATTCACAGAGTTGAACTTTCCTTTTGAGAGAGAAGCTTTGAAACACTCTTTTTCTAGAATCTGCAAGTGGACATTTGGAGGGCTTTGAGGCCTGTGGTGGAAAAGGGAATATCTTCCTGTAAAAACTAGATAGAAGCATTGTCAGAAACTTCTTTGTGATGATTGCATTCAACTCACAGAGTTGAAGGTTCCTTTTCAAAGAGCAGTTTCCAATCACTCTTTCTGTGGAATCTGCAACTGGATATTTGGACCTCTTTGAAGATTTCGTTGGAAACGGGAGAATCTTCACAGAAAAGCTAAACAGAAGCATTCTCAGAAACTTCTCTGTGATGTTTGTGTTCAACTCCCCGAGTTTCACGTTGCTTTTCATAGAGTAGTTCTGAAACATGCTTTTCGTAGTGTCTGCAAGTGGACATTTGGAGCGCTTTCAGGCCTGTGGTGGAAAACGAATTATGGTCACATAAAAACTGGAGAGAAGCCTTCTCAGAAACTTCTCTGTGATGATTGCATTCAACTCACAGAGTTGAACCCTCCTATGGATAGAGCAGTGTTGAAACTCTCTTTTTGTGGAATCTGCAAGTGGATATGTGGACCTACTCCGAAGATGTCTTTGGAAACGGGAATATCTTCACATAAAAACTAAACAGAAGCATTCTCAGAAACTTCTTGGTGATGTTTGCATTCAAATCCCAGAGTTGAACCTTCCTTTGAGAGTTCAGGTTTGAAACACTCTTTTTGTAGGATCTGCAAGTGGATATTTGGACCACTCTGTGGCCTTCGTTCGAAACGGGTACATCTTCGCATAAAATCTAGACAGAAGCATTCTCAGAAAATACTTTGTGATGATTGAGTTTAACTCACAGAGCTGAACATTCCTTTGGATGGAGCAGGTTTGAGACACACTTTTTGTAGAATCTACAAGTGGATATTTGGACCTCTCTGAGGATTCCGTTGGAAACGGGATAAACTGCACAGAACTAAACAGAAGCATTCTCAGAAACTGCTTTGTGATGATTGCATTCACCTCACAGAGTTGAACATTCCTATTGATAGAGCAGTTTGGAAACACTCTTGTTGTGGAATGTGCAAGTGGAGATTTGGAGCGCTTTGAGGCCTATGGTAGTAAAGGGAATAGCTTTATAGAAAAACTAGACAGATGCATTCTCAGGAACTTTTTGGTGATGTTTGTATTCAACTCCTAGAGTTGAACTTTCCTTTGGAAAGAGCAGCTATGAAACACTCTTTTTCTAGAATCTGCAAGTGGACGTTTGGAGGGCTTTGTGGTTTGTGGTGGAAAAGGAAATATCTTCACCTAAATACTAGATAGAAGCATTCTCAGAAGCTTCTCTGTGATGACTGCATTCAACTCACGGAGTTGAGCACTCCTTTTGAGAGCGCAGTTTTGAAACTCTCTTTCTGTGGCATCTGCAAGGGGACATGTGGACCTCTTTGAAGATTTCGTTGGAAACGGAATCATCTTCACATAAAAACAATACAGAAGCAGTCTCAGAATCTTCTTTGTGATGTTTGCATTCAAATCCCAGAGTTGAACTTTCCTTTCAAAGTTCACGTTTGAAATACTCTTTTTGCAGGATCTACAAGTGGATATTTGGACCACTCTGTGTCCTTCGTTCGAAACGGCATATCTTCACATGACATCTAGACAGAAGCTTTCTCAGAAAATTCTTTGGGATGATTGAGTTGAACTCACAGAGCTGAACATTCCTTGCGATGTAGCAGTTTAGAAACACACTTTCTGCAGAATCTGCAAGTGCATATTGAGAACGCTCTGAGGAATTCGTTGGAAACGGGATAATTTCAGCTGACTAAACAGAAGCATTCTCAGAACCTTCTTCGTGATGTCTGCATTCAACTCACAGTGTGGAACCTTTCTTTGATAGTTCAGGTTTGAAACACTCTTTTTGTAGAAACTGCAAGGGGATAATTGCACTTCTTTCAGGCCTACCGTAGTAAAGGAAATAACTTCCTATAGAAAGAAGACAGAAGAATTCTCAGAGCCCTCTTCGTGATGTTTGCATTCAACTCACAGTGCTGAACCTTTCTTTGATAGTGCAGCTTTGAAACACTCTTTTTGTAGAAACTGCAAGTGGATGTTTGGTCCTCTCTGAGGATTTCGTTGGAAACGGGATAAACCGCACAGAACTAAAACAGAAGCATTCACAGAAAACTCTTGGTGACGACTGAGTTTAACTCACAGAGCTGAACATTCCTTTGGATGGAGCAGTTTCGAAACACACTATTTGTAGAATCTGCAAGTGGATATTTGGGCCTCTCTGAGGATTTCGTTGGAAACGGGATAAAACGCACAGAACTAAAACAGAAGCATTCTCAGAAACTACTTTGTGATTATTGCATTCAAGTCACAGAGTTGAACATTCCCTTTGACAGAGCAGTTTGGAAACTCTCTTTGTGTAGAATCTGCAAGTGGAGATATGGACCGCTTTGAGGCCTATGGTAGTAAAGGAAATAGCTTCATATAAAAGCTAGACAGTAGCATTCTCAGAAACTTCTTTGTGATGCTTGCATTCAACTCACAGAGTTGAACTTTCCTTTCGAGAGAGAAGCTTTGAAACACTCTTTTTCCAGAATGTGCAAGTGGACATTTGGGGAGCTTTGAGGCCTGTGGAGGAAAAGGAATTATCTTCCCGTAAAAGCTAGATAGAAGCATTGTCAGAAACTTCTTTGTGATGATTGCATTCAACTCACAGAGTTGAAGGTTCCTTTTCAAACAGCAGTTTCCAATCACTCTTTCTGTGGAATCTGCAAGTGGATATTTCGACCTCTTTGAAGATTTCGTTGGAAACGGGAGAATCTTCACAGAAAAGCTCAACAGAAGCATTCTCAGAAACTTCTCTGTGATGTTTGTGTTCAACTCCCAGAGTTTCACGTTGCTTTTCATGGAGTAGTTCTGAAACATGCTTTTCGTAGTGTCTGCAAGTGGACATTTGGAGCGCTTTCAGGCCTGTGGTGGAAAACGAATTATGGTCACATAAAAACTGGAGAGAAGCCTTCTCAGAAACTTCTCTGTGATGATTGCATTCAACTCACAGAGTTGAACCCTCCTCTGGATAGAGCAGTGTTGAAACTCTCTTTTTGTGGAATCTGCAAGCGGATATGTGGACCTCTCCGAAGATGTCTTTGGAAACGGGAATATCTTCACATAAAAACTAAACAGAAGCATTCTCAGAAACTTCTTGGTGATGTTTGCATTCAAATCCCAGAGTTGAACCATCCTTTGAGAGTTCAGGTTTGAAACACTCTTTTTGTAGGATCTGCAAGTGGATATTTGGACCACTCTGTGGCCTTCGTTCGAAACGGGTACATCTTCGCATAAAATCTAGACAGAAGCATTCTCAGAAAATACTTTGTGATGATTGAGTTGAACTCACAGAGCTGAACATTCCTTTGGATGGAGCAGGTTTGAGACACACTTCTTGTAGAATCTACAAGTGGATATTTGGACCTCTCTGAGGGTTTCGTTGGAAACGGGATAACTGCACCTAACTAAACGGAAGCATTCTCAGAAACTGCTTTGTGATGATTGCATTCACCTCACAGAGTTGAACATTCCTATTGATAGAGCAGTTTGGAAACACTCTTGTTGTGGAATGTGCAAGTGGAGATTTGGAGCGCTTTGAGGACTATGGTAGTAAAGGGAATAGCTTCATAGAAAAACTAGACAGATGCATTCTCAGGAACTTTTTGGTAATGTTTGTATTCAACTCCCAGAGTTGAACTTTCCTTTGGAAAGAGCAGCTATGAAACACTCTTTTTCTAGAATCTGCAAGTGGACGTTTGGAGGGCTTTGTGGTTTGTGGTGGAAAAGGAAATATCTTCACCTAAATCCTAGAGAGAAGCATCCTCAGAAGCTTCTCTGTGATGACTGCATTCAACTCACGGAGTTGAACACTCCTTTTGAGAGCGCAGTTTTGAAACTCTCTTTCTGTGGCATCTGCAAGGGGACATGTAGACCTCTTTGAAGATTTCGTTGGAAACGGAATCATCTTCACATAAAAACTACACAGAAGCAGTCTCAGAATCTTCTTTGTGATGTTTGCATTCAAATCCCCGAGTTGAACTTTCCTTTCAAAGTTCACGTTTGAAACACTCTTTTTGCAGGATCTACAAGTGGATATTTGGACCACTCTGTGTCCTTCGATCGAAACGGGTATATCTTCACATGACATCTAGACAGAAGCTTTCTCAGAAAATTCTTTGGGATGATTGAGTTGAACTCACAGAGCTGAGCATTCCTTGCGATGTAGCAGTTTAGAAACACACTTTCTGCAGAATCTGCAAGTGCATATTTGGACCTCTGTGAGGAATTCGTTGGAAACGGGATAATTTCAGCTGACTAAACAGAAGCATTCTCAGAACCTTCTTCGTGATGTCTGCATTCAACTCACAGTGTGGAACCTTTCTTTGATAGTTCAGGTTTGAAACACTCTTTTTGTAGAAACTGCAAGGGGATAATTGCACTCTTTGAGGAGTACCGTAGTAAAGGAAATAACTTCCTATAAAAAGAAGACAGAAGCATTCTCAGAACCCTCTTCGTGATGTTTGCATTCAACTCACAGTGCTGAACCTTTCTTTGATAGTTCAGCTTTGAAACACTCTTTTTGTAGAAACTGCAAGTGGATATTTGGTCCTCTCTGAGGAATTCGTTGGAAACGGGATAAACTGCACAGAACTAAACAGAAGCATTCTCAGAACCTTCTTCGTGATGTTTGCATTCAACTCACAGTGTTGAACCTTTCTTTGATAGTTCAGGTTTGAAACGGTCTTTCTGCAGAAACTGCAAGTAGATATTTGGACCGCTCTGAGGATTTCGTTGGAAACGGGATAACCCGCACAGAACTAAAACAGAAGCATTCACAGAAAACTCTTGGTGACGACTGAGTTTAACTCACAGAGCTGAACATTCCTTTGGATGGAGCAGTTTCGAAACACACTATTTGTAGAATCTGCAAGTGGATATTTGGGCCTCTCTTAGGATTTCGATTGAAACGGGATAAACCGCACAGAACTAAAACAGAAGCATTCTGAGAAACTACTTTGTGATGATTGCATTCAAGTCACAGAGCTGAACATTCCCTTTCACAGAGCAGTTTGGAAACTCTCTTTGTGTAGAATCTGCAAGTGGAGATATGGAATGCTTTGAGGACTATGGTAGTAAAGGAAATAGCTTCATATAAATGCTAGACAGTAGCATTCTCAGAAACTTCTTTGTGATGCTTGCATTCAACTCACAGAGTTGAACTTTCCCTTCGAGAGAGAAGCTTTGAAACACTCTTTTTCCAGAATCTGCAAGTGGACATTTGGAGGGCTTTGAGGCCTGTGGTGGAAAAGGAATTATCTTCCCATAAAAGCTGGATAGAAGCATTGTCAGAAACTTCTTTGTGATGATTGCATTCAACTCACAGAGTTGAAGGTTCCTTTTCAAAGAGCAGTTTCCAATCACTCTTTGTGTGGAATCTGCAAGTGGATATTTGGACCTATTTTGAAGATTTCGTTGGAAACGGGAGAATCTTCACAGGAAAGCTAAACAGAAGCATTCTCAGAAACTTCTCTGTGATGTTTGTGTTCAACTCCCAGAGTTTCACATTGCTTCTCATAGAGTAGTTCTGAAACATGCTTTTCGTAGTGTCTGCAAGTGGACATTTGGAGCGCTTTCAGGCCTGTGGTGGAAAACGAATTATGGTCACAGAAAAACTGGAGAGAAGCCTTCTCAGAAATTTCTCTGTGATGATTGCATTCAACTCACAGAGTTGAACCCTCCTATGGATAGAGCAGTGTTGAAACTCTCTTTTTGTGGAATCTGCAAGCGGATATGTGGACCTCTCCGAAGATGTCTTTGGAAACGGGAATATCTTCACATAAAAACTAAACGGAAGCATTCTCAGAAACTTCTTGGTGATGTTTGCATTCAAATCCCAGAGTTGAACCTTCCTTTGATAGTTCAGGTTTGAAACACTCTTTTTGTAGGATCTGCAATTGGCTATTTAGACCACTCTGTGGCCTTCGTTCGAAACGGGTATATCTTCGCATAAAATCTAGACAGAAGCATTCTCAGAAAATACTTTGTGATGATTGAGTTGAACTCACAGAGCTGAACATTCCTTTGGATGGAGCAGGTTTGAGACACACTTTTTGTAGAATCTACAAGTGGATATTTGGACCTCTCTGAGGATTTCGTTGGAAACGGGATAACTGCACCTAACTAAACGGAAGCATTCTCAGAAACTGCTTTGTGATGATTGCATTCACCTCACAGAGTTGAACATTCCTATTGATAGAGCAGTTTGGAAACACTCTTGTTGTGGAATGTGCAAGTGGAGATTTGGAGCGCTTTGAGGCCTATGGTAGTAAAGGGAATAGCTTCATAGAAAAACTAGACAGATGCATTCTCAGGAACTTTTTGGTGATGTTTGTATTCAACTCCCAGAGTTGAACTTTCCTTTGGAAAGAGCAGCTATGAAACACTCTTTTTCTAGAATCTGCAAGTGGACGTTTGGAGGGCTTTGTGGTTTGTGGTGGAAAAGGAAATATCTTCACCTAAATACTAGAGAGAAGCATTCTCAGAAGCTTCTCTGTGATGACTGCATTCAACTCACGGAGTTGAACACTCCTTTTGAGAGCGCAGTTTTGAAACTCTCTTTCTGTGGCATCCGCAAGGGGACATGTAGACCTCTTTGAAGATTTCGTTGGAAACGGAATCATCTTCACATAAAAACTATACAGAAGCAGTCTCAGAATCTTCTTTGTGATGTTTGCATTCAAATCCCAGAGTTGAACTTTCCTTTCAAAGTTCACGTTTGAAACACTGTTTTTGCAGGATCTACAAGTGGATATTTGGACCTCTCTGTGTCCTTCGTTCGAAACGGGTATATCTTCACATGACATCTAGACAGAAGCTTTCTCAGAAAATTCTTTGGGATGATTGAGTTGAGCAAACAGAGCTGAACACTCCTTGCGATGTAGCAGTTTAGGAACACACTTTCTGCAGAATCTGCAAGTGCATATGTGGACCTCTCTGAGAAATTCGTTGGAAACGGGATAATTTCAGCTGACTAAACAGAAGCATTCTCAGAACCTTCTTCGTGATGTCTGCATTCAACTCACAGTGTGGAACCTTTCGTTGATAGTTCAGGTTTGAAACACTCTTTTTGTGGAAACTGCAAGGGGATAATTGCACTTCTTTGAGGCCTACCGTAGTAAAGGAAATAACTTCCTATAAAAAGAAGACAGAAGCATTCTCAGAACCCTCTTCGTGATGTTTACATTCAACTCACAGTGCTGAACCTTTCTTTGATAGTTCAGCTTTGAAACACTCTTTTTGTAGAAACTGCAAGTGGATATTTGGTGCTCTCTGAGGATTTCGTTGGAAACGGGATAAACCGCACAGAACTAAACAGAAGAATTCTCAGAGCCCTCTTCGTGATGTTTGCATTCAACTCACAGTGCTGAACCTTTCTTTGATAGTGCAGCTTTGAAACACTCTTTTTGTAGAAACTGCAAGTGGATGTTTGGTCCTCTCTGAGGATTTCGTTGGAAACGGGATAAACCGCACAGAACTAAAACAGATAGCATTCACAGTAAAACTCTTGGTGACGACTGAGTTTAACTCACAGAGCTGAACATTCCTTTGGATGGAGCAGTTTCGAAACACACTATTTGTAGAATCTGCAAGTGGATATTTGGGCCTCTCTGAGGATTTCGTTGGAAACGGGATAAAACGCACAGAACTAAAACAGAAGCATTCTCAGAAACTACTTTGTGATGATTGCATTCAAGACACAGAGTTGAACATTCCCTTTGACAGAGCAGTTTGGAAACTCTCTTTGTGTAGAATCTGCAAGTGGAGATATGGACCGCTTTGAGGCCTATGGTAGTAAAGGAAATAGCTTCATATAAAAGCTAGACAGTAGCATTCTCAGAAACTTCTTTGTGATGCTTGCATTCAACTCACAGAGTTGAACTTTCCTTTCGAGAGAGAAGCTTTGAAACACTCTTTTTCCAGAATCTGCAAGTGGACATTTGGAGGGCTTTGAGGCCTGTGGTGGAAAAGGAATTATCTTCCCGTAAAAGCCTAGATAGAAGCATTGTCAGAAACTTCTTTGTGATGATTGCATTCAAGTCACAGAGTTGAAGGTTCCTTTTCAAACAGCAGTTTCCAAACACTCTTTCTGTGGAATCTGCAAGTGGATATTTGGACCTCTTTGAAGATTTCGTTGGAAACGGGAGAATCTTCACAGAAAAGCTAAACAGAAGCATTCTCAGAAACTTCTCTGTGATGTTTGTGTTCAACTCCCAGAGTTTCACGTTGCTTTTCATAGAGTAGTTCTGAAACATGCTTTTCGTAGTGTCTGCAAGTGGACATTTGGAGCGCTTTCAGGCCTGTGGTGGAAAACGAATTATGGTCACATAAAAACTGGAGAGAAGCCTTCTCAGAAACTTCTCTGTGATGATTGCATTCAACTCACAGAGTTGAACCCTCCTATGGATAGAGCATTGTTGAAACTCTCTTTTTGTGGAATCTGCAATTGGATATGTGGACCTCTCCGAAGATGTCTTTGGAAACGGGAATATCTTCACATAAAAACTAAACAGAAGCATTCTCAGAAACTTCTTGGTGATGTTTGCATTCAAATCCCAGAGTTGAAGCTTCCTTTGATAGTTCAGGTTTGAAACACTCTTTTTGTAGGATCTGCAAGTGGATATTTGGACCACTCTGTGGCCTTCGTTCGAAACGGGTACATCTTCACATAAAATCTAGACAGAAGCATTCTCAGAAAATACTTTGTGATGATTGAGTTTAACTCACAGAGCTGAACATTCCTTTGGATGGAGCAGGTTCGAGACACACTTTTTGTAGAATCCACAAGTGGATATTTGGTCCTCTCTGAGGATTTCGTTGGAAACGGGATAACTGCACCGAACTAAACGGAAGCATTCTCAGAAACTGCTTTGTGATGATTGCATTCACCTCACAGAGTTGAACATTCCTATTGATAGAGCAGTTTGGAAACACTCTTGTTGTGGAATGTGCAAGTGGAGATTTGGAGCGCTTTGAGGCCTGTGGAAGTAAAGGGAATAGCTTCATAGAAAAACTAGACAGATGCATTCTCAGGAACTTTTTGGTGATGTTTGTATTCAACTCCCAGAGTTGAACTTTCCTTTGGAAAGAGCAGCTATGAAACACTCTTTTTCTAGAATCTGCAAGTGGACGTTTGGAGGGCTTTGTGGTTTGTGGTGGAAAAGGAAATATCTTCACCTAAATACTAGACAGAAGCATTCTCAGAAGCTTCTCTGTGATGACTGCATTCAACTCACGGAGTTGAACACTCCTATTGAGAGCGCAGTTTTGAAACTCTCTTTCTGTGGCATCTGCAAGGGAACATGTAGACCTCTTTGAAGATTTCGTTGGAAACGGAATCATCTTCACATAAAAACTATACAGAAGCAGTCTCAGAATCTTCTTTGTGATGTTTGCATTCAAATCCCAGAGTTGAACTTTCCTTTCAAAGTTCACGTTTGAAACACTCTTTTTGCAACATCTACAAGTGGATATTTGGACCACTCTGTGTCCTTCGTTCGAAACGGGTATATCTTCACATGACATCTAGACAGAAGCTTTCTCAGAAAATTCTTTGGGATGATTGAGTTGAACTCACAGAGCTGAACATTCCTTGCGATGTAGCAGTTTAGAAACACAGTTTCTGCAGAATCTGCAAGTGCATATTTGGACCTCTCCTGAGGAATTCGTTGGAAACGGGATAATTTCAGCTGACTAAACAGAAGCATTCTCAGAACCTTCTTCGTGATGTCTGCATTGAACTCACAGTGTGGAACCTTTCTTTGATAGTTCAGGTTTGAAACACTCTTTTTGTAGAAACTGCAAGGGGATCATTGCACTTCTTTGAGGCCTACCGTAGTAAAGGAAATAACTTCCTATAAAAAGAAGACAGAAGAATTCTCAGAGCCCTCTTCGTGATGTTTGCATTCAACTCACAGTGCTGAACCTTTCTTTGATAGTTCAGCTTTGAAACACTCTTCTTGTAGAAACTGCAAGTGGATATTTGGTCCTCTCTGAGGATTTCGTTGGAAACGGGATAAACCGCACAGAACTAAACAGAAGCATTGTCAGAAACTTCTTTGTGATGATTGCATTCAACTCACAGAGTTGAAGGTTCCTTTTCAAACAGCAGTTTCCAATCACTCTTTCTGTGGAATCTGCAAGTGGATATTTGGGCCTCTCTGAGGATTTCGTTGGAAACGGGATAAAACGCACAGAACTAAAACAGAAGCATTCTCAGAAACTTCTCTGTGATGTTTGTGTTCAACTCCCAGAGTTTCACGTTGCTTTTCATAGAGTAGTTCTGAAACATGCTTTTCGTAGTGTCTGCAAGTGGACATTTGGAGCGCTTTCAGGCCTGTGGTGGAAAACGAATTATGGTCACATAAAAACTGGAGAGAAGCCTTCTCATAAACTTCTCTGTGATGATTGCATTCAACTCACAGAGTTGAACCCTCCTACGGATAGAGCAGTGTTGAAACTCTCTTTTTGTGGAATCTGCAAGTGGATATGTGGACCTCTCCGAAGATGTCTTTGGAAACGGGAATATCTTCACATAAAAACTAAACAGAAGCATTCTCAGAAACTTCTTGTTGATGTTTGCATTCAAATCCCAGAGTTGAACCTTCCTTTGATAGTTCAGGTTTGAAACACTCTTTTTGTAGGATCTGCAAGTGGATATTTGGACCACTCTGTGGCCTTCGTTCGAAACGGGTATATCTTCGCATAAAATCTAGACAGAAGCATTCTCAGAAAATACTTTGTGATGATTGAGTTTAACTCACAGAGCTGAAAATTCCTTTGGATGGAGCAGGTTTGAGACACACTTTTTGTAGAATCTACAAGTGGATATTTGGACCTCTCCGAGGATTTCATTGGAAACGGGATAACTGCACTTAACTAAACGGAAGCATTCTCAGAAACTGCTTTGTGATGATTGCATTCACCTCACAGAGTTGAACATTCCTATTGATAGAGCAGTTTGGAAACACTCTTGTTGTGGAATGTGCAAGTGGAGATTTGGAGCGCTTTGAGGCCTATGGTAGTAAAGGGAATAGCTTCATAGAAAAACTAGACAGAAGCGTTCTCAGGAACTCCTTGATGTTGTTTGTATTCAACTTCCAGAGTTGAACTTTCCTTCGGAAAGAGCAGCTATGAAACACTCTTTTTCTAGAATCTGCAAGTGGACATGAGGAGGGCTTTGAGGTCTGTGGTGGAAAAGGTAATATCTTCACATAAATATTAGATAGAAGCCTTCTCAGAAACTTTTCTGTGATGACTGCATTCAACTCACAGAGTTGAAGACTCCTTTTGAGAGCGCAGTTTTGAAACTCTCTTTCTGTGGAATCTGCAAGGGGACATGTAGACCTCTTTGAAGGTTTTGTTGGAAACAGAATCATCTTCACATAAAAATTACACAGAAGCAGTCTCAGAATCTTCTTTGTGATGTTTCGCATTCAAATCCCAGAGTTGAACTTTCCTTTCCAAGTTCACGTTTGAAACACTCTTTTTGCAGGATCTACAAGTGGATATTTGGACCACTCTGTGTCCTTCGTTCGAAACGGGTATATCTTCACATGACATCTAGACAGAAGCTTTCTCAGAAAATTCTTTGGGATGATTGAGTTGAACTCACAGAGCTGAGCATTCCTTGCGATGTAGCAGTTTAGAAACACACTTTCTGCAGAATCTGCAAGTGCATATTTGGACCTCTGTGAGGAATTCGTTGGAAACGGGATAATTTCAGCTGACTAAACAGAAGCATTCTCAGAACCTTCTTCGTGATGTCTGCATTCAACTCACAGTGTGGAACCTTTCTTTGATAGTTCAGGTTTGAAACACTCTTTTTGTAGAAACTGCAAGGGGATAATTGCACTCTTTGAGGAGTACCGTAGTAAAGGAAATAACTTCCTATAAAAAGAAGACAGAAGCATTCTCAGTAACCCTCTTCGTGATGTTTGCATTCAACTCACAGTGCTGAACCTTTCTTTGATAGTTCAGCTTTGAAACACTCTTTTTGTAGAAACTGCAAGTGGATATTTGGTCCTCTCTGAGGATTTCGTTGGAAACGGGATAAACTGCACAGAACTAAACAGAAGCATTCTCAGAACCCTTTTCGTGATGTTTGCATTCAACTCACAGTGCTGAACCTTTCTTTGATAGTTCAGCTTTGAAACACTCTTTTTGTAGAAACTGCAAGTGGATATTTGGTCCTCTCTGAGGATTTCGTTGGAAACGGCATAAACCGCACAGAACTAAACAGAAGCATTCACAGAAAACTCTTGGTGACGACTGAGTTTAACTCACAGAGCTGAACATTCCTTTGGATGGAGCAGTTTCGAAACACACTATTTGTAGAATCTGCAAGTGGATATGTGGGCCTCTCTGAGGATTTCGTTCGAAACGGGATAAACCGCACAGAACTAAAACAGAAGCATTCTCAGAAACTACTTTGTGATGATTGCATTCAAGTCACAGAGTTGAACATTCCCTTTGACAGAGCAGTTTGGAAACTCTCTTTGTGTAGAATCTGCAAGTGGAGATATGGACCGCTTTGAGGCCTATGGTAGTAAAGGAAATAGCTTCATATAAAAGCTAGACAGTAGCATTCTCAGAAACTTCTTTGTGATGCTTGCATTCAACTCACAGAGTTGAACTTTCCTTTCGAGAGAGAAGCTTTGAAACACTCTTTTTCCAGAATCTGCAAGTGGACATTTGGAGGGCTTTGAGGCCTGTGGTGGAAAAGGAATTAACTTCCCGTAAAAGCTAGATAGAAGCATTGTCAGAAACTTCTTTGTGATGATTGCATTCAACTCACAGAGATGAAGGTTCCTTTACAAACAGCAGTTTCCAAACACTCTTTCTGTGGAATCTGCAAGTGGATATTTGGACCTCTTTGAAGATTTCGTTGTAAACGGGAGAATCTTCACAGAAAAGCTAAACAGAAGCATTCTCAGAAACTTCTCTGTGATGTTTGTGTTCAACTCCCAGAGTTTCACATTGCTTTTCATAGAGTAGTTCTGAAACATGCTTTTCGTAGTGTCTGCAAGTGGACATTTGGAGCGCTTTCAGGCCTGTGGTGGAAAACGAATTATGGTCCCATAAAAACTGGAGAGAAGCCTTCTCAGAAACTTCTCTGTGATGATTGCATTCAACTCACAGATTTGAACCCTCCTATGGATAGAGCATTGTTGAAACTCTCTTTTTGTGGAATCTGCAAGTGGATATGTGGACCTCTCCGAAGATGTCTTTGGAAACGGGAATATCTTCACATAAAAACTAAACAGAAGCATTCTCAGAAACTTCTTGGTGATGTTTGCATTCAAATCCCAGAGTTGAACCTTCCTGTGATAGTTCAGGTTTGAAACACTCTTTTTGTAGGATCTGCAAGTGGATATTTGGACCACTCTGTGGCCTTCGTTCGAAACGGGTACATCTTCACATAAAATCTAGACAGAAGCATTCTCAGAAAATACTTTGTGATGATTGAGTTTAACTCACAGAGCTGAACATTCCTTTGGATGGAGCAGGTTTGAGACACACTTTTTGTAGAATCTACAAGTGGATATTTGGACCTCTCTGAGGATTTCGTTGGAAACGCGATAACTGCACCTAACTAAACGGAAGCATTCTCAGAAACTGCTTTGTGATGATTGCATTCACCTCACAGAGTTGAACATTCCTATTGATAGAGCAGTTTGGAAACACTCTTGTTGTGGAATGTGCAAGTGGAGATTTGGAGCGCTTTGAGGTCTATGGTAGTAAAGGGAATAGCTTCATAGAAAAACTAGACAGATGCATTCTCAGGAACTTTTTGGTGATGTTTGTATTCAACTCCCAGATTTGAACTTTCCTTTGGAAAGAGCAGCTATGAAACACTCTTTTTCTAGAATCTGCAAGTGGACGTTTGGAGGGCTTTGTGGTTTGTGGTGGAAAAGGAAATATCTTCACCTAAATACTAGATAGAAAGCATTCTCAGTAAGCTTCTCTGTGATGACTGCATTCAACTCACGGAGTTGAACACTCCTTTTGAGAGCGCAGTTTTGAAACTCTCTTTCTGTGGCATCTGCAAGGGGACATGTAGACCTCTTTGAAGATTTCGTTGGAAACGGAATCATCTTCACATAAAAACTATACAGAAGCAGTCTCAGAATCTTCTTTGTGATGTTTGCATTCAAATCCCAGAGTTGAACTTTCCTTTCAAAGTTCACGTTTGAAACACTCTTTTTGCAGGATCTACAAGTGGATATTTGGACCACTCTGTGTCCTTCGTTCGAAACGGGTATATCTTCACATGACATCTAGACAGAAGCTTTCTCAGAAAATTCTTTGTGATGATTGAGTTGAGCAAACAGAGCTGAACACTCCTTGCGATGTAGCAGTTTAGAAACACCCTTTCTGCAGAATCTGCAAGTGCATATGTGGACCTCTCTGAGGAATTCGTTGGAAACGGGATAATTTCAGCTGACTAAACAGAAGCATTCTCAGAACCTTCTTCGTGATGTCTGCATTCAACTCACAGTGTGGAACCTTTCTTTGATAGTTCAGCTTTGAAACACTCTTTTTGTAGAAACTGTAAGGGGATTATTGCACTTCTTTGAGGCCTACCGTAGTAAAGGAAATTACTTCCTATAAAAAGAAGACAGAAGCATTCTCAGAACCCTCTTCGTGATGTCTGCATTCAACTCACAGTGCTGAACCTTTCTTTGATAGTTCAGCTTTGAAACACTCTTTTTGTAGAAACTGCAAATGGATATTTGGTCCTCTCTGAGGATTTCGTTGGAAAAGGGATAAAACGCACAGAACTAAACAGAAGAATTCTCAGAGCCCTCTTCGTGATGTTTGCATTCAACTCACAGTGCTGAACCTTTCTTTGATAGTGCAGCTTTGAAACACTCTTTTTGTAGAAACTGCAAGTGGATGTTTGGTCCTCTCTGAGGATTTCGTTGGAAACGGGATAAACCGCACAGAACTAAAACAGAAGCATTGTCAGAAACTTCTTTGTGATGATTGCATTCAACTCACAGAGTTGAAGGTTCCTTTTCAAACAGCAGTTTCCAATCACTCTTTCTGTGGAATCTGCAAGTGGATATTTGGGCCTCTCTGAGGATTTCGTTGGAAACGGGATAAAACGCACAGAACTAAAACAGAAGCATTCTCAGAAACTTCTCTGTGATGTTTGTGTTCAACTCTCAGAGTTTCACATTGCTTCTCATAGAGTAGTTCTGAAACATGCTTTTCGTAGTGTCTGCAAGTGGACATTTGGAGCGCTTTCAGGCCTGTGGTGGAAAACGAATTATGGTCACATAAAAACTGGAGAGAAGCCTTCTGAGCAAACTTCTCTGTGATGATTGCATTCAACTCACAGAGTTGAACCCTCCTATGGATAGAGCAGTGTTGAAACTCTCTTTTTGTGGAATCTGCAAGTGTATATGTGGACCTCTCCGAAGATGTCTTTGGAAACGGGACTATCTTCACATAAAAACTAAACAGAAGCATTCTCAGAAAATTCTTGGTGATGTTTGCAATCAAATCCCAGAGTTGAACCTTCCTTTGATAGTTCAGGTTTGAAACACTCTTTTTGTAGGATCTGCAAGTGGATATTTGGACCACTCTGTGGCCTTCGTTCGAAACGGGTACATCTTCGCATAAAATCTAGACAGAAGCATTCTCAGAAAATACTTTGTGATGATTGAGTTTAACTCACAGAGCTGAACATTCCTTTGGATGGAGCAGGTTTGAGACACACTTTTTGTAGAATCTACAAGTGGATATTTCGACCTTTCTGAGGATTTTGTTGGAAACGGGTTAACTGCACCTAACTAAACGGAAGCATTCTCAGAAACTGCTTTGTGATGATTGCATTCACCTCACAGAGTTGAACATTCCTATTGATAGAGCAGTTTGGAAACACTCTTGTTGTGGAATGTGCAAGTGGAGATTTGGAGCGCTTTGAGGCCTATGGTAGTAAAGGGAATAGCTTCATAGAAAAACTAGACAGATGCATTCTCAGGAACCTTTTGGTGATGTTTGTATTCAACTCCCAGAGTTGAACTTTCCTTTGGAAAGAGCAGCTATGAAACACTCTTTTTCTAGAATCTGCAAGTGGACGTTTGGAGGGCTTTGTGGTTTGTGGTGGAAAAGGAAATATCTTCACCTAAATACTAGACAGAAGCATTCTCAGAAGCTTCTCTGTGATGACTACATTCAACTCACGGAGTTGAACACTCCTTTTGAGAGCGCAGTTTTGAAACTCTCTTTCTGTGGCATCTGCAAGGGGACATGTAGACCTCTTTGAAGATTTCGTTGGAAACGGAATCATCTTCACATCAAAACTATACAGAAGCAGTCTCAGAATCTTCTTTGTGATGTTTGCATTCAAATCCCAGAGTTGAACTTTCCTTTCAAAGTTCACGTTTGAAACACTCTTTTTGCAGGATCTACAAGTGGATATTTGGACCACTCTGTGTCCTTCGTTCGAAACGGGTATATCTTCACACGACATCTAGACAGAAGCATTCACAGAAAACTCTTGGTGACGACTGAGTTTAACTCACAGAGCTGAACATTCCTTTGGATGGAGCAGTTTAGAAACACACTTTCTGCAGAATCTGCAAGTGCATATTTGGACCTCTCTGAGGAATTCGTTGGAAACGGGATAATATCAGCTGACTAAACAGAAGCATTCTCAGAACGTTCTTCGTGATGTCTGCATTCAACTCACAGTGTGGAACCTTTCTTTGATAGTTCAGGTTTGAAACACTCTTTTTGTAGAAACTGCAAGGGGATAATTGCACTTCTTTGAGGCCTACCGTAGTAAAGGAAATAACTTCCTATAGAAAGAAGACAGAAGCATTCTCAGAACCCTCTTCGTGATGTTTGCATTCAACTCACAGTGCTGAACCTTTCTTTGATAGTTCAGCTTTGAAACACTCTTTTTGTAGAAACTGCAAATGGATATTTGGTCCTCTCTGAGGATTTCGTTGGAAAAGGGATAAAACGCACAGAACGAAACAGAAGAATTCTCAGAGCCCTCTTCGTGATGTTTGCATTCAACTCACAGTGCTGAACCTTTCTTTGATAGTGCAGCTTTGAAACACTCTTTTTGTAGAAACTGCAAGTGGATGTTTGGTCCTCTCTGAGGATTTCGTTGGAAACGGGATAAACCGCACAGAACTAAAACAGAAGCATTGTCAGAAACTTCTTTGTGATGATTGCATTCAACTCACAGAGTTGAAGGTTCCTTTTCAAACAGCAGTTTCCAATCACTCTTTCTGTGGAATCTGCAAGTGGATATTTGGGCCTCTCTGAGGATTTCGTTGGAAACGGGATAAAACGCACAGAACTAAAACAGAAGCATTCTCAGAAACTTCTCTGTGATGTTTGTGTTCAACTCCCAGAGTTTCACGTTGCTTTTCATAGAGTAGTTCTGAAACATGCTTTTCGTAGTGTCTGCAAGTGGACATTTGGAGCGCTTTCAGGCCTGTGGTGGAAAACGAATTATGGTCACATAAAAACTGGAGAGAAGCCTTCTCAGAAACTTCTCTGTGATGATTGCATTCAACTCACAGAGTTGAACCCTCCTATGGATAGAGCAGTGTTGAAACTCTCTTTTTGTGTTTTCTGCAAGTGGATATGTGGACCTCTCCGAAGATGTCTTTGGAAACGGGAATATCTTCACATAAAAACTAAACAGAAGCATTCTCAGAAAGTTCTTGGTGATGTTTGCATTCAAATCCCAGAGCTGAACCTTCCTTTGATAGTTCAGGTTTGAAACACTGTTTTTGTAGGATCTGCAAGTGGGTATTTGGACCACTCTGTGGCCTTCGTTCGAAACGGGTATATCTTCATATAAAATCTAGACAGAAGCATTCTCAGAAAATATTTTGTGATGATTGAGTTGAACTCACAGAGCTGAACATTCCTTTGGATGGAGCAGGTTTGAGACACACTTTTTGTAGAATCTACAGGTGGATATTTGGACCTCTCTGAAGATTTCGTTGGAAACGGGATAACTGCACCTAACTAAACGGAAGCATTGTCAGAAACTGCTTTGTGATGATTGCATTCACCTCACAGAGTTGAACATTCCTATTGATAGAGCAGTTTGGAAACACTCTTGTTGTGGAATGTGCAAGTGGAGATTTGGAGCGCTTTGAGGCCTATGGTAGTAAAGGGAATAGCTTCATAGAAAAACTAGACAGATGCATTCTCAGGAACTTTTTGGTGATGTTTGTATTCAACTCCCAGAGTTGAACTTTCCTTTGAAAAGAGCAGCTATGAAACACTCTTTTTCTAGAATCTGCAAGTGGACGTTTGGAGGTCTTTTTTGGTTTGTTGTGGAAAAGGAAATATCTTCACCTAAATACTAGATAGAAGCATTCTCAGAAGCTTCTCTGTGATGACTGCATTCAACTCACGGAGTTGAACACTCCTTTTGAGAGCGCAATTTTGAAACTCTCTTTCTGTGGCATCCGCAAGGGGACATGTAGACCTCTTTGAAGATTTCGTTGGAAACGGAATCATCTTCACATAAAAACTATACAGAAGCAGTCTCAGAATCTTCTTTGTGATGTTTGCATTCAAATCCCAGAGTTGAACTTTCCTTTCAAAGTTCACGTTTGAAACACTCTTTTTGCAGGATCTACAAGTGGATATTTGGACCACTCTGTGTCCTTCGTTCGAAACGGGTATATCTTCACACGACATCTAGACAGAAGCTTTCTCAGAAAATTCTTTGGGATGATTGAGTGGAACTCACAGAGCTGAACATTCCTTGCGATGTAGCAGTTTAGAAACACACCTTCTGCAGAACCTGCAAGTGCATATTTGGACCTCTCTGAGGAATTCGTTGGAAACGGGATAATTTCAGCTGACTAAACAGAAGCATTCTCAGAACCCTCTTCGTGATGTTTGCATTCAACTCACAGTGCTGAACCTTTCCTTGATAGTTCAGCTTTGAAACACTCTTTTTGTAGAAACTGCAAGGGGATAATTGCACTTCTTTGAGGCCTACCGTAGTAAAGGAAATAACTTCCTATAGAAAGAAGACAGAAGCATTCTCAGAACCCTCTTCGTGATGTTTGCATTCAACTCACAGTGCTGAACCTTTCTTTGATAGTTCAGCTTTGAAACACTCTTTTTGTAGAAACTGCAAGTGGATATTTGGTCCTCTCTGAGGATTTCGTTGGAAACGGGATAAAATACACAGAACTAAACAGAAGCATTCTCAGAACCTTCTTCGTGATGTTTGCATTCAACTCACAGTGTTTAACCTTTCTTTGATAGTTCAGGTTGGAAACGGTCTTTCTGTAGAAACTGCAAGTAGATATTTGGACCTCTCTGAGGATTTCGTTGGAAACGGGATAAACCGCACAGAACTAAAACAGAAGCATTCACAGAAAACTCTTGGTGACGACTGAGTTTAACTCACAGAGCTGAACATTCCTTTGGATGGAGCAGTTTCGAAACACACTATTTGTAGAATCTGCAAGTGGATATTTGGGCCTGTCTGAGGATTTCGTTGGAAACGGGATAAACCGCTCAGAACTAAAGAGAAGCATTCTCAGAAGCTACTTTGTGATGATTGCATTCAAGTCACAGAGTTGAACATTCCCTTTGACAGAGCAGTTTGGAAACTCTCTTTGTGTAGAATCTGCAAGTGGAGATATGGACCGCTTTGAGGCCTATGGTAGTAAAGGAAATAGCTTCATATAAAAGCTAGACAGTAGCATTCTCAGAAACTTCTTTGTGATGCTTGCATTCAACTCACAGAGTTGAACTTTCCTTTCGAGAGAGAAGCTTTGAAACACTCTTTTTCCAGAATCTGCAAGTGGACATTTGGAGGGCTTTGAGGCCTGTGGTGGAAAAGGAATTATCTTCCCGTAAAAGCTAGATAGAAGCATTGTCAGAAACTTCTTTGTGATGATTGCATTCAACTCACAGAGTTGAAGGTTCCTTTTCAAAGAGCAGTTTCCAATCACTCTTTCTGTGGAATCTGCAAGTGGATATTTCGACCTATTTTGAAGATTTCATTGGAAACGGGAGAATCTTCACAGAAAAGCTAAACAGAAGCATTCTCAGAAACTTCTCTGTGATGTTTGTGTTCAACTCCCAGAGTTTCACATTGCTTTTCATAGAGTAGTTCTGAAACATGCTTTTCGTAGTGTCTACAAGTGGACATTTGGAGCGCTTTCAGGCCTGTGGTGGAAAACGAATTATGGTCACATAAAAACTGGAGAGAAGCCTTCTCAGAAACTTCTCTGTGATGATTGCATTCAACTCACAGAGTTGAACCCTCCTATGGATAGAGCAGTGTTGAAACTCTCTTTTTGTGGAATCTGCAAGTGGATATGTGGACCTCTCCGAAGATGTCTTTGGAAACGGGAATATCTTCACATAAAAACTAAACAGAAGGATTCTCAGAAACTTCTTGGTGATGTTTGCATTCAAATCCCAGAGTTGAACCTTCCTTTGATAGTTCAGGTTTGAAACACTCTTTTTGTAGGATCTGCAAGTGGCTATTTGGACCACTCTGTGGCATTCGTTCAAAACGGGTATATCTTCGCATAAAATCTAGACAGAAGCATTCTCAGAAAATACTTTGTGATGATTGAGTTGAACTCACAGAGCTGAACATTCCTTTGGATGGAGCAGGTTTGAGACACACTTTTTGTAGAATCTACAAGTGGATATTTGGACCTCTCTGAGGATTTCGTTGGAAACGGGATAACTGCACCTAACTAAACGGAAGCATTCTCAGAAACTGCTTTGTGATGATTGCATTCACCTCACAGAGTTGAACATTCCTATTGATAGAGCAGGTTGGAACCACTCTTGTTGTGGAATGTGCAAGTGGAGATTTGGAGCGCTTTGAGGCCTATGGTAGTAAAGGGAATAGCTTCATAGAAAAACTAGACAGATGCATTCTCAGGAACCTTTTGGTGATGTTTGTATTCAACTCCCAGAGTTGAACTTTCCTTTGGAAAGAGCAGCTATGAAACACTCTTTTTCTAGAATCTGCAAGTGGACGTTTGGAGGGCTTTGTGGTTTGTGGTGGAAAAGGAAATATCTTCACCTAAATACTAGATAGAAGCATTCTCAGAAGCTTCTCTGTGATGACTGCATTCAACTCACGGAGTTGAACACTCCTTTTGAGAGCGCAGTTTTGAAACTCTCTTTCTGTGGCATCTGCAAGGGGACATGTAGACCTCTTTGAAGATTTCGTTGGAAACGGAATCATCTTCACATAAAAACTATACAGAAGCAGTCTCAGAATCTTCTTTGTGATGTTTGCATTCAAATCCCAGAGTTGAACTTTCCTTTCAAAGTTCACGTTTGAAACACTCTTTTTGCAGGATCTACAAGTGGATATTTGGACCACTCTGTGTCCTTCGTTCGAAACGGGTATATCTTCACACGACATCTAGACAGAAGCTTTCTCAGAAAATTCTTTGGGATGATTGAGTTGAACTCACAGAGCTGAACATTCCTTGCGATGTAGCAGTTTAGAAACACACTTTCTGCAGAATCTGAAAGTGCATATTTGGACCTCTCTGAGGAATTCGTTGGAAACGGGATAATTTCAGCTGACTAAACAGAAACATTCTCAGAACCTTCTTCGTGATGTCTGCATTCAACTCACAGTGTGGAACCTTTCTTTGATAGTTCAGGTTTGAAACACTCTTTTTGTAGAGACTGCAAGGGGATAATTGCACTTCTTTGAGGCCTACCGTAGTAAAGGAAATAACTTCCCATAAAAAGAAGACAGAAGCATTCTCAGAACCCTCTTCGTGATGTTTGCATTCAACTCACACTGCTGAACCTTTCTTTGATAGTTCAGCTTTCAAACACTCTTTTTGTAGAAACTGCAAGTGGATATTTGGTCCTCTCTGAGGATTTCGTTGGAAACGGGATAAACCGCACAGAACTAAACAGAAGCATTCTCAAATCCTTCTTCGTGATGTTTGCATTCAACTCACAGTGTTGAACCTTTCTTTGATAGTTCAGGTTTGAAACGGTCTT
Source organism: Homo sapiens (assembly GCF_000001405.40). Lineage (NCBI taxonomy): Eukaryota > Metazoa > Chordata > Mammalia > Primates > Hominidae > Homo > Homo sapiens. The sequence goes on from NC_000017.11 coordinate 23,227,193, forward strand.
TCTGTAGAAACTGCAAGTAGATATTTTGACCTCTCTGAGGATTTCATTGGAAACGGGATAAACCGCACAGAACTAAAACAGAAGCATTCACAGAAAACTCTTGGTGACGACTGAGTTTAACTCACGGAGCTGAACATTCCTTTGGAGGGAGCAGGTTCGAAACACAGTATTTGTAGAATGTGCAACTGGATATTAGGGCCTCTCTGAGGATTTCGTTGGAAACGGGATAAACGGCACAGAAATAAACAGAAGCATTTTCAGAAACTACTTTGTGATGATTGCATTCAAGTCACAGAGCTGAACATTCCCTTTGACAGAGCAGTTTGGAAACTCTCTTTGTGTAGAATCTGCAAGTGGAGATATGGACCGCTTTGAGGCCTATGGTAGTAAAGGAAATAGCTTCATATAAAAGCTAGACAGTAGCATTCTCAGAAACTTCTTTGTGATGCTTGCATTCAACTCACAGAGTTGAACTTTCCTTTCGAGAGAGAAGCTTTGAAACACTCTTTTTCCAGAATGTGCAAGTGGACATTTGGGGAGCTTTGAGGCCTGTGGTGGAAAAGGAATTATCTTCCCGTAAAAGCTAGATAGAAGCATTGTCAGAAACTTCTTCGTGATGATTGCATTCAACTCACAGAGTTGAAGGTTCCTTTTCAAACAGCAGTTTCCAAACACTCTTTCTGTGGAATCTGCAAGTGGATGTTTGGACCTCTTTGAAGATTTCGTTGGAAACGGGAGAATCTTCACAGAAAAGCTAAACAGAAGCTTTCTCAGAAACTTCTCTGTGATGTCTGTGTTCAACTCCCAGAGTTTCACATTGCTTTTCATAGAGTAGTTCTGAAACATGCTTTTCGTAGTGTCTGCAAGTGGACGTTTGGAGCGCTTTCAGGCCTGCGGTGGAAAACGAATTATGGTCACATAAAAACTGGAGAGAAGCCTTCTGAGAAACTTCTCTGTGATGATTGCATTCATCTCACAGAGTTGAACCCTCCAATGGATAGAGCAGTGTTGAAACTCTCTTTTTGTGGAATCTGCAAGTGGATATGTGGACCTCGCCGAAGATGTCTTTGGAAACGGGAATATCTTCACATAAAAACTAAACAGAAGCATTCTCAGAAACTTCCTGGTGATGTTTGCATTCAAATCCCAGAGTTGAACCTTCCTTTGATAGTTCAGGTTTGAAACACTCTTTTTGTAGGATGTGCAAGTGGATATTTGGACCACTCTGTGGCCTTCGTTCAAAACGGGTACATCTTCGCATAATATCTAGACAGAAGCATTCTCAGAAAATACTTTGTGATGATTGAGTTTAAATCACAGAGCTGACCATTCCTTTGGATGGAGCAGGTTTGAGACACACTTTTTGTAGAATCTACAAGTGGATATTTGGACCTCTCTGAGGATTTCGTTGGAAACGGGATAACTGCACCTAACTAAACGGAAGCATTCTCAGAAACTGCTTTGTGATGATTGCATTCACCTCACAGAGTTGAACATTCCTATTGATAGAGCAGTTTGGAAACACTCTTGTTGTGGAATGTGCAAGTGGAGATTTGGAGCGCTTTGAGGCCTGTGGTAGTAAAGGGAATAGCTTCATAGAAAAACTAGACAGATGCATTCTCATGGAACATCTTTTTGGTGATGTTTGTATTCAACTCCCAGAGTTGAACTTTCCTTTGGAAAGAGCAGCTATGAAACACTCTTTTTCTAGAATCTGCAAGTGGACGTTTGGAGGGCTTTGTGGTTTGTGGTGGAAAAGGAAATATCTTCACCTAAATACTAGATAGAGGCATCCTCAGAAGCTTCTCTGTGATGACTGCATTCAACTCACGGAGTTGAACACTCCTTTTGAGAGCGCAGTTTTGAAACTCTCTTTCTGTGGCATCTGCAAGGGGACATGTAGACCTCTTTGAAGATTTCGTTGGAAACGGAATCATCTTCACATAAAAACTATACAGAAGCAGTCTCAGAATCTTCTTTGTGATGTTTGCATTCAAATCCCAGAGTTGAACTTTCCTTTCAAAGTTCACGTTTGAAACACTCTTTTTGCAGGATCTACAAGTGGATATTTGGACCACTCTGTGTCCTTCGTTCGAAACGGGTATATCTTCACATGACATCTAGACAGAAGCTTTCTCAGAAAATTCTTTGGGATGATTGAGTGGAATTCACAGAGCTGAACATTCCTTGCGATGTAGCAGTTTAGAAACACACTTTCTGCAGAATCTGCAAGTGCATATTTGGACCTCTCTGAGGAATTCGTTGGAAACGGGATAATTTCAGCTGACTAAACAGAAGCATTCTCAGAACCTTCTTCCTGATGTCTGCATTCAACTCACAGTGTGGAACCTTTCTTTGATAGTTCAGGTTTGAAACACTCTTTTTGTAGAAACTGCAAGGGGATAATTGCACTTCTTTGAGGCCTACCGTAGTAAAGGAAGTATCTTCCTATAGAAAGAAGACAGAAGCATTCTCAGAACCTTCTTCGTGATGTTTGCATTCAACTCACAGTGTTGAACCTTTCTTTGATAGTTCAGGTTTGAAACGGTCTTTCTGTAGAAACTGCAAGTAGATATTTGGACCTCTCTGAGGATATCGTTGGAAACGGGATAAACCGCACAGAACTAAACAGAAGCATTCACAGAAAACTCTTGGTGACGACCGAGTTTAACTCACAGAGCTGAACATTCCTTTGAATGGAGCAGTTTCGAAACACACTATTTGTAGAATGTGCAAGTGGATATTTGGGCCTCTCTGAGGATTTCGTTGGAAACGGGATAAACCGCACAGAACTAAACAGAAGCATTCTCAGAAACTACTTTGTGATGATTGCATTCAAGTCACAGAGTTGAACATTCCCTTTGACAGAGCAGTTTGGAAACCCTCTTTGTGTAGAATCTGCAAGTGGAGATATGGACCGCTTTGAGGCCTATGGTAGTAAAGGAAATAGATTCATATAAAAGCTAGACAGTAGCATTCTCAGAAACTTCTTTGTGATGCTTGCATTCAACTCACAGAGTTGAAATTTCCTTTCGAGAGAGAAGCTTTGAAACACTCTTTTTCCAGAATGTTCAAGTGGATATTTGCAGGGCTTTGAGGCCTGTGGTGGAAAAGGAATTATCTTCCCGTAAAAGCTAGATAGAAGCATTGTCAGAAACTTCTTTGTGATGATTGCATTCAACTCACAGAGTTGAAGGTTCCTTTTCAAACAGCAGTTTCCAATCACTCTTTCTGTGGAATCTGCAAGTGGATATTTCGACCTCTTTGAAGATTTCGTTGGAAACGGGAGAATCTTCACAGAAAAGCTAAACAGAAGCATTCTCAGAAACTTCTCTGTGATGTTTGTGTTCAACTCCCAGAGTTTCACATTGCTTTTCATAGAGTAGTTCTGAAACATGCTTTTCGTAGTGTCTGCAAGTGGACATTTGGAGCGCTTTCAGGCCTGTGGTGGAAAACGAATTATGGTCACATAAAAACTGGAGAGAAGCCTTCTCAGAAACTTCTCTGTGATGATTGCATTCAACTCACAGAGTTGAACGCTCCTATGGATAGAGCAGTGTTGAAACTCTCTTTTTGTGGAATCTGCAAGTGGATATGTGGACCTCTCCGAAGATGTCTTTGGAAACGGTAATATCTTCACATAATAACTAAACAGAAGCATTCTCAGAAACTTCTTGGTGATGTTTGCATTCAAATCCCAGAGTTGAACCTTCCTTTGATAGTTCAGGTTTGAAACACTCTTTTTGTAGGATCTGCAAGTGGATATTTGGACCACTCTGTGGCCTTCGTTCGAAACGGGTACATCTTCGCATAAAATCTAGACAGAAGCATTCTCAGAAAATACTTTGTGATGATTGAGTTAAAATCACAGAGCTGAACATTCCTTTGGATGGAGCAGGTTTGAGACACACTTTTTGTAGAATCTACAAGTGGATATTTGGACCTCTCTGAGGATTTCGTTGGAAACGGGATAACTGCACCTAACTAAACGGAAAGCATTCTCAGAAACTGCTTTGTGATGATTGCATTCACCTCACAGAGTTGAACATTCCTATTGATAGAGCAGTTTGGAAACACTCTTGTTGTGGAATGTGCAAGTGGAGATTTGGAGCGCTTTGAGGCCTATGGTAGTAAAGGGAATAGCTTCATAGAAAAACTAGACAGTGCATTCTCAGGAACTTTTTGGTGATGTTTGCATTCAACTCCCAGAGTTGAACTTTCCTTTGGAAAGAGCAGCTATGAAACATTCTTTTTCTAGAATCTGCAAGTGGACGTTTGGAGGGCTTTGTGGTTTGTGGTGGAAAAGGAAATATCTTCACCTAAATACTAGATAGAAGCATTCTCAGAAGCTTCTCTGTGATGACTGCATTCAACTCACGGAGTTGAACACTCCTTTTGAGAGCGCAGTTTTGAAACTCTCTTTCTGTGGCATCTGCAAGGGGACATGTAGACCTCTTTGAAGATTTCGTTGGAAACGGAATCATCTTCACATAAAAACTATACAGAAGCAGTCTCAGAATCTTCTTTGTGATGTTTGCATTCAAATCCCAGAGTTGAACTTTCCTTTCAAAGTTCGCGTTTGAAACACTCTTTTTGCAGGATCTACAAGTGGATATTTGGACCACTCTGTGTCCTTCGTTCGAAACAGTTATACCTTCACATGACATCTAGACAGAAGCTTTCTCAGAAAATTCTTTGGGATGATTGAGTTGAACTCACAGAGCTGAGCATTCCTTGCGATGTAGCAGTTTAGAAACACACTTTCTGCAGAATCTGCAAGTGCATATTTGGACCTCTCTGAGAAATTCGTTGGAAACGGGATAATTTCAGCTGACTAAACAGAGGCATTCTCAGAACCTTCTTCTTGATGTCTGCATTCAACTCACAGTGTGGAACCTTTCTTTGATAGTTCAGGTTTGAAACACTCTTTTTGTAGGAACTGCAAGGGGATAATTGCACTCTTTGAGGAGTACCGTAGTAAAGGAAATAACTTCCTATAAAAAGAAGACAGAAGCATTCTCAAAACCCTCTTCATGATGTTTGCATTCAACTCACAGTGCTGAAACTTTCTTTGATAGTTCAGCTTTGAAACACTCTTTTTGTAGAAACTGCAAGTGGATATTTGGTCCTCTCTGAGGATTTCGTTGGAAACGGGATAAACCGCACAGAACTAAGCAGAAGCATTCTCAGAACATTCTTCGTGATGTTTGCATTCAACTCACAGTGTTGAACCTTTCTGTGATAGTTCAGGTTGGAAACGGTCTTTCTGTAGAAACTGCAAGTAGATATTTGGACCTCTCTGAGGATTTCGTTGGAAACGGGATAAACCGCACAGAACTAAAACAGAAGCATTCACAGAAAACTCTTGGTGATGACTGAGTTTAACTCACAGAGCTGAACATTCCTTTGGATGGAGCAGTTTCGAAACACACTATTTGTAGAATGTGCAAGTGGATATTTGGGCCTCTCTGAGGATTTCGTTGGAAACGGGATAAACCGCACAGAACTAAACAGAAGCATTCTCAGAAACTACTTTGTGATGATTGCATTCAAGTCACAGAGTTTAACATTCCCTTTGACAGAGCAGTTTGGAAACTCTCTTTGTGTAGAATCTGCAAGTGGAGATATGGACCGCTTTGAGGCCTATGGTAGTAAAGGAAATAGCTTCATATAAAAGCTAGACAGTAGCATTCTCAGAAACTTCTTTGTGATGCTTGCATTCAACTCACAGAGTTGAACTTTCCTTTCGAGAGAGAAGCTTTGAAACACTCTTTTTCCAGAATCTGCAAGTGTAGATTTGGAGGGCTTTGAGGCCTGTGGTGGAAAAGGAATTATCTTCCCGTAAAAGCTAGATGGAAGCATTGTCAGAAACTTCTTTGTGATGATTGCATTCAACTCACAGAGTTGAAGGTTCCTTTTCAAACAGCAGTTTCCAATCACTCTTTCTGTGGAATCTGCAAGTAGATATTTGGGCCTCTCTGAGGATTTCGTTGGAAACGGGATAAAACGCACAGAACTAAAACAGAAGCATTCTCAGAAACTTCTCTGTGATGTTTGTGTTCAACTCCCAGAGTTTCACGTTGCTTTTCATAGAGTAGTTCTGAAACATGCTTTTCGTAGTGTCTGCAAGTGGACATTTGGAGCGCTTTCAGGCCTGTGGTGGAAAACGAATTATGGTCACATAAAAACTGGAGAGAAGCCTTCTCAGAAACTTCTCTGTGATGATTGCATTCAACTCACAGAGTTGAACCCTCCTATGGATAGAGCAGTGTTGAAACTCTCTTTTTGTGGAATCTGCAAGTGGATATGTGGACCTCTCCGAAGATGTCTTTGGAAACGGGAATATCTTCACATAAAAACTAAACAGAAGCATTCTCAGAAACTTCTTGGTGATGTTTGCATTCAAATCCCAGAGTTGAACCTTCCTTTGATAGTTCAGGTTTGAAACACTCTTTCTGTAGGATCTGCAAGTGGCTATTTGGACCACTCTGTGGCCTTCGTTCGAAACGGGTATATCTTCGCATAAAATCTAGACAGAAGCATTCTCAGAAAATACTTTGTGATGATTGAGTTTAAATCACAGAGCTGACCATTCCTTTGGATGGAGCAGGTTTGAGACACACTTTTTGTAGAATCTACAAGTGGATATTTGGACCTCTCTGAGGATTTCGTTGGAAACGGGATAACTGCACCTAACTAAACGGAAGCATTCTCAGAAACTGCTTTGTGATGATTGCATTCACCTCACAGAGTTGAACATTCCTATTGATAGAGCAGTTTGGAAACACTCTTGTTGTGGAATGTGCAAGTGGAGATTTGGAGCGCTTTGAGGCCTATGGTAGTAAAGGGAATAGCTTCATAGAAAAACTAGACAGATGCATTCTCAGGAACCTTTTGGTGATGTTTGTATTCAACTCCCAGAGTTGAACTTTCCTTTGGAAAGAGCAGCTATGAAACACTCTTTTTCTAGAATCTGCAAGTGGACGTTTGGAGGGCTTTGTGGTTTGTGGTGGAAAAGGAAATATCTTCACCTAAATACTAGATAGAAGCATTCTCAGAAGCTTCTCTGTGATGACTGCATTCAACTCACGGAGTTGAACACTCCTTTTGAGAGCGCAGTTTTGAAACTCTCTTTCTGTGGCATCTGCAAGGGGACATGTAGACCTCTTTGAAGATTTCGTTGGAAACGGAATCATCTTCACATAAAAACTATACAGAAGCAGTCTCAGAATCTTCTTTGTGATGTTTGCATTCAAATCCCAGAGTTGAACTTTCCTTTCAAAGTTCACGTTTGAAACACTCTTTTTGCAGGATCTACAAGTGGATATTTGGACCACTCTGTGTCCTTCGTTCGAAACGGGTATATCTTCACACGACATCTAGACAGAAGCTTTCTCAGAAAATTCTTTGGGATGATTGAGTGGAACTCACAGAGCTGAACATTCCTTGCGATGTAGCAGTTTAGAAACACACTTTCTGCAGAATCTGCAAGTGCATATTTGGACCTCTCTGAGGAATTCGTTGGAAACGGGATAATTTCAGCTGACTAAACAGAAGCATTCTCAGAGCCTTCTTCGTGATGTCTGCATTCAACTCACAGTGTGGAACCTTTCTTTGATAGTTCAGGTTTGAAACACTCTTTTTGTAGAAACTGCAAGGGGATCATTGCACTTCTTTGAGGCCTACCGTAGTAAAGGAGATAACTTCCTATAAAAAGAAGACAGAAGCATTCTCAGAACCTTCTTCGTGATGTTTGCATTCAACTCACAGTGTTGAACCTTTCTTTGATAGTTCAGGTTTGAAACGGTCTTTCTGTAGAAACTGCAAGTAGATATTTGGACCTCTCTGAGGATTTCGTTGGAAACGGGATAAACCGCACAGAACTAAACAGAAGCATTCACAGAAAACTCTTGGTGACGACTGAGTTTAACTCACAGAGCTGAACATTCCTTTGGATGGAGCAGTTTCGAAACACACTCTTTGTAGAATCTGCAAGTGGATATTTGGGCCTCTCTGAGGATTTCGTTGGAAACGGAATAAACCGCACAGAACTAAAACAGAAGCATTCTCAGAAACTACTTTGTGATGATTGCATTCAAGTCACAGAGTTGAACATTCCCTTTGACAGAGCAGTTTGGAAACTCTCTTTGTGTAGAGTCTGCAAGTGGAGATATGGACCGCTTTGAGGCCTATGGTAGTAAAGGAAATGGCTTCATATGAAAGCTAGACAGTAGCATTCTCAGAAACTTCTTTGTGATGCTTGCATTCAACTCACAGAGTTGAACTTTCCTTTCGAGAGAGAAGCTTTGAAACACTCTTTTTCCAGAATGTGCAAGTGGACATTTGGAGGGCTTTGAGGCCTGTGGTGGAAAAGGAATTATCTTCCCGTAAAAGCTAGATAGAAGCATTGTCAGAAACTTCTTTGTGATGATTGCATTCAACTCACAGAGTTGAAGGTTCCTTTTCAAACAGCAGTTTCCAATCACTCTTTCTGTGGAATCTGCAAGTGGATATTTCGACCTCTTTGAAGATTTCGTTGGAAACGGGAGAACCTTCACAGAAAAGCTAAACAGAAGCATTCTCAGAAACTTCTCTGTGATGTTTGTGTTCAACTCCCAGAGTTTCACGTTGCTTTTCATAGAGTAGTTCTGAAACATGCTTTTCGTAGTGTCTGCAAGTGGACATTTGGAGCGCTTTCAGGCCTGTGGTGGAAAACGAATTATGGTCACATAAAAACTGGAGAGAAGCCTTCTCAGAAACTTCTCTGTGATGATTGCATTCAACTCACAGAGTTGAACCCTCCTATGGATAGAGCAGTGTTGAAACTCTGTTTTTGTGGAATCTGCAAGTGGATATGTGGACCTCTCCGAAGATGTCTTTGGAAACGGGAATATCTTCACATAAAAACTAAACAGAAGCATTCTCAGAAACTTCTTGGTGATGTTTGCATTCAAATCCCAGAGTTGAACCTTCCTTTGATAGTTCAGGTTTGAAACACTCTTTTTGTAGGATCTGCAAGTGGCTATTTGGACCACTCTGTGGCCTTCGTTCGAAACGGGTATATCTTCGCATAAAATCTAGACAGAAGCATTCTCAGAAAATACTTTGTGATGATTGAGTTAAAATCACAGAGCTGAACATTCCTTTGGATGGAGCAGGTTTGAGACACACTTTTTGTAGAATCTACAAGTGGATATTTGGACCTCTCTGAGGATTTCGTTGGAAACGGGATAACTGCACCTAACTAAACGGAAGCATTCTCAGAAACTGCTTTGTGATGATTGCATTCACCTCACAGAGTTGAACATTCCTATTGATAGAGCAGTTTGGAAACACTCTTGTTGTGGAATGTGCAAGTGGAGATTTGGAGCGCTTTGAGGCCTGTGGTAGTAAAGGGAATAGCTTCATAGAAAAACTAGACAGATGCATTCTCAGGAACTTTTTGGTGATGTTTGTATTCAACTCCCAGAGTTGAACTTTCCTTTGGAAAGAGCAGCTATGAAACACTCTTTTTCTAGAATCTGCAAGTGGACGTTTGGAGGGCTTTGTGGTTTGTGGTGGAAAAGGAAATATCTTCACCTAAATACTAGATAGAAGCATTCTCAGAAGCTTCTCTGTGATGACTGCATTCAACTCACGGAGTTGAACACTCCTTTTGAGAGCGCAGTTTTGAAACTCTCTTTCTGTGGCATCTGCAAGGGGACATGTAGACCTCTTTGAAGATTTCGTTGGAAACGGAATCATCTTCACATAAAAACTATACAGAAGCAGTCTCAGAATCTTCTTTGTGATGTTTGCATTCAAATCCCAGAGTTGAACTTTCCTTTCAAAGTTCACGTTTGAAACACTCTTTTTGCAGGATCTACAAGTGGATATTTGGACCACTCTGTGTCCTTCGTTCGAAACGGGTATATCTTCACACGACATCTAGACAGAAGCTTTCTCAGAAAATTCTTTGGGATGATTGAGTGGAACTCACAGAGCTGAACATTCCTTGCGATGTAGCAGTTTAGAAACACACTTTCTGCAGAATCTGCAAGTGCATATTTGGACCTCTCTGAGGAATTCGTTGGAAACGGGATAATTTCAGCTGACTAAACAGAAGCATTCTCAGAACCTTCTTCGTGATGTCTGCATTCAACTCACAGTGTGGAACCTTTCTTTGATAGTTCAGGTTTGAAACACTCTATTTGTGGAAACTGCAAGGGGATAATTGCACTTCTTTGAGGCCCACCGTAGTAATGGAAATAACTTCCTATAAAAAGAAGACAGAAGCATTCTCAGGACCCTCTTCGTGATGTTTGCATTCAACTCACAGTGCTGAACCTTTCTTTGATAGTTCAGCTTTGAAACACTCTTTTTGTAGAAACTGCAAGAGGATATTTGGTCCTCTCTGAGGATTTCGTTGGAAACGGGATAAACCGCACAGAACTAAACAGAAGAATTCTCAGAGCCCTCTTCGTGATGTTTGCATTCAACTCACAGTGCTGAACCTTTCTTTGATAGTGCAGCTTCGAAACACTCTTTTTGTAGAAACTGCAAGTGGATGTTTGGTCCTCTCTGAGGATTTCGTTGGAAACGGGATAAACCGCACAGAACTAAAACAGAAGCATTGTCAGAAACTTCTTTGTGATGATTGCATTCAACTCACAGAGTTGAAGGTTCCTTTTCAAACAGCAGTTTCCAATCACTCTTTCTGTGGAATCTGCAAGTGGATATTTGGGCCTCTCTGAGGATTTCGTTGGAAACGGGATAAAACGCACAGAACTAAAACAGAAGCATTCTCAGAAACTTCTCTGTGATGTTTGTGTTCAACTCCCAGAGTTTCACGTTGCTTTTCATAGAGTAGTTCTGAAACATGCTTTTCGTAGTGTCTGCAAGTGGACATTTGGAGCGCTTTCAGGCCTGTGGTGGAAAACGAATTATGGTCACATAAAAACTGGAGAGAAGCCTTCTCAGAAACTTCTCTGTGATGATTGCATTCAACTCACAGAGTTGAACCCTCCTATGGATAGAGCAGTGTTGAAACTCTCTTTTTGTGGAATCTGCAAGTGGATATGTGGACCTCTCCGAAGATGTCTTTGGAAACGGGAATATCTTCACATAAAAACTAAACAGAAGCATTCTCAGAAACTTCTTGGTGATGTTTGCATTCAAATCCCAGAGTTGAACCTTCCTTTGATAGTTCAGGTTTGAAACACTCTTTCTGTAGGATCTGCAAGTGGCTATTTGGACCACTCTGTGGCCTTCGTTCGAAACGGGTATATCTTCGCATAAAATCTAGACAGAAGCATTCTCAGAAAATACTTTGTGATGATTGAGTTTAACTCACAGAGCTGAACATTCCTTTGGATGGAGCAGGTTTGAGACACACTTTTTGTAGAATCTACAAGTGGATATTTGGACCTCTCTGAGGATTTCGTTGGAAACGGGATAACTGCACCTAACAAAACGGAAGCATTCTCAGAAACTGCTTTGTGATGATTGCATTCACCTCACAGAGTTGAACATTCCTATTGATAGAGCAGTTTGGAAACACTCTTGTTGTGGAATGTGCAAGTGGAGATTTGGAGCGCTTTGAGGCCTATGGTAGTAAAGGGAATAGCTTAATAGAAAAACTAGACAGATGCATTCTCAGGAACTTTTTGGTGATGTTTGTATTCAACTCCCAGAGTTGAACTTTCCTTTGGAAAGAGCAGCTATGAAACACTTTTTGTAGAATCTGCAAGTGGACGTTTGGAGGGCTTTGTGGTTTGTGGTGGAAAAGGAAATATCTTCACCTAAATACTAGATAGAAGCATTCTCAGAAGCTTCTCTGTGATGACTGCATTCAACTCACGGAGTTGAACACTCCTTTTGAGAGTGCAGTTTTGAAACTCTCTTTCTGTGGCATCTGCAAGGGGACATGTAGACCTCTCTGAAGATTTCGTTGGAAACGGAATCATCTTCACATAAAAACTATACAGAAGCAGTCTCAGAATCTTCTTTGTGATGTTTGCATTCAAATCCCAGAGTTGAACTTTCGTTTCAAAGTTCACGTTTGAAACACTCTTTTTGCAGGATCTACAAGTGGATATTTGGACCACTCTGTGTCCTTCGTTCGAAACGGGTATATCTTCACATGACATCTAGACAGAAGCTTTCTCAGAAAATTCTTTGCGATGATTGAGTTGAACTCACAGAGCTGAACATTCCTTGCGATGTAGCAGTTTAGAAACACACTTTCTGCAGAATCTGCAAGTGCATATTTGGACCTCTCTGAGGAATTCGTTGGAAACGGGATAATTTCAGCTGACTAAACAGAAGCATTCTCAGAACCTTCTTCGTGATGTCTGCATTCAACTCACAGTGTGGAACCTTTCTTTGATAGTTCAGGTTTGAAACACTCTTTTTGTAGAAACTGCAAGGGGATAATTGCACTTCTTTGAGGCCTACCGTAGTAAAGGAAATAACTTCCTATAAAAAGAAGACAGAAGCATTCTCAGAACCCTCTTCGTGATGTTTGCATTCAACTCACAGTGCTGAACCTTTCTTTGATAGTTCAGCTTTGAAACACTCTTTTTGTAGAAACTGCAAGTGGATATTTGGTCCTCTCTGAGGATTTCGTTGGAAACGGGATAAACCGCACAGAACTAAACAGAAGCATCCTCAGAACCTTCTTCGTGATGTTTGCATTCAACTCACAGTGCTGAACCTTTCTTTGATAGTTCAGCTTTGAAACACTCTTTTTGTAGAAACTGCAAGTGGATATTTGGACCTCTCTGAGGATTTCGTTGGAAACGGGATAAACCGCACAGAACTAAAACAGAAGCATTCACAGAAAACACTTGGTGACGACTGCGTTTAACTCACAGAGCTGAAAATCCCTTTGGATGGAGCAGTTTCGAAAAACACTATTTGTAGAATGTGCAAGTGGATATTTGGGCCTCTCTGAGGATTTCGTTGGAAACGGGATAAACCACACAGAACTAAACAGAAGCATTCTCAGAAACTACTTCGTGATGATTGCATTGAAGTCACAGAGTTGAACATTCCCTTTGACAGAGCAGTTTGGAAAATCTCTTTGTGTAGAATCTGCAAGTGGAGATATGGACCGCTTTGAGGACTATGGTAGTAAAGGAAATAGCTTCATATAAAAGCTAAACAGTAGCATTCTCAGAAACTTCTTTGTGATGCTTGCATTCAACTCACAGAGTTGAACTTTCCTTTCGAGAGAGAAGCTTTGAAACACTCTTTTTCCAGAATCTGCAAGTGGACATTTGGAGGGCTTTGAGGCCTGTGGTGGAAAAGGAATTATCTTCCCGTAAAAGCTAGAGAGAAGCATTGTCAGAAACTTCTTTGTGATGATTGCATTCAACTCACAGAGTTGAAGGTTCCTTTTCAAACAGCAGTTTCCAATCACTCTTTCTGTGGAATCTGCAAGTGGATATTTGGACCTCTTTGAAGATTTCGTTGGAAACGGGAGAATCTTCACAGAAAAGCTAAACAGAAGCATTCTCAGAAACTTCTCTGTGATGTTTGTGTTCAACTCCCAGAGTTTCACATTGCTTTTCATAGAGTAGTTCTGAAACATGCTTTTCGTAGTGTCTGCAAGTGGACATTTGGAGCGCTTTCAGGCCTTTGGTGGAAAACGAATTATGGTCACATAAAAACTGGAGAGAAGCCTTCTCAGAAACTTCTCTGTGATGATTGCATTCAACTCACAGAGTTGAACCCTCCTATGGATAGAGCAGTGTTGTAACTCTCTTTTTGTGGAATCTGCAAGCGGATATGTGGACCTCTCCGAAGATGTCTTTGGAAACGGGAATATCTTCACATAAAAACTAAACAGAAGCATTCTCAGAAACTTCTTGGTGATGTTTGCATTCAAATCCCAGAGTTGAACCTTCCTTTGAGAGTTCAGGTTTGAAACACTCTTTTTGTAGGATCTGCAAGTGGATATTTGGACCACTCTGTGGCCTTCGTTCGAAACGGGTACATCTTCGCATAAAATCTAGACAGAAGCATTCTCAGAAAATACTTTGTGATGATTGAGTTTAACTCACAGAGCTGAACATTCCTTTGGATGGAGCAGGTTTGAGACACACTTTTTGTAGAATCTACAAGTGGATATTTGGACCTCTCTGAGGATTTCGTTGGAAACGGGATAACTGCAGCTAACTAAACGGAAGCATTCTCAGAAACTGCATTGTGATGATTGCATTCACCTCACAGAGTTGAACATTCCTATTGATAGAGCAGTTTGGAAACACTCTTCTTGTGGAATGTGCAAGTGGAGATTTGGAGCGCTTTGAGGCCTATGGTAGTAAAGGGAATAGCTTCATAGAAAAACTAGACAGATGCATTCTCAGGAACTTTTTGGTGATGTTTGTATTCAACTCCCAAGAGTTGAACTTTCCTTTGGAAAGAGCAGCTATGAAACACTCTTTTTCTAGAATCTGCAAGTGGACGTTTGGAGGGCTTTGTGGTTTGTGGTGGAAAAGGAAATATCTTCACCTAAATACTAGATAGAAGCATTCTCAGAAGCTTCTCTGTGATGACTGCATTCAACTCACGGAGTTGAACACTCCTTTTGAGAGCGCAGTTTTGAAACTCTCTTTCTGTGGCATCCGCAAGGGGACATGTAGACCTGTTTGAAGATTTCTTTGGAAAGGGAATCATCTTCACATAAAAACTATACAGAAGCAGTCTCAGAATCTTCTTTGTGATGTTTGCATTCAAATCCCAGAGTTGAACTTTCCTTTCAAAGTTCACGTTTGAAACACTCTTTTTGCAGGATCTACAAGTGGATATTTGGACCACTCCTGTGTCCTTCGTTCGAAACGGGTATATCTTCACACGACATCTAGACAGAAGCTTTCTCAGAAAATTCTTTGGGATGATTGAGTGGAACTCACAGAGCTGAACATTCCTTGCGATGTAGCAGTTTAGAAACACACTTTCTGCAGAATCTGCAAGTGCATATTTGGACCTCTCTGAGGAATTCGTTGGAAACGGGATAATTTCAGCTGACTAAACAGAAGCATTCTCAGAACCTTCTTCGTGATGTCTGCATTCAACTCACAGTGTGGAACCTTTCTTTGATAGTTCAGGTTTGAAACACTCTTTTTGTAGAAACTGCAAGGGGATAATTGCACTTCTTTGAGGCCTACCGTAGTAAAGGAAATAACTTCCTATAGAAAGAAGACAGAAGCATTCTCAGAACCCTCTTCGTGATGTTTGCATTCAACTCACAGTGCTGAACCTTTCTTTGATAGTTCAGCTTTGAAACACTCTTCTTGTAGAAACTGCAAGTGGATATTTGGTCCTCTCTGAGGATTTCGTTGGAAACGGGATAAACCGCACAGAACTAAACAGAAGAATTCTCAGAGCCCTCTTCGTGATGTTTGCATTCAACTCACAGTGCTGAACCTTTCTTTGATAGTGCAGCTTTGAAACACTCTTTTTGTAGAAACTGCAAGTGGATGTTTGGTCCTCTCTGAGGATTTCGTTGGAAACGGGATAAACCGCACAGAACTAAAACAGAAGCATTGTCAGAAACTTCTTTGTGATGATTGCATTCAACTCACAGAGTTGAAGGTTCCTTTTCAAACAGCAGTTTCCAATCACTCTTTCTGTGGAATCTGCAAGTGGATATTTGGGCCTCTCTGAGGATTTCGTTGGAAACGGGATAAAACGCACAGAACTAAAACAGAAGCATTCTCAGAAACTTCTCTGTGATGTTTGTGTTCAACTCCCAGAGTTTCACGTTGCTTTTCATAGAGTAGTTCTGAAACATGCTTTTCGTAGTGTCTGCAAGTGGACATTTGGAGCGCTTTCAGGCCTGTGGTGGAAAACGAATTATGGTCACATAAAAACTGGAGAGAAGCCTTCTCAGAAACTTCTCTGTGATGATTGCATTCAACTCACAGAGTTGAACCCTCCTATGGATAGAGCAGTGTTGAAACTCTCTTTTTGTGGAATCTGCAAGTGGATATGTGGACCTCTCCGAAGATGTCTTTGGAAACGGGAATATCTTCACATAAAAACTAAACAGAAGCATTCTCAGAAACTTCTTGGTGATGTTTGCATTCAAATCCCAGAGTTGAACCTTCCTTTGATAGTTCAGGTTTGAAACACTCTTTCTGTAGGATCTGCAAGTGGCTATTTGGACCACTCTGTGGCCTTCGTTCGAAACGGGTATATCTTCGCATAAAATCTAGACAGAAAGCATTCTCAGAAAATACTTTGTGATGATTGAGTTTAAATCACAGAGCTGACCATTCCTTTGGATGGAGCAGGTTTGAGACACACTTTTTGTAGAATCTACAAGTGGATATTTGGACCTCTCTGAGGATTTCGTTGGAAACGGGATAACTGCACCTAACTAAACGGAGCATTCTCAGAAACTGCTTTGTGATGATTGCATTCACCTCACAGAGTTGAACATTTCTATTGATAGAGCAGTTTGGAAACACTCTTGTTGTGGAATGTGCAAGTGGAGATTTGGAGCGCTTCGAGGCCTATGGTAGTAAAGGGAATAGCTTCATAGAAAAACTAGACAGATGCATTCTCAGGAACTTTTTGGTGATGTTTGTATTCAACTCCCAGAGTTGAACTTTCCTTTGGAAAGAGCAGCTATGAAACACTGTTTTTCTAGAATCTGCAAGTGGACGTTTGGAGGGCTTTGTGGTTTGTGGTGGAAAAGGAAATATCTTCACCTAAATACTAGATAGAAGCATCCTCAGAAGCTTCTCTGTGATGACTGCATTCAACTCACGGAGTTGAACACTCCTTTTGAGAGCGCAGTTTTGAAACTCTCTTTCTGTGGCATCTGCAAGGGGACATGTAGACCTCTTTGAAGATTTCGTTGGAAACGGAATCATCTTCACATAAAAACTATACAGAAGCAGTCTCAGAATCTTCTTTGTGATGTTTGCATTCAAATCCCCGAGTTGAACTTTCCTTTCAAAGTTCACGTTTGAAACACTCTTTTTGCAGGATCTACAAGTGGATATTTGGACCACTCTGTGTCCTTCGATCGAAACGGGTATATCTTCACATGACATCTAGACAGAAGCTTTCTCAGAAAATTCTTTGGGATGATTGAGTTGAACTCACAGAGCTGAGCATTCCTTGCGATGTAGCAGTTTAGAAACACACTTTCTGCAGAATCTGCAAGTGCATATTTGGACCTCTGTGAGGAATTCGTTGGAAACGGGATAATTTCAGCTGACTAAACAGAAGCATTCTCAGAACCTTCTTCGTGATGTCTGCATTCAACTCACAGTGTGGAACCTTTCTTTGATAGTTCAGGTTTGAAACACTCTTTTTGTAGAAACTGCAAGGGGATAATTGCACTCTTTGAGGAGTACCGTAGTAAAGGAAATAACTTCCTATAAAAAGAAGACAGAAGCATTCTCAGAACCCTCTTCGTGATGTTTGCATTCAACTCACAGTGCTGAACCTGTCTTTGATAGTTCAGCTTTGAAACACTCTTTTTGTAGAAACTGCAAGTGGATATTTGGTCCTCTCTGAGCATTTCGTTGGAAACGGGATAAACTGCACAGAACTAAACAGAAGCATTCTCAGAACCTTCTTCGTGATGTTTGCATTCAACTCACAGTGTTGAACCTTTCTTTGATAGTTCAGGTTTGAAACGGTCTTTCTGCAGAAACTGCAAGTAGATATTTGGACCGCTCTGAGGATTTCGTTGGAAACGGGATAACCCGCACAGAACTAAAACAGAAGCATTCACAGAAAACTCTTGGTGACGACTGAGTTTAACTCACAGAGCTGAACATTCCTTTGGATGGAGCAGTTTCGAAACACACTATTTGTAGAATGTGCAAGTGGATATTTAGGCCTCTCTGAGGATTTCGTTGGAAACGGGATAAACCGCACAGAACTAAACAGAAGCATTCTCAGAAACTACTTTGTGATGATTGCATTCAAGTCACAGAGTTGAACATTCCCTTTGACAGAGCAGTTTGGAAACTCTCTTTGTGTAGAATCTGCAAGTGGAGATATGGACCGCTTTGAGGCCTATGGTAGTAAAGGAAATAGCTTCATATAAAAGCTAGACAGTAGCATTCTCAGAAACTTCTTTGTGATGCTTGCATTCAACTCACAGAGTTGAACTTTCCTTTCGAGAGAGAAGCTTTGAAACACTCTTTTTCCAGAATCTGCAAGTGGACATTTGGAGGGCTTTGAGGCCTGTGGTGGAAAAGGAATTATCTTCCCGTAAAAGCTAGATAGAAGCATTGTCAGAAACTTCTTTGTGATGATTGCATTCAAGTCACAGAGTTGAAGGTTCCTTTTCAAAGAGCAGTTTCCAATCACTCTTTCTGTGGAATCTGCAAGTGGATATTTGGACCTATTTTGAAGATTTCGTTGGAAACGGGAGAATCTTCACAGAAAAGCTAAACAGAAGCATTCTCAGAAACTTCTCTGTGATGTTTGTGTTCAACTCCCAGAGTTTCACATTGCTTTTCATAGAGTAGTTCTGAAACATGCTTTTCGTAGTGTCTGCAAGTGGACATTTGGAGCGCTTTCAGGCCTGTGGTGGAAAACGAATTATGGTCACATAAAAACTGGAGAGAAGCCTTCTCAGAAACTTCTCTGTGATGATTGCATTCAACTCACAGAGTTGAACCCTCCTATGGATAGAGCAGTTTTGAAACTCTCTTTTTGTGGAATCTGCAAGTGGATATGTGGACCTCTCCGAAGATGTCTTTGGAAACGGGAATATCTTCACATAAAAACTAAACAGAAGCATTCTCAGAAACTTCTTGGTGATGTTTGCATTCAAATCCCAGAGTTGAACCTTCCTTTGATAGTTCAGGTTTGAAACACTCTTTTTGTAGGATCTGCAAGTGGATATTTGGACCACTCTGTGGCCTTCGTTCGAAACGGGTACATCTTCGCATAAAATCTAGACAGAAGCATTCTCAGAAAATACTTTGTGATGATTGAGTTTAACTCACAGAGCTGAACATTCCTTTGGATGGAGCAGGTTTGAGACACACCTTTTGTAGAATCTACAAGTGGATATTTGGACCTCTCTGAGGATTTCGTTGGAAACGGGATAACTGCACCTAACTAAACGGAAGCATTCTCAGAAACTGCTTTGTGATGATTGCATTCACCTCACAGAGTTGAACATTCCTATTGATAGAGCAGTTTGGAAACACTCTTGTTGTGGAATGTGCAAGTGGAGATTTGGAGCGCTTTGAGGCCTATGGTAGTAAAGGGAATAGCTTCATAGAAAAACTAGACAGATGCATTCTCAGGAACTTTTTGGTGATGTTTGTATTCAACTCCCAGAGTTGAACTTTCCTTTGGAAAGAGCAGCTATGAAACACTCTTTTTCTAGAATCTGCAAGTGGACGTTTGGAGGGCTTTGTGGTTTGTGGTGGAAAAGGAAATATCTTCACCTAAATACTAGATAGAAGCATTCTCAGAAGCTTCTCTGTGATGACTGCATTCAACTCACGGAGTTGAACACTCCTTTTGAGAGCGCAGTTTTGAAACTCTCTTTCTGTGGCATCTGCAAGGGGACATGTAGACCTCTTTGAAGATTTCGTTGGAAACGGAATCATCTTCACATAAAAACTATACAGAAGCAGTCTCAGAATCTTCTTTGTGATGTTTGCATTCAAATCCCAGAGTTGAACTTTCCTTTCAAAGTTCACGTTTGAAACACTCTTTTTGCAGGATCTACAAGTGGATATTTGGACCACTCTGTGTCCTTCGTTCGAAACGGGTATATCTTCACATGACATCTAGACAGAAGCTTTCTCAGAAAATTCTTTGGGATGATTGAGTTGAACTCACAGAGCTGAACATTCCTTGCGATGGAGCAGTTTAGAAACACACTTTCTGCAGAATCTGCAATTGCATATTTGGACCTCTCTGAGGAATTCGTTGGAAACGGGATAATTTCAGCTGACTAAACAGAAGCATTCTCAGAACCTTCTTCGTGATGTCTGCATTCAACTCACAGTGTGGAACCTTTCTTTGATAGTTCAGGTTTGAAACACTCTTTTTGTAGAAACTGCAAGGGGATAATTGCACTCTTTGAGGAGTACCGTAGTAAAGGAAATAACTTCCTATAAAAAGAAGACAGAAGCATTCTCAGAACCCTCTTCGTGATGTTTGCATTCAACTCACAGTGCTGAACCTTTCTTTGATAGTTCAGCTTTGAAACACTCTTTTTGTAGAAACTGCAAGTGGATATTTGGTCCTCTCTGAGCATTTCGTTGGAAACGGGATAAACTGCACAGAACTAAACAGAAGCATTCTCAGAACCTTCTTCGTGATGTTTGCATTCAACTCACAGTGTTGAACCTTTCTTTGATAGTTCAGGTTTGAAACGGTCTTTCTGTAGAAACTGCAAGTAGATATTTGGACCTCTCTGAGGATTTCGTTGGAAACGGGATAACCCGCACAGAACTAAAACAGAAGCATTCACAGAAAACTCTTGGTGACGACTGAGTTTAACTCACAGAGCTGAACATTCCTTTGGATGGAGCAGTTTCGAAACACACTATTTGTAGAATGTGCAAGTGGATATTTGGGCCTCTCTGAGGATTTCGTTGGAAACGGGATAAACCGCACAGAACTAAACAGAAGCATTCTCAGAAACTACTTTGTGATGATTGCATTCAAGTCACAGAGTTGAACATTCCCTTTGACAGAGCAGTTTGGAAACTCTCTTTGTGTAGAATCTGCAAGTGGAGATATGGACCGCTTTGAGGCCTATGGTAGTAAAGGAAATAGCTTCATATAAAAGCTAGACAGTAGCATTCTCAGAAACTTCTTTGTGATGCTTGCATTCAACTCACAGAGTTGAACTTTCCTTTCGAGAGAGAAGCTTTGAAACACTCTTTTTCCAGAATCTGCAAGTGGACATTTGGAGGGCTTTGAGGCCTGTGGTGGAAAAGGAATTATCTTCCCGTAAAAGCTAGATGGAAGCATTGTGAGAAACTACTTTGTGATGATTGCATTCAACTCACAGAGTTGAAGGTTCCTTTTCAAACAGCAGTTTCCAATCACTCTTTCTGTGGAATCTGCAAGTGGATATTTGGACCTATTTTGAAGATTTCGTTGGAAACGGGAGAATCTTCACAGAAAAGCTAAACAGAAGCATTCTCAGAAACTTCTCTGTGATGTTTGTGTTCAACTCCCAGAGTTTCACATTGCTTTTCATAGAGTAGTTCTGAAACATGCTTTTCGTAGTGTCTGCAAGTGGACATTTGGAGCGCTTTCAGGCCTGTGGTGGAAAACGAATTATGGTCACATAAAAACTGGAGAGAAGCCTTCTCAGAAACTTCTCTGTGATGATTGCATTCAACTCACAGAGTTGAACCCTCCTATGGATAGAGCAGTGTTGAAACTCTCTTTTTGTGGAATCTGCAAGTGGATATGTGGACCTCTCCGAAGATGTCTTTGGAAACGGGAATATCTTCACCTAAAAACTAAACAGATGCATTCTCAGGAACTTCTTGGTGATGTTTGCATTCAAATCCCAGAGGTGAACCTTCCTTTGATAGTTCAGGTTTGAAACACTCTTTTTGTAGGATCTGCAAGTGGCTATTTGGACCACTCTGTGGGCTTCGTTCGAAACGGGTATATCTTCGCATAAAATCTAGACAGAAGCATTCTCAGAAAATACTTTGTGATGATTGAGTTTAAATCACAGAGCTGACCATTCCTTTGGATGGAGCAGGTTTGAGACACACTTTTTGTAGAATCTACAAGTGGATATTTGGACCTCTCTGAGGATTTCGTTGGAAACGGGATAACTGCACCTAACTAAACGGAAGCATTCTCAGAAACTGCTTTGTGATGATTGCATTCACCTCACAGAGTTGAACATTCCTATTGATAGAGCAGTTTGGAAACACTCTTGTTGTGGAATGTGCAAGTGGAGATTTGGAGCGCTTTGAGGCCTATGGTAGTAAAGGGAATAGCTTCATAGAAAAACTAGACAGATGCATTCTCAGGAACTTTTTGGTGATGTTTGTATTCAACTCCCAGAGTTGAACTTTCCTTTGGAAAGAGCAGCTATGAAACACTCTTTTTCTAGAATCTGCAAGCGGACGTTTGGAGGGCTTTGTGGTTTGTGGTGGAAAAGGAAATATCTTCACCTAAATACTAGATAGAAGCATTCTCAGAAGCTTCTCTGTGATGACTGCATTCAACTCACGGAGTTGAACACTCCTTTTGAGAGCGCAGTTTTGAAACTCTCTTTCTGTGGCATCTGCAAGGGGACATGTAGACCTCTTTGAAGATTTCGTTGGAAACGGAATCATCTTCACATAAAAACTATACAGAAGCAGTCTCAGAATCTTCTTTGTGATGTTTGCATTCAAATCCCAGAGTTGAACTTTCCTTTCAAAGTTCACGTTTGAAACACTCTTTTTGCAGGATCTACAAGTGGATATTTGGACCACTCTGTGTCCTTCGTTCGAAACGGGTATATCTTCACACGACATCTAGACAGAAGCTTTCTCAGAAAATTCTTTGGGATGATTGAGTGGAACTCACAGAGCTGAACATTCCTTGCGATGTAGCAGTTTAGAAACACACTTTCTGCAGAATCTGCAAGTGCATATTTGGACCTCTCTGAGGAATTCGTTGGAAACGGGATAATTTCAGCTGACTAAACAGAAGCATTCTCAGAACCTTCTTCGTGATGTCTGCATTCAACTCACAGTGTGGAACCTTTCTTTGATAGTTCAGGTTTGAAACACTCTTTTTGTAGAAACTGCAAGGGGATAATTGCACTTCTTTGAGGCCTACCGTAGTAAAGGAAATAACTTCCTATAGAAAGAAGACAGAAGCATTCTCAGAACCCTCTTCGTGATGTTTGCATTCAACTCACAGTGCTGAACCTTTCTTTGATAGTTCAGCTTTGAAACACTCTTCTTGTAGAAACTGCAAGTGGATATTTGGTCCTCTCTGAGGATTTCGTTGGAAACGGGATAAACCGCACAGAACTAAACAGAAGAATTCTCAGAGCCCTCTTCGTGATGTTTGCATTCAACTCACAGTGCTGAACCTTTCTTTGATAGTGCAGCTTTGAAACACTCTTTTTGTAGAAACTGCAAGTGGATGTTTGGTCCTCTCTGAGGATTTCGTTGGAAACGGGATAAACCGCACAGAACTAAAACAGAGAGCATTGTCAGAAACTTCTTTGTGATGATTGCATTCAACTCACAGAGTTGAAGGTTCCTTTTCAAACAGCAGTTTCCAATCACTCTTTCTGTGGAATCTGCAAGTGGATATTTGGGCCTCTCTGAGGATTTCGTTGGAAACGGGATAAAACGCACAGAACTAAAACAGAGCATTCTCAGAAACTTCTCTGTGATGTTTGTGTTCAACTCCCAGAGTTTCACATTGCTTCTCATAGAGTAGTTCTGAAACATGCTTTTCGTAGTGTCTGCAAGTGGACATTTGGAGCGCTTTCAGGCCTGTGGTGGAAAACGAGTTATGGTCACATAAAAACTGGAGAGAAGCCTTCTCAGAAACTTCTCTGTGATGATTGCATTCAACTCACAGAGTTGAACCCTCCTATGGATAGAGCAGTGTTGAAACTCTCTTTTTGTGGAATCTGCAAGTGGATATGTGGACCTCTCCGAAGATGTCTTTGGAAACGGGAATATCTTCACATAAAAACTAAACAGAAGCATTCTCAGAAACTTCTTGGTGATGTTTGCATTCAAATCCCAGAGTTGAACCTTCCTTTGATAGTTCAGGTTTGAAACACTCTTTTTGTAGGATCTGCAAGTGGATATTTGGACCACTCTGTGGCCTTCGTTCGAAACGGGTACATCTTCGCATAAAATCTAGACAGAAGCATTCTCAGAAAATACTTTGTGATGATTGAGTTGAACTCACAGAGCTGAACATTCCTTTGGATGGAGCAGGTTTGAGACACACTTTTTGTAGAATCTACAAGTGGATATTTGGACCTCTCTGAGGATTTCGTTGGAAACGGGATAACTGCACCTAACTAAACGGAAGCATTCTCAGAAACTGCTTTGTGATGATTGCATTCACCTCACAGAGTTGAACATTCCTATTGATAGAGCAGTTTGGAAACACTCTTGTTGTGGAATGTGCAAGTGGAGATTTGGAGCGCTTTGAGGCCTATGGTAGTAAAGGGAATAGCTTCATAGAAAAACTAGACAGAATGCATTCTCAGGAACTTTTTGGTGATGTTTGTATTCAACTCCCAGAGTTGAACTTTCCTTTGGAAAGAGCAGCTATGAAACACTCTTTTTCTAGAATCTGCAAGTGGACGTTTGGAGGGCTTTGTGGTTTGTGGTGGAAAAGGAAATATCTTCACCTAAATACTAGATAGAAGCATTCTCAGAAGCTTCTCTGTGATGACTGCATTCAACTCACGGAGTTGAACACTCCTTTTGAGAGCGCAGTTTTGAAACTCTCTTTCTGTGGCATCTGCAAGGGGACATGTAGACCTACTTTGAAGATTTCGTTGGAAACGGAATCATCTTCACATAAAAACTATACAGAAGCAGTCTCAGAATCTTCTTTGTGATGTTTGCATTCAAATCCCAGAGTTGAACTTTCCTTTCAAAGTTCACGTTTGAAACACTCTTTTTGCAGGATCTACAAGTGGATATTTGGACCACTCTGTGTCCTTCGTTCGAAACGGGTATATCTTCACACGACATCTAGACAGAAGCTTTCTCAGAAAATTCTTTGGGATGATTGAGTGGAACTCACAGAGCTGAACATTCCTTGCGATGTAGCAGTTTAGAAACACACTTTCTGCAGAATCTGCAAGTGCATATTTGGACCTCTCTGAGGAATTCGTTGGAAACGGGATAATTTCAGCTGACTAAACAGAAGCATTCTCAGAACTTCTTCGTGATGTCTGCATTCAACTCACAGTGTGGAACCTTTCTTTGATAGTTCAGGTTTGAAACACTCTTTTTGTAGAAACTGCAAGGGGATAATTGCACTTCTTTGAGGCCTACCGTAGTAAAGGAAATAACTTCCTATAGAAAGAAGACAGAAGAATTCTCAGAGCCCTCTTCGTGATGTTTGCATTCAACTCACAGTGCTGAACCTTTCTTTGATAGTGCAGCTTTGAAACACTCTTTTTGTAGAAACTGCAAGTGGATGTTTGGTCCTCTGCTGAGGATTTCGTTGGAAACGGGATAAACCGCACAGAACTAAAACAGAAGCATTGTCAGAAACTTCTTTGTGATGATTGCATTCAACTCACAGAGTTGAAGGTTCCTTTTCAAACAGCAGTTTCCAATCACTCTTTCTGTGGAATCTGCAAGTGGATATTTGGGCCTCTCTGAGGATTTCGTTGGAAACGGGATAAAACGCACAGAACTAAAACAGAAGCATTCTCAGAAACTTCTCTGTGATGTTTGTGTTCAACTCCCAGAGTTTCACGTTGCTTTTCATAGAGTAGTTCTGAAACATGCTTTTCGTAGTGTCTGCAAGTGGACATTTGGAGCGCTTTCAGGCCTGTGGTGGAAAACGAATTATGGTCACATAAAAACTGGAGAGAAGCCTTCTCAGAAACTTCTCTGTGATGATTGCATTCAACTCACAGAGTTGAACCCTCCTATGGATAGAGCAGTGTTGAAACTCTCTTTTTGTGGAATCTGCAAGTGGATATGTGGACCTCTCCGAAGATGTCTTTGGAAACGGGAATATCTTCACATAAAAACTAAACAGAAGCATTCTCAGAAACTTCTTGGTGATGTTTGCATTCAAATCCCAGAGTTGAACCTTCCTTTGATAGTTCAGGTTTGAAACACTCTTTTTGTAGGATCTGCAAGTGGCTATTTGGACCAATCTGTGGCCTTCGTTCGAAACGGGTATATCTTCGCATAAAATCTAGACAGAAGCATTCTCAGAAAATACTTTGTGATGATTGAGTTTAAATCACAGAGCTGACCATTCCTTTGGATGGAGCAGGTTTGAGACACACTTTTTGTAGAATCTACAAGTGGATATTTGGACCTCTCTGAGGATTTCGTTGGAAACAGGATAACTGCACCTAACTAAACGGAAGCATTCTCAGAAACTGCTTTGTGATGATTGCATTCACCTCACAGAGTTGAACATTCGTATTGATAGAGCAGTTTGGAAACACTCTTCTTGTGGAATGTGCAAGTGGAGATTTGGAGCGCTTTGGGGCCTATGGTAGTAAAGGGAATAGCTTCATAGAAAAACTAGACAGATGCATTCTCAGGAACTTTTTGGTGATGTTTGTATTCAACTCCCAGAGTTGAACTTTCCTTTGGAAAGAGCAGCTATGAAACACTCTTTTTCTAGAATCTGCAAGTGGACGTTTGGAGGGCTTTGTGGTTTGTGGTGGAAAAGGAAATATCTTCACCTAAATACTAGATAGAAGCATTCTCAGAAGCTTCTCTGTGATGACTGCATTCAACTCACGGAGTTGAACACTCCTTTTGAGAGCGCAGTTTTGAAACTCTCTTTCTGTGGCATCTGCAAGGGGACATGTAGACCTCTTTGAAGATTTCGTTGGAAACGGAATCATCTTCACATAAAAACTATACAGAAGCAGTCTCAGAATCTTCTTTGTGATGTTTGCATTCAAATCCCAGAGTTGAACTTTCCTTTCAAAGTTCACGTTTGAAACACTCTTTTTGCAGGATCTACAAGTGGATATTTGGACCACTCTGTGTCCTTCGTTCGAAACGGGTATATCTTCACACGACATCTAGACAGAAGCTTTCTCAGAAAATTCTTTGGGATGATTGAGTGGAACTCACAGAGCTGAACATTCCTTGCGATGTAGCAGTTTAGAAACACACTTTCTGCAGAATCTGCAAGTGCATATTTGGACCTCTCTGAGGAATTCGTTGGAAACGGGATAATTTCAGCTGACTAAACAGAAGCATTCTCAGAACCTTCTTCGTGATGTCTGCATTCAACTCACAGTGTGGAACCTTTCTTTGATAGTTCAGGTTTGAAACACTCTTTTTGTAGAAACTGCAAGGGGATAATTGCACTTCTTTGAGGCCTACCGTAGTAAAGGAAATAACTTCCTATAGAAAGAAGACAGAAGCATTCTCAGAACCCTCTTCGTGATGTTTGCATTCAACTCACAGTGCTGAACCTTTCTTTGATAGTTCAGCTTTGAAACACTCTTCTTGTAGAAACTGCAAGTGGATATTTGGTCCTCTCTGAGGATTTCGTTGGAAACGGGATAAACCGCACAGAACTAAACAGAAGAATTCTCAGAGCCCTCTTCGTGATGTTTGCATTCAACTCACAGTGCTGAACCTTTCTTTGATAGTGCAGCTTTGAAACACTCTTTTTGTAGAAACTGCAAGTGGATGTTTGGTCCTCTCTGAGGATTTCGTTGGAAACGGGATAAACCGCACAGAACTAAAACAGAAGCATTGTCAGAAACTTCTTTGTGATGATTGCATTCAACTCACAGAGTTGAAGGTTCCTTTTCAAACAGCAGTTTCCAATCACTCTTTCTGTGGAATCTGCAAGTGGATATTTGGGCCTCTCTGAGGATTTCGTTGGAAACGGGATAAAACGCACAGAACTAAAACAGAAGCATTCTCAGAAACTTCTCTGTGATGTTTGTGTTCAACTCCCAGAGTTTCACGTTGCTTTTCATAGAGTAGTTCTGAAACATGCTTTTCGTAGTGTCTGCAAGTGGACATTTGGAGCGCTTTCAGGCCTGTGGTGGAAAACGAATTATGGTCACATAAAAACTGGAGAGAAGCCTTCTCAGAAACTTCTCTGTGATGATTGCATTCAACTCACAGAGTTGAACCCTCCTATGGATAGAGCAGTGTTGAAACTCTCTTTTTGTGGAATCTGCAAGTGGATATGTGGACCTCTCCGAAGATGTCTTTGGAAACGGGAATATCTTCACATAAAAACTAAACAGAAGCATTCTCAGAAACTTCTTGGTGATGTTTGCATTCAAATCCCAGAGTTGAACCTTCCTTTGATAGTTCAGGTTTGAAACACTCTTTCTGTAGGATCTGCAAGTGGCTATTTGGACCACTCTGTGGCCTTCGTTCGAAACGGGTATATCTTCGCATAAAATCTAGACAGAAGCATTCTCAGAAAATACTTTGTGATGATTGAGTTTAAATCACAGAGCTGACCATTCCTTTGGATGGAGCAGGTTTGAGACACACTTTTTGTAGAATCTACAAGTGGATATTTGGACCTCTCTGAGGATTTCGTTGGAAACGGGATAACTGCACCTAACTAAACGGAAGCATTCTCAGAAACTGCTTTGTGATGATTGCATTCACCTCACAGAGTTGAACATTCCTATTGATAGAGCAGTTTGGAAACACTCTTGTTGTGGAATGTGCAAGTGGAGATTTGGAGCGCTTTGAGGCCTATGGTAGTAAAGGGAATAGCTTCATAGAAAAACTAGACAGATGCATTCTCAGGAACTTTTTGGTGATGTTTGTATTCAACTCCCAGAGTTGAACTTTCCTTTGGAAAGAGCAGCTATGAAACACTCTTTTTCTAGAATCTGCAAGTGGACGTTTGGAGGGCTTTGTGGTTTGTGGTGGAAAAGGAAATATCTTCACCTAAATACTAGATAGAAGCATTCTCAGAAGCTTCTCTGTGATGACTGCATTCAACTCACGGAGTTGAACACTCCTTTTGAGAGCGCAGTTTTGAAACT
Organism: Homo sapiens; assembly: GCF_000001405.40. Classification (NCBI taxonomy): domain Eukaryota; kingdom Metazoa; phylum Chordata; class Mammalia; order Primates; family Hominidae; genus Homo; species Homo sapiens. The sequence goes on from NC_000017.11 coordinate 23,255,865, forward strand.
CTCTTTCTGTGGCATCTGCAAGGGGACATGTAGACCTCTTTGAAGATTTCGTTGGAAACGGAATCATCTTCACATAAAAACTATACAGAAGCAGTCTCAGAATCTTCTTTGTGGTGTTTGCATTCAAATCCCAGAGTTGAACTTTCCTTTCAAAGTTCACGTTTGAAACACTCTTTTTGCAGGATCTACAAGTGGATATTTGGACCACTCTGTGTCCTTCGTTCGAAACGGGTATATCTTCACATGACATCTAGACAGAAGCATTGTCAGAAACTTCTTTGTGATGATTGCATTCAACTCACAGAGTTGAAGGTTCCTTTTCAAACAGCAGTTTCCAAACACCCTTTCTGTGGAATCTGCAAGTGCATATTTGGACCTCTCTGAGGAATTCGTTGGAAACGGGATAATTTCAGCTGACTAAACAGAAGCATTCTCAGAACCTTCTCTGTGATGTTTGTGTTCAACTCCCAGAGTTTCACATTGCTTTTCATAGAGTAGTTCTGAAACATGCTTTTCGTAGTGTCTGCAAGTGGACATTTGGAGCGCTTTCAGGCCTGTGGTGGAAAACGAATTATGGTCACATAAAAACTGGAGAGAAGCCTTCTCAGAAACTTCTCTGTGATGATTGCATTCAACTCACAGAGTTGAACACTCCTATGGATAGAGCAGTGTTGAAACTCTCTTTTTGTGAAATCTGCAAGTGGATATGTGGACCTCTCCGAAGATGTCTTTGGAAACGGGAATATCTTCACATAAAAGCTAAACAGAAGCATTCTCAGAAACTTCTTGGTGATGTTTGCATTCAAATCCCAGAGTTGAACATTCCTTTGACAGTTCAGGTTTGAAACACTCTTTTTGTAGGTTCTGCAAGTGGATATTTGGACCACTCTGTGGCCTTCGTTCGAAACGGGTACATCTTCGCATAAAATCTAGACAGAAGCATTCTCAGAAAATACTTTGTGATGATTGAGTTTAACTCACAGAGCTGAACATTCCTTTGGATGGAGCAGGTTTGAGACACACTTTTTATAGAATCTACAAGTGGATATTTGGACCTCTCTGAGGATTTCGTTGGAAACGGGATAACTGCACCTAACTAAACGGAAGCATTCTCAGCAAACTGCTTTGTGATGATTGCATTCACCTCACAGAGTTGAACATTCCTATTGATAGAGGAGTTTGGAAACACTCCTGTTGTGGAATGTGCAAGTGGAGATTTGGAGCGCTTTGAGGCCTATGGTAGTAAAGGGAATAACTTCATAGAAAAACTAGACAGATGCATTCTCAGGTAACTTTTTGGTGATGTTTGTATTCAACTCCCAGCAGTTGAACTTTCCTTTGGAAAGAGCAGCTATGAAACACTCTTTTTCTAGAATCTGCAAGTGGACGTTTGGAGGGCTTTGTGGTTTGTGGTGGAAAAGGAAATATCTTCACCTAAATACTAGACAGAAGCATTCTCAGAAGCTTCTCTGTGATGACTGCATTCAACTCACGGAGTTGAACACTCCTTTTGAGAGCGCAGTTTTGAAACTCTCTTTCTGTGGCATCTGCAAGGGGACATGTAGACCTCTTTGAAGATTTCGTTGGAAACGGAATCATCTTCACATAAAAACTATACAGAAGCAGTCTCAGAATCTTCTTTGTGATGTTTGCATTCAAATCCCAGAGTTGAACTTTCCTTTCAAAGTTCACGTTTGAAACACTCTTTTTGCAGGATCTACAAGTGGATATTTGGACCACTCTGTGTCCTTCGTTCGAAACGGGTATATCTTCACATGACATCTAGACAGAAGCTTTCTCAGAAAATTCTTTGGGTTGATTGAGTGGAACTCACAGAGCTGAACATTCCTTGCGATGTAGCAGTTTAGAAACACACTTTCTGCAGAATCTGCAAGTGCATATTTGGACCTCTCTGAGGAATTCGTTGGAAACGGGATAATTTCAGCTGACTAAACAGAAGCATTCTCAGAACCTTCTTCGTGATGTCTGCATTCAACTCACAGTGTGGAACCTTTCTTTGATAGTTCAGGTTTGAAACACTCTTTTTGTAGAAACTGCAAGGGGATAATTGCACTTCTTTGAGGCCTACCGTAGTAAAGGAAATAACTTCCTATAGAAAGAAGACAGAAGCATTCTCAGAACCCTCTTCGTGATGTTTGCATTCAACTCACAGTGCTGAACCTTTCTTTGATAGTTCAGCTTTGAAACACTCTTCTTGTAGAAACTGCAAGTGGATATTTGGTCCTCTCTGAGGATTTCGTTGGAAACGGGATAAACCGCACAGAACTAAACAGAAGAATTCTCAGAGCCCTCTTCGTGATGTTTGCATTCAACTCACAGTGCTGAACCTTTCTTTGATAGTGCAGCTTTGAAACACTCTTTTTGTAGAAACTGCAAGTGGATGTTTGGTCCTCTCTGAGGATTTCGTTGGAAACGGGATAAACCGCACAGAACTAAAACAGAAGCATTGTCAGAAACTTCTTTGTGATGATTGCATTCAACTCACAGAGTTGAAGGTTCCTTTTCAAACAGCAGTTTCCAATCACTCTTTCTGTGGAATCTGCAAGTGGATATTTGGGCCTCTCTGAGGATTTCGTTGGAAACGGGATAAAACGCACAGAACTAAAACAGAAGCATTCTCAGAAACTTCTCTGTGATGTTTGTGTTCAACTCCCAGAGTTTCACGTTGCTTTTCATAGAGTAGTTCTGAAACATGCTTTTCGTAGTGTCTGCAAGTGGACATTTGGAGCGCTTTCAGGCCTGTGGTGGAAAACGAATTATGGTCACATAAAAACTGGAGAGAAGCCTTCTCAGAAACTTCTCTGTGATGATTGCATTCAACTCACAGAGTTGAACCCTCCTATGGATAGAGCAGTGTTGAAACTCTCTTTTTGTGGAATCTGCAAGTGGATATGTGGACCTCTCCGAAGATGTCTTTGGAAACGGGAATATCTTCACATAAAAACTAAACAGAAGCATTCTCAGAAACTTCTTGGTGATGTTTGCATTCAAATCCCAGAGTTGAACCTTCCTTTGATAGTTCAGGTTTGAAACACTCTTTCTGTAGGATCTGCAAGTGGCTATTTGGACCACTCTGTGGCCTTCGTTCGAAACGGGTATATCTTCGCATAAAATCTAGACAGAAGCATTCTCAGAAAATACTTTGTGATGATTGAGTTTAAATCACAGAGCTGACCATTCCTTTGGATGGAGCAGGTTTGAGACACACTTTTTGTAGAATCTACAAGTGGATATTTGGACCTCTCTGAGGATTTCGTTGGAAACGGGATAACTGCACCTAACTAAACGGAAGCATTCTCAGAAACTGCTTTGTGATGATTGCATTCACCTCACAGAGTTGAACATTCCTATTGATAGAGCAGTTTGGAAACACTCTTGTTGTGGAATGTGCAAGTGGAGATTTGGAGCGCTTTGAGGCCTATGGTAGTAAAGGGAATAGCTTCATAGAAAAACTAGACAGATGCATTCTCAGGAACTTTTTGGTGATGTTTGTATTCAACTCCCAGAGTTGAACTTTCCTTTGGAAAGAGCAGCTATGAAACACTCTTTTTCTAGAATCTGCAAGTGGACGTTTGGAGGGCTTTGTGGTTTGTGGTGGAAAAGGAAATATCTTCACCTAAATACTAGATAGAAGCATTCTCAGAAGCTTCTCTGTGATGACTGCATTCAACTCACGGAGTTGAACACTCCTTTTGAGAGCGCAGTTTTGAAACTCTCTTTCTGTGGCATCTGCAAGGGGACATGTAGACCTCTTTGAAGATTTCGTTGGAAACGGAATCATCTTCACATAAAAACTATACAGAAGCAGTCTCAGAATCTTCTTTGTGATGTTTGCATTCAAATCCCAGAGTTGAACTTTCCTTTCAAAGTTCACGTTTGAAACACTCTTTTTGCAGGATCTACAAGTGGATATTTGGACCACTCTGTGTCCTTCGTTCGAAACGGGTATATCTTCACACGACATCTAGACAGAAGCTTTCTCAGCAAAATTCTTTGGGATGATTGAGTGGAACTCACAGAGCTGAACATTCCTTGCGATGTAGCAGTTTAGAAACACACTTTCTGCAGAATGTGCAAGTGCATATTTGGACCTCTCTGAGGAATTCGTTGGAAACGGGATAATTTCAGCTGACTAAACAGAAGCATTCTCAGAACCTTCTTCGTGATGTCTGCATTCAACTCACAGTGTGGAACCTTTCTTTTATAGTTCAGGTTTGAAACACTCTTTTTGTAGAAACTGCAAGGGGATAATTGCACTCTTTGAGGAGTACCGTAGTAAAGGAAATAACTTCCTATAAAAAGAAGACAGAAGCATTCTCAGAACCCTCTTCGTGATGTTTGCATTCAACTCACAGTGCTGAACCTTTCTTTGATAGTTCAGCTTTGAAACACTCTTTTTGTAGAAACTGCAAGTGGATATTTGGTCCTCTCTGAGCATTTCGTTGGAAACGGGATAAACTGCACAGAACTAAACAGAAGCATTCTCAGAACCTTCTTCGTGATGTTTGCATTCAACTCACAGTGTTGAACCTTTCTTTGATAGTTCAGGTTTGAAACGGTCTTTCTGTAGAAACTGCAAGTAGATATTTGGACCTCTCTGAGGATTTCGTTGGAAACGGGATAACCCGCACAGAACTAAAACAGAAGCATTCACAGAAAACTCTTGGTGACGACTGAGTTTAACTCACAGAGCTGAACATTCCTTTGGATGGAGCAGTTTCGAAACACACTATTTGTAGAATGTGCAAGTGGATATTTGGGCCTCTCTGAGGATTTCGTTGGAAACGGGATAAACCGCACAGAACTAAACAGAAGCATTCTCAGAAACTACTTTGTGATGATTGCATTCAAGTCACAGAGTTGAACATTCCCTTTGACAGAGCAGTTTGGAAACTCTCTTTGTGTAGAATCTGCAATTGAGATATGGACCGCTTTGTGGCCTATGGTAGTAAAGGAAATAGCTTCATATAAAAGCTAGACAGTAGCATTCTCAGAAACTTCTTTGTGATGCTTGCATTCAACTCACAGAGTTGAACTTTCCTTTCGAGAGAGAAGCTTTGAAACACTCTTTTTCCAGAAAGTGCAAGTGGACATTTGGTGGGCTTTGAGGCATGTGGTGGAAAAGGAATTATCTTCCGGTAAAAGCTAGATAGAAGCATTGTCAGAAACTTCTTTGTGATGATTGCATTCAACTCACAGAGTTGAAGGTTCCTTTTCAAACAGCAATTTCCAATCACTCTTTCTGTGGAATCTGCAAGTGGATATTTCGACCTCTTTGAAGATTTCGTTGGAAACGGGAGAATCTTCACAGAAAAGCTAAACAGAAGCATTCTCAGAAACTTCTCTGTGATGTTTGTGTTCAACTCCCAGAGTTTCACATTGCTTCTCATAGAGTAGTTCTGAAACATGCTTTTCGTAGTGTCTGCAAGTGGACATTTGGAGCGCTTTCAGGCCTGTGGTGGAAAACGAATTATGGTCACATAAAAACTGGAGAGAAGCCTTCTCAGAAACTTCTCTGTGATGATTGCATTCAACTCACAGAGTTGAACCCTCCTATGGATAGAGCAGTGTTGAAACTCTCTTTTTGTGGAATCTGCAAGCGGATATGTGGACCTCTCCGAAGATGTCTTTGGAAACGGGAATATCTTCACATAAAAACTAAACAGAAGCATTCTCAGAAACTTCTTGGTGATGTTTGCATTCAAATCCCAGAGTTGAACCTTCCTTTGAGAGTTCAGGTTTGAAACACTCTTTTTGTAGGATCTGCAAGTGGATATTTGGACCACTCTGTGGCCTTCGTTCGAAACGGGTACATCTTCGCATAAAATCTAGACAGAAGCATTCTCAGAAAATACTTTGTGATGATTGAGTTTAACTCACAGAGCTGAACATTCCTTTGGATGGAGCAGGTTTGAGACACACTTTTTGTAGAATCTACAAGTGGATATTTGGACCTCTCTGAGGATTTCGTTGGAAACGGGATAACTGCACCTAACTAAACGGAAGCATTCTCAGAAACTGCTTTGTGATGATTGCATTCACCTCACAGAGTTGAACATTCCTATTGATAGAGCAGTTTGGAAACACTCTTCTTGTGGAATGTGCAAGTGGAGATTTGGAGCGCTTTGAGGCCTATGGTAGTAAAGGGAATAGCTTCATAGAAAAACTAGACAGATGCATTCTCAGGAACTTTTTGGTGATGTTTGTATTCAACTCCCAGAGTTGAACTTTCCTTTGGAAAGAGCAGCTATGAAACACTCTTTTTCTAGAATCTGCAAGTGGACGTTTGGAGGGCTTTGTGGTTTGTGGTGGAAAAGGAAATATCTTCACCTAAATACTAGATAGAAGCATTCTCAGAAGCTTCTCTGTGATGACTGCATTCAACTCACGGAGTTGAACACTCCTTTTGAGAGCGCAGTTTTGAAACTCTCTTTCTGTGGCATCTGCAAGGGGACATGTAGACCTCTTTGAAGATTTCGTTGGAAACGGAATCATCTTCACATCAAAACTATACAGAAGCAGTCTCAGAATCTTCTTTGTGATGTTTGCATTCAAATCCCCGAGTTGAACTTTCCTTTCAAAGTTCACGTTTGAAACACTCTTTTTGCAGGATCTACAAGTGGATATTTGGACCACTCTGTGTCCTTCGTTCGAAACGGGTATATCTTCACATGACATCTAGACAGAAGCTTTCTCAGAAAATTCTTTGGGATGATTGAGTTGAACTCACAGAGCTGAGCATTCCTTGCGATGTAGCAGTTTAGAAACACACTTTCTGCAGAATCTGCAAGTGCATATTTGGACCTCTGTGAGGAATTCGTTGGAAACGGGATAATTTCAGCTGACTAAACAGAAGCATTCTCAGAACCTTCTTCGTGATGTCTGCATTCAACTCACAGTGTGGAACCTTTCTTTGATAGTTCAGGTTTGAAACACTCTTTTTGTAGAAACTGCAAGGGGATAATTGCACTCTTTGAGGAGTACCGTAGTAAAGGAAATAACTTCCTATAAAAAGAAGACAGAAGCATTCTCAGAACCCTCTTCGTGATGTTTGCATTCAACTCACAGTGCTGAACCTTTCTTTGATAGTTCAGCTTTGAAACACACTTTTTGTAGAAACTGCAAGTGGATATTTGGTCCTCTCTGAGGATTTCGTTGGAAACGGGATAAACTGCACAGAACTAAACAGAAGCATTCTCAGAACTTCTTCGTGATGTTTGCATTCAACTCACAGTGTTGAACCTTTCTTTGATAGTTCAGGTTTGAAACGGTCTTTCTGTAGAAACTGCAAGTAGATATTTGGACCTCTCTGAGGATTTCGTTGGAAACGGGATAAACCGCACAGAACTAAAACAGAAGCATTCACAGAAAACTCTTGGTGACGACTGAGTTTAACTCACAGAGCTGAACATTCCTTTGGATGGAGCAGTTTCGAAACACACTATTTGTAGAATCTGCAAGTGGATATTTGGGCCTCTCTGAGGATTTCGATGGAAACGGGATAAACCGCACAGAACTAAACAGAAGCATTCTCAGAAACTACTTTGTGATGATTGCATTCAAGTCACAGAGCTGAACATTCCCTTTGACAGAGCAGTTTGGAAACTCTCTTTGTGTAGAATCTGCAAGTGGAGATATGGAATGCTTTGAGGACTATGGTAGTAAAGGAAATAGCTTCATATAAAAGCTAGACAGTAGCATTCTCAGAAACTTCTTTGTGATGCTTGCATTCAACTCACAGAGTTGAACTTTCCTTTCGAGAGAGAAGCTTTGAAACACTCTTTTTCCAGAATCTGCAAGTGGACATTTGGAGGGCTTTGAGGCCTGTGGTGGAAAAGGAATTATCTTCCCGTAAAAGCTAGATAGAAGCTTTGTCAGAAACTTCTTTGTGATGATTGCATTCAAGTCACAGAGTTGAAGGTTCCTTTTCAAAGAGCAGTTTCCAATCACTCTTTCTGTGGAATCTGCAAGTGGATATTTGGACCTCTTTGAAGATTTCGTTGGAAACGGGAGAATATTCACAGAAAAGCTAAACAGAAGCATTCTCAGAAACTTCTCTGTGATGTTTGTGTTCAACTCCCAGAGTTTCACATTGCTTTTCATAGAGTAGTTCTGAAACATGCTTTTCGTAGTGTCTGCAAGTGGACATTTGGAGCGCTTTCAGGCCTGTGGTGGAAAACGAATTATGGTCACATAAAAACTGGAGAGAAGCCTTCTCAGAAACTTCTCTGTGATGATTGCATTCAACTCACAGAGTTGAACCCTCCTATGGATAGAGCAGTGTTGAAACTCTCTTTTTGTGGAATCTGCAAGTGGATATGTGGACCTCTCCGAAGATGTCTTTGGAAACGGGAATATCTTCACATAAAAACTAAACAGAAGCATTCTCAGAAACTTCTTGGTGATGTTTGCATTCAAATCCCAGAGTTGAACCTTCCTTTGATAGTTCAGGTTTGAAACACTCTTTTTGTAGGATCTGCAAGTGGATATTTGGACCACTCTGTGGCCTTCGTTCGAAACGGGTACATCTTCGCATAAAATCTAGACAGAAGCATTCTCAGAAAATACTTTGTGATGATTGAGTTTAACTCACAGAGCTGAACATTCCTTTGGATGGTGCAGGTTTGAGACACACTTTTTGTAGAATCTACAAGTGGATATTTGGACCTCTCTGAGGATTTCGTTGGAAACGGGATAACTGCACCTAACTAAACGGAAGCATTCTCAGAAACTGCTTTGTGATGATTGCATTCACCTCACAGAGTTGAACATTCCTATTGATAGAGCAGTTTGGAAACACTCTTGTTGTGGAATGTGCAAGTGGAGATTTGGAGCGCTTTGAGGCCTATGGTAGTAAAGGGAATAGCTTCATAGAAAAACTAGACAGATGCATTCTCAGGAACTTTTTGGTGATGTTTGTATTCAACTCCCAGAGTTGAACTTTCCTTTGGAAAGAGCAGCTATGAAACACTCTTTTTCTAGAATCTGCAAGTGGACGTTTGGAGGGCTTTGTGGTTTGTGGTGGAAAAGGAAATATCTTCACCTAAATACTAGATAGAAGCATTCTCAGAAGCTTCTCTGTGATGACTGCATTCAACTCACGGAGTTGAACACTCCTTTTGAGAGCGCAGTTTTGAAACTCTCTTTCTGTGGCATCTGCAAGGGGACATGTAGACCTCTTTGAAGATTTCGTTGGAAACGGAATCATCTTCACATAAAAACTATACAGAAGCAGTCTCAGAATCTTCTTTGTGATGTTTGCATTCAAATCCCAGCAGTTGAACTTTCCTTTCAAAGTTCACGTTTGAAACACTCTTTTTGCAGGATCTACAAGTGGATATTTGGACCACTCTGTGTCCTTCGTTCGAAACGGGTATATCTTCACACGACATCTAGACAGAAGCTTTCTCAGAAAATTCTTTGGGATGATTGAGTGGAACTCACAGAGCTGAACATTCCTTGCGATGTAGCAGTTTAGAAACACACTTTCTGCAGAATCTGCAAGTGCATATTTGGACCTCTCTGAGGAATTCGTTGGAAACGGGATAATTTCAGCTGACTAAACAGAAGCATTCTCAGAACCTTCTTCGTGATGTCTGCATTCAACTCACAGTGTGGAACCTTTCTTTGATAGTTCAGGTTTGAAACACTCTTTTTGTAGAAACTGCAAGGGGATAATTGCACTTCTTTGAGGCCTACCCGTAGTAAAGGAAATAACTTCCTATAGAAAGAAGACAGAAGCATTCTCAGAACCTTCTTCGTGATGTTTGCATTCAACTCACACTGCTGAACCTTTCTTTGATAGTTCAGCTTTGAAACACTCTTTTTGTAGAAACTGCAAGTGGATATTTGGTCCTCTCTGAGGATTTCGTTGGAAACGGGATAAACTACGCAGAACTAAACAGAAGAATTCTCAGAGCCCTCTTCGTGATGTTTGCATTCAACTCACAGTGCTGAACCTTTCTTTGATAGTGCAGCTTTGAAACACTCTTTTTGTAGAAACTGCAAGTGGATGTTTGGTCCTCTCTGAGGATTTCGTTGGAAACGGGATAAACCGCACAGAACTAAAACAGAAGCATTGTCAGAAACTTCTTTGTGATGATTGCATTCAACTCACAGAGTTGAAGGTTCCTTTTCAAACAGCAGTTTCCAATCACTCTTTCTGTGGAATCTGCAAGTGGATATTTGGGCCTCTCTGAGGATTTCGTTGGAAACGGGATAAAACGCACAGAACTAAAACAGAAGCATTCTCAGAAACTTCTCTGTGATGTTTGTGTTCAACTCCCAGAGTTTCACGTTGCTTTTCATAGAGTAGTTCTGAAACATGCTTTTCGTAGTGTCTGCAAGTGGACATTTGGAGCGCTTTCAGGCCTGTGGTGGAAAACGAATTATGGTCACATAAAAACTGGAGAGAAGCCTTCTCAGAAACTTCTCTGTGATGATTGCATTCAACTCACAGAGTTGAACCCTCCTATGGATAGAGCAGTGTTGAAACTCTCTTTTTGTGGAATCTGCAAGTGGATATGTGGACCTCTCCGAAGATGTCTTTGGAAACGGGAATATCTTCACATAAAAACTAAACAGAAGCATTCTCAGAAACTTCTTGGTGATGTTTGCATTCAAATCCCAGAGTTGAACCTTCCTTTGATAGTTCAGGTTTGAAACACTCTTTCTGTAGGATCTGCAAGTGGCTATTTGGACCACTCTGTGGCCTTCGTTCGAAACGGGTATATCTTCGCATAAAATCTAGACAGAAGCATTCTCAGAAAATACTTTGTGATGATTGAGTTTAAATCACAGAGCTGACCATTCCTTTGGATGGAGCAGGTTTGAGACACACTTTTTGTAGAATCTACAAGTGGATATTTGGACCTCTCTGAGGATTTCGTTGGAAACGGGATAACTGCACCTAACTAAACGGAAAGCATTCTCAGAAACTGCTTTGTGATGATTGCATTCACCTCACAGAGTTGAACATTCCTATTGATAGAGCAGTTTGGAAACACTCTTGTTGTGGAATGTGCAAGTGGAGATTTGGAGCGCTTTGAGGCCTATGGTAGTAAAGGGAATAGCTTCATAGAAAAACTAGACAGTGCATTCTCAGGAACTTTTTGGTGATGTTTGCATTCAACTCCCAGAGTTGAACTTTCCTTTGGAAAGAGCAGCTATGAAACATTCTTTTTCTAGAATCTGCAAGTGGACGTTTGGAGGGCTTTGTGGTTTGTGGTGGAAAAGGAAATATCTTCACCTAAATACTAGATAGAAGCATCCTCAGAAGTCTTCTCTGTGATGACTGCATTCAACTCACGGAGTTGAACACTCCTTTTGAGAGCGCAGTTTTGAAACTCTCTTTCTGTGGCATCTGCAAGGGGACATGTAGACCTCTTTGAAGATTTCGTTGGAAACGGAATCATCTTCACATAAAAACTATACAGAAGCAGTCTCAGAATCTTCTTTGTGATGTTTGCATTCAAATCCCCGAGTTGAACTTTCCTTTCAAAGTTCACGTTTGAAACACTCTTTTTGCAGGATCTACAAGTGGATATTTGGACCACTCTGTGTCCTTCGTTCGAAACGGGTATATCTTCACATGACTCTAGACAGAAGCTTTCTCAGAAAATTCTTTGGGATGATTGAGTTGAACTCACAGAGCTGAACATTCCTTGCGATGTAGCAGTTTAGAAACACACTTTCTGCAGAATCTGCAAGGGCATATTTGGACCTCTCTGAGGAATTCGTTGGAAACGGGATAATTTCAGCTGACTAAACAGAAGCATTCTCAGAACCTTCTTCGTGATGTCTGCATTCAACTCACAGTGTGGAACCTTTCTTTGATAGTTCAGGTTTGAAACACTCTTTTTGTGGAAACTGCAAGGGGATAATTGCACTTCTTTGAGGCCTACCGTAGTAAAGGAAATAACTTCCTATAAAAAGAAGACAGAAGAATTCTCAGAACCGTCTTCGTGATGTTTGCATTCAACACACAGTGCTTAACCTTTCTTTGATAGTTCAGCTTTGAAACACTGTTTTTGTAGAAACTGCAAGTGGATATTTGGTCCTCTCTGAGGATTTCGTTGGAAACGTGTTAAACCGCACAGAACTAAACAGAAGCATTCACAGAAAACTCTTGGTGACGACTGAGTTTAACTCACAGAGCTGAACATTCCTTTGGATGGAGCAGTTTCGAAACACACTCTTTGTAGAATCTGCAAGTGGATATTTGGGCCTCTCTGAGGATTTCGTTGGAAATGGGATAAACCGCACAGAACTAAAACAGAAGCATTCTGAGAAACTACTTTGTGATGATTGCATTCAAGTCACAGAGCTGAACATTCCCTTTGACAGAGCAGTTTGGAAACTCTCTTTGTGTAGAATCTGCAAGTGGAGATATGGAATGCTTTGAGGACTATGGTAGTAAAGGAAATAGCTTCATAGACAAGCTAGACAGTAGCATTCTCAGAAACTTCTTTGTGATGCTTGCATTCAACTCACAGAGTTGAACTTTCCTTTCGAGAGAGAAGCTTTGAAACACTCTTTTTCCAGAATCTGCAAGTGGACATTTGGGGGGCTTTGAGGCCTGTGGTGGAAAAGGAATTATCTTCCCGTAAAAGCTGGATAGAAGCATTGTCAGAAACTTCTTTGTGATGATTGCATTCAACTCACAGAGTTGAAGGTTCCTTTTCAAACAGCAGTTTCCAAACACTCTTTCTGTGGAATCTGCAAGTGGATGTTTGGACCTCTTTGAAGATTTCGTTGGAAACGGGAGAATCTTCACAGAAAAGCTAAACAGAAGCATTCTCAGAAACTTCTCTGTGATGTTTGTGTTCAACTCCCAGAGTTTCACATTGCTTTTCATAGAGTAGTTCTGAAACATGCTTTTCGTAGTGTCTGCAAGTGGACATTTGGAGCGCTTTCAGGCCTGTGGTGGAAAACGAATTATGGTCACATAAAAACTGGAGAGAAGCCTTCTCAGAAACTTCTCTGTGATGATTGCATTCAACTCACAGAGTTGAACCCTCCTATGGATAGAGCAGTGTTGAAACTCTCTTTTTGTGGAATCTGCAAGTGGATATGTGGACCTCTCCGAAGATGTCTTTGGAAACGGGAATATCTTCACATAAAAACTAAACAGAAGCATTCTCAGAAACTTCTTGGTGATGTTTGCTTTCAAATCCCAGAGTTGAACCTTCCTTTGATAGTTTAGGTTTGAAACACTCTTTTTGTAGGATCTGCAAGTGGATATTTGGACCACTCTGTGGCCTTCGTTCGAAACGGGTACATCTTCGCATAAAATCTAGACAGAAGCATTCTCAGAAAATACTTTGTGATGATTGAGTTGAACTCACAGAGCTGAACATTCCTTTGGATGGAGCAGGTTTCAGACACACTTTTTGTAGAATCTACAAGTGGATATTTGGACCTCTCTGAGGATTTCGTTGGAAACGGGGTAACTGCACCTAACTAAACGGAAGCATTCTCAGAAACTGCTTTGTGATGATTGCATTCACCTCACAGAGTTGAACATTCCTATTGATAGAGCAGTTTGGAAACACTCTTGTTGTGGAATGTGCAAGTGGAGATTTGGAGCGCTTTGAGGCCTATGGTAGTAAAGGGAATAGCTTCATAGAAAAACTAGACAGATGCATTCTCAGGAACTTTTTGGTGATGTTTGTATTCAACTCCCAGAGTTGAACTTTCCTTTGGAAAGAGCAGCTATGAAACACTCTTTTTCTAGAATCTGCAAGTGGACGTTTGGAGGGCTTTGTGGTTTGTGGTGGAAAAGGAAATATCTTCACCTAAATACTAGATAGAAGCATTCTCAGAAGCTTCTCTGTGATGACTGCATTCAACTCACGGAGTTGAACACTCCTTTTGAGAGCGCAGTTTTGAAACTCTCTTTCTGTGGCATCTGCAAGGGGACATGTAGACCTCTTTGAAGATTTCGTTGGAAACGGAATCATCTTCACATAAAAACTATACAGAAGCAGTCTCAGAATCTTCTTTGTGATGTTTGCATTCAAATCCCAGAGTTGAACTTTCCTTTCAAAGTTCACGTTTGAAACACTCTTTTTGCAGGATCTACAAGTGGATATTTGGACCACTCTGTGTCCTTCGTTCGAAACGGGTATATCTTCACACGACATCTAGACAGAAGCTTTCTCAGAAAATTCTTTGGGATGATTGAGTGGAACTCACAGAGCTGAACATTCCTTGCGATGTAGCAGTTTAGAAACACACTTTCTGCAGAATCTGCAAGTGCATATTTGGACCTCTCTGAGGAATTCGTTGGAAACGGGATAATTTCAGCTGACTAAACAGAAGCATTCTCAGAACCTTCTTCGTGATGTCTGCATTCAACTCACAGTGTGGAACCTTTCTTTGATAGTTCAGGTTTGAAACACTCTTTTTGTAGAAACTGCAAGGGGATAATTGCACTTCTTTGAGGCCTACCGTAGTAAAGGAAATAACTTCCTATAGAAAGAAGACAGAAGCATTCTCAGAACCCTCTTCGTGATGTTTGCATTCAACTCACAGTGCTGAACCTTTCTTTGATAGTTCAGCTTTGAAACACTCTTCTTGTAGAAACTGCAAGTGGATATTTGGTCCTCTCTGAGGATTTCGTTGGAAACGGGATAAACCGCACAGAACTAAACAGAAGAATTCTCAGAGCCCTCTTCGTGATGTTTGCATTCAACTCACAGTGCTGAACCTTTCTTTGATAGTGCAGCTTTGAAACACTCTTTTTGTAGAAACTGCAAGTGGATGTTTGGTCCTCTCTGAGGATTTCGTTGGAAACGGGATAAACCGCACAGAACTAAAACAGAAGCATTGTCAGAAACTTCTTTGTGATGATTGCATTCAACTCACAGAGTTGAAGGTTCCTTTTCAAACAGCAGTTTCCAATCACTCTTTCTGTGGAATCTGCAAGTGGATATTTGGGCCTCTCTGAGGATTTCGTTGGAAACGGGATAAAACGCACAGAACTAAAACAGAAGCATTCTCCGAAACTACTCTGTGATGTTTGTGTTCAACTCCCAGAGTTTCACATTGCTTTTCATAGAGTAGTTCTGAAACATGCTTTTCGTAGTGTCTGCAAGTGGACATTTGGAGCGCTTTCAGGCCTGTGGTGGAAAACGAATTATGGTCACATAAAAACTGGAGAGAAGCCTTCTCAGAAACTTCTCTGTGATGATTGCATTCAACTCACACAGTTGAACCCTCCTATGGATAGAGCAGTGTTGAAACTCTCTTTTTGTGGAATCTGCAAGTGGATATGTGGACCTCTCCGAAGATGTCTTTGGAAACGGGAATATCTTCACATAAAAACTAAACAGAAGCATTCTCAGAAACTTCTTGGTGATGTTTGCATTCAAATCCCAGAGTTGAACCTTCCTTTGATAGTTCAGGTTTGAAACACTCTTTTTGTAGGATCTGCAAGTGGATATTTGGACCACTCTGTGGCCTTCGTTCGAAACGGGTACATCTTCGCATAAAATCTAGACAGAAGCATTCTCAGAAAATACTTTGTGATGATTGAGTTTAACTCACAGAGCTGAACATTCCTTTGGATGGAGCAGGTTTGAGACACACTTTTTGTAGAATCTACAAGTGGATATTTGGACCTCTCTGAGGATTTCGTTGGAAACGGGATAACTGCACCTAACTAAACGGAAGCATTCTCAGAAACTGCTTTGTGATGATTGCATTCACCTCACAGAGTTGAACATTCCTATTGATAGAGCAGTTTGGAAACACTCTTGTTGTGGAATGTGCAAGTGGAGATTTGGAGCGCTTTGAGGCCTATGGTAGTAAAGGGAATAGCTTCATAGAAAAACAAGACAGATGCATTCTCAGGAACTTTTTGGTGATGTTTGTATTCAACTCCCAGAGTTGAACTTTCCTTTGGAAAGAGCAGCTATGAAACACTCTTTTTCTAGAATCTGCAAGTGGACGTTTGGAGGGCTTTGTGGTTTGTGGTGGAAAAGGAAATATCTTCACCTAAATACTAGATAGAAGCATTCTCAGAAGCTTCTCTGTGATGACTGCATTCAACTCACGGAGTTGAACACTCCTTTTGAGAGCGCAGTTTTGAAACTCTCTTTCTGTGGCATCTGCAAGGGGACATGTAGACCTCTTTGAAGATTTCGTTGGAAACGGAATCATCTTCACATAAAAACTATACAGAAGCAGTCTCAGAATCTTCTTTGTGATGTTTGCATTCAAATCCCAGAGTTGAACTTTCCTTTCAAAGTTCACGTTTGAAACACTCTTTTTGCAGGATCTACAAGTGGATATTTGGACCACTCTGTGTCCTTCGTTCGAAACGGGTATATCTTCACACGACATCTAGACAGAAGCTTTCTCAGAAAATTCTTTGGGATGATTGAGTGGAACTCACAGAGCTGAACATTCCTTGCGATGTAGCAGTTTAGAAACACACTTTCTGCAGAATCTGCAAGTGCATATTTGGACCTCTCTGAGGAATTCGTTGGAAACGGGATAATTTCAGCTGACTAAACAGAAGCATTCTCAGAACCTTCTTCGTGATGTCTGCATTCAACTCACAGTGTGGAACCTTTCTTTGATAGTTCAGGTTTGAAACACTCTTTTTGTAGAAACTGCAAGGGGATAATTGCACTTCTTTGAGGCCTACCGTAGTAAAGGAAATAACTTCCTATAGAAAGAAGACAGAAGCATTCTCAGAACCCTCTTCGTGATGTTTGCATTCAACTCACAGTGCTGAACCTTTCTTTGATAGTTCAGCTTTGAAACACTCTTCTTGTAGAAACTGCAAGTGGATATTTGGTCCTCTCTGAGGATTTCGTTGGAAACGGGATAAACCGCACAGAACTAAACAGAAGAATTCTCAGAGCCCTCTTCGTGATGTTTGCATTCAACTCACAGTGCTGAACCTTTCTTTGATAGTGCAGCTTTGAAACACTCTTTTTGTAGAAACTGCAAGTGGATGTTTGGTCCTCTCTGAGGATTTCGTTGGAAACGGGATAAACCGCACAGAACTAAAACAGAAGCATTGTCAGAAACTTCTTTGTGATGATTGCATTCAACTCACAGAGTTGAAGGTTCCTTTTCAAACAGCAGTTTCCAATCACTCTTTCTGTGGAATCTGCAAGTGGATATTTGGGCCTCTCTGAGGATTTCGTTGGAAACGGGATAAAACGCACAGAACTAAAACAGAAGCATTCTCAGAAACTTCTCTGTGATGTTTGTGTTCAACTCCCCAGAGTTTCACGTTGCTTTTCATAGAGTAGTTCTGAAACATGCTTTTCGTAGTGTCTGCAAGTGGACATTTGGAGCGCTTTCAGGCCTGTGGTGGAAAACGAATTATGGTCACATAAAAACTGGAGAGAAGCCTTCTCAGAAACTTCTCTGTGATGATTGCATTCAACTCACAGAGTTGAACCCTCCTATGGATAGAGCAGTGTTGAAACTCTCTTTTTGTGGAATCTGCAAGTGGATATGTGGACCTCTCCGAAGATGTCTTTGGAAACGGGAATATCTTCACATAAAAACTAAACAGAAGCATTCTCAGAAACTTCTTGGTGATGTTTGCATTCAAATCCCAGAGTTGAACCTTCCTTTGATAGTTCAGGTTTGAAACACTCTTTTTGTAGGATCTGCAAGTGGATATTTGGACCACTCTGTGGCCTTCGTTCGAAACGGGTATATCTTCGCATAAAATCTAGACAGAAGCATTCTCAGAAAATACTTTGTGATGATTGAGTTTAACTCACAGAGCTGAACATTCCTTTGGATGGAGCAGGTTTGAGACACACTTTTTGTAGAATCTACAAGTGGATATTTGGACCTCTCTGAGGATTTCGTTGGAAACGCGATAACTGCACCTAACTAAACGGAAGCATTCTCAGAAACTGCTTTGTGATGATTGCATTCACCTCACAGAGTTGAACATTCCTATTGATAGAGCAGTTTGGAAACACTCTTGTTGTGGAATGTGCAAGTGGAGATTTGGAGCGCTTTGAGGCCTATGGTAGTAAAGGGAATAGCTTCATAGAAAAACTAGACAGATGCATTCTCAGGAACTTTTTGGTGATGTTTGTATTCAACTCCCAGAGTTGAACTTTCCTTTGGAAAGAGCAGCTATGAAACACTCTTTTTCTAGAATCTGCAAGTGGACGTTTGGAGGGCTTTGTGGTTTGTGGTGGAAAAGGAAATATCTTCACCTAAATACTAGATAGAAGCATTCTCAGAAGCTTCTCTGTGATGACTGCATTCAACTCACGGAGTTGAACACTCCTTTTGAGAGCGCAGTTTTGAAACTCTCTTTCTGTGGCATCTGCAAGGGGACATGTAGACCTCTTTGAAGATTTCGTTGGAAACGGAATCATCTTCACATAAAAACTATACAGAAGCAGTCTCAGAATCTTCTTTGTGATGTTTGCATTCAAATCCCAGAGTTGAACTTTCCTTTCAAAGTTCACGTTTGAAACACTCTTTTTGCAGGATCTACAAGTGGATATTTGGACCACTCTGTGTCCTTCGTTCGAAACGGGTATATCTTCACATGGCATCTAGACAGAAGCTTTCTCAGAAAATCCTTTGGGATGATTGAGTGGAACTCACAGAGCTGAACATTCCTTGCGATGTAGCAGTTTAGAAACACACTTTCTGCAGAATCTGCAAGTGCATATTTGGACCTCTCCGAGGAATTCGTTGGAAACGGGATAATTTCAGCTGACTAAACAGAAGCATTCTCAGAACCTTCTTCGTGATGTCTGCATTCAACTCACAGTGTGGAACCTTTCTTTGATAGTTCAGGTTTGAAACACTCTTTTTGTAGAAACTGCAAGGGGATAATGGCACTTCTTTGATGCCTACCGTAGTAAAGGAAATAACTTCC
The DNA here is from genome assembly GCF_000001405.40 of Homo sapiens. NCBI lineage: Eukaryota > Metazoa > Chordata > Mammalia > Primates > Hominidae > Homo > Homo sapiens. The sequence goes on from NC_000017.11 coordinate 23,274,766, forward strand.
TATAGAAAGAAGACAGAAGCATTCTCAGAACCCTCTTCGTGATGTTTGCATTCAACTCACAGTGCTGAACCTTTCTTTGATAGTTCAGCTTTGAAACACTCTTCTTGTAGAAACTGCAAGTGGATATTTGGTCCTCTCTGAGGATTTCGTTGGAAACGGGATAAACCGCACAGAACTAAACAGAAGAATTCTCAGAGCCCTCTTCGTGATGTTTGCATTCAACTCACAGTGCTGAACCTTTCTTTGATAGTGCAGCTTTGAAACACTCTTTTTGTAGAAACTGCAAGTGGATGTTTGGTCCTCTCTGAGGATTTCGTTGGAAACGGGATAAACCGCACAGAACTAAAACAGAGCATTGTCAGAAACTTCTTTGTGATGATTGCATTCAACTCACAGAGTTGAAGGTTCCTTTTCAAACAGCAGTTTCCAATCACTCTTTCTGTGGAATCTGCAAGTGGATATTTGGGCCTCTCTGAGGATTTCGTTGGAAACGGGATAAAACGCACAGAACTAAAACAGAAGCATTCTCAGAAACTTCTCTGTGATGTTTGTGTTCAACTCCCAGAGTTTCACATTGCTTTTCATAGAGTAGTTCTGAAACATGCTTTTCGTAGTGTCTGCAAGTGGACATTTGGAGCGCTTTCAGGCCTGTGGTGGAAAACGAATTATGGTCACATAAAAACTGGAGAGAAGCCTTCTCAGAAACTTCTCTGTGATGATTGCATTCAACTCACAGAGTTGAACCCTCCTATGGATAGAGCAGTGTTGAAACTCTCTTTTTGTGGAATCTGCAAGTGGATATGTGGACCTCTCCGAAGATGTCTTTGGAAACGGGAATATCTTCACCTAAAAACTAAACAGAAGCATTCTCAGAAACTTCTTGGTGATGTTTGCATTCAAATCCCAGAGTTGAACCTTCCTTTGAGAGTTCAGGTTTGAAACACTCTTTTTGTAGGATCTGCAAGTGGATATTTGGACCACTCTGTGGCCTTCGTTCGAAACGGGTACATCTTCGCATAAAATCTAGACAGAAGCATTCTCAGAAAATACTTTGTGATGATTGAGTTAAAATCACAGAGCTGAACATTCCTTTGGATGGAGCAGGTTTGAGACACACTTTTTGTAGAATCTACAAGTGGATATTTGGACCTCTCTGAGGATTTCGTTGGAAACGGGATAACTGCACCTAACTAAACGGAAGCATTCTCAGAAACTGCTTTGTGATGATTGCATTCACCTCACAGAGTTGAACATTCCTATTGATAGAGCAGTTTGGAAACACTCTTGTTGTGGAATGTGCAAGTGGAGATTTGGAGCGCTTTGAGGCCTATGGTAGTAAAGGGAATAGCTTCATAGAAAAACTAGACAGATGCATTCTCAGGAACTTTTTGGTGATGTTTGTATTCAACTCCCAGAGTTGAACTTTCCTTTGGAAAGAGCAGCTATGAAACACTCTTTTTCTAGAATCTGCAAGTGGACGTTTGGAGGGCTTTGTGGTTTGTGGTGGAAAAGGAAATATCTTCACCTAAATACTAGATAGAAGCATTCTCAGAAGCTTCTCTGTGATGACTGCATTCAACTCACGGAGTTGAACACTCCTTTTGAGAGCGCAGTTTTGAAACTCTCTTTCTGTGGCATCCGCAAGGGGACATGTGGACCTCTTTGAAGATTTCGTTGGAAACGGAATCATCTTCACATAAAAACTATACAGAAGCAGTCTCAGAATCTTCTTTGTGATGTTTGCATTCAAATCCCAGAGTTGAACTTTCCTTTCAAAGTTCACGTTTGAAACACTCTTTTTGCAGGATCTACAAGTGGATATTTGGACCACTCTGTGTCCTTCGTTCGAAACGGGTATATCTTCACATGACATCTAGACAGAAGCTTTCTCAGAAAATGCTTTGGGTTGATTGAGTTGAACTCACAGAGCTGAACATTCCTTGCGATGTAGCAGTTTAGAAACACACTTTCTGCAGAATCTGCAAGTGCATATTTGGACCTCTCTGAGGAATTCGTTGGAAACGGGATAATTTCAGCTGACTAAACAGAAGCATTCTCAGAACCTTCTTCGTGATGTCTGCATTCAACTCACAGTGTGGAACCTTTCTTTGATAGTTCAGGTTTGAAACACTCTTTTTGTAGAAACTGCAAGGGGATAATTGCACTTCTTTGAGGCCTACCGTAGTAAAGGAAATAACTTCCTATAGAAAGAAGACAGAAGCATTCTCAGAACCCTCTTCGTGATGTTTGCATTCAACTCACAGTGCTGAACCTTTCTTTGATAGTTCAGCTTTGAAACACTCTTCTTGTAGAAACTGCAAGTGGATATTTGGTCCTCTCTGAGGATTTCGTTGGAAACGGGATAAACCGCACAGAACTAAACAGAAGAACTCTCAGAGCCCTCTTCGTGATGTTTGCATTCAACTCACAGTGCTGAACCTTTCTTTGATAGTGCAGCTTTGAAACACTCTTTTTGTAGAAACTGCAAGTGGATATTTGGTCCTCTCTGAGGATTTCGTTGGAAACGGGATAAACCGCACAGAACTAAAACAGATAGCATTCACAGAAAACTCTTGGTGACGACTGAGTTTAACTCACAGAGCTGAACATTCCTTTGGATGGAGCAGTTTCGAAACACACTATTTGTAGAATCTGCAAGTGGATATTTGGGCCTCTCTGAGGATTTCGTTGGAAACGGGATAAAACGCACAGAACTAAAACAGAGCATTCTCAGAAACTACTTTGTGATGATTGCATTCAAGTCACAGAGCTGAACATTCCCTTTGACAGAGCAGTTTGGAAACTCTCTTTGTGTAGAATCTGCAAGTGGAGATATGGACCGCTTTGAGGACTATGTTAGTAAAGGAAATAGCTTCATATAAAAGCTAGACAGTAGCATTCTCAGAAACTTCTTTGTGATGCTTGCATTCAACTCACAGAGTTGAACTTTCCTTTCGAGAGAGAAGCTTTGAAACACTCTTTTTCCAGAATGTGCAAGTGGACATTTGGGGAGCTTTGAGGCCTGTGGTGGAAAAGGAATTATCTTCCCGTAAAAGCTAGATAGAAGCATTGTCAGAAACTTCTTTGTGATGATTGCATTCAACTCACAGAGTTGAAGGTTCCTTTTCAAACAGCAGTTTCCAATCACTCTTTCTGTGGAATCTGCAAGTGGATATTTCGACCTCTTTGAAGATTTCGTTGGAAACGGGAGAATCTTCACAGAAAAGCTAAACAGAAGCATTCTCAGAAACTTCTCTGTGATGTTTGTGTTCAACTCCCAGAGTTTCACGTTGCTTTTCATAGAGTAGATCTGAAACATGCTTTTCGTAGTGTCTGCAAGTGGACATTTGGAGCGCTTTCAGGCCTGTGGTGGAAAACGAATTATGGTCACATAAAAACTGGAGAGAAGCCTTCTCAGAAACTTCTCTGTGATGATTGCATTCAACTCACAGAGTTGAACCCTCCTATGGATAGAGCAGTGTTGAAACTCTCTTTTTGTGGAATCTGCAAGTGGATATGTGGACCTCTCCGAAGATGTCTTTGGAAACGGGAATATCTTCACATAAAAACTAAACAGAAGCATTCTCAGAAACTTCTTGGTGATGTTTGCATTCAAATCCCAGAGTTGAACCTTCCTTTGATAGTTCAGGTTTGAAACACTCTTTCTGTAGGATCTGCAAGTGGCTATTTGGACCACTCTGTGGCCTTCGTTCGAAACGGGTATATCTTCGCATAAAATCTAGACAGAAGCATTCTCAGAAAATACTTTGTGATGATTGAGTTTAAATCACAGAGCTGACCATTCCTTTGGATGGAGCAGGTTTGAGACACACTTTTTGTAGAATCTACAAGTGGATATTTGGACCTCTCTGAGGATTTCGTTGGAAACGGGATAACTGCACCTAACTAAACGGAAGCATTCTCAGAAACTGCTTTGTGATGATTGCATTCACCTCACAGAGTTGAACATTCCTATTGATAGAGCAGTTTGGAAACACTCTTGTTGTGGAATGTGCAAGTGGAGATTTGGAGCGCTTTGAGGCCTGTGGTAGTAAAGGGAATAGCTTCATAGAAAAACTAGACAGATGCATTCTCAGGAACCTTTTGGTGATGTTTGTATTCAACTCCCAGAGTTGAACTTTCCTTTGGAAAGAGCAGCTATGAAACACTCTTTTTCTAGAATCTGCAAGTGGACGTTTGGAGGGCTTTGTGGTTTGTGGTGGAAAAGGAAATATCTTCACCTAAATACTAGATAGAAGCATTCTCAGAAGCTTCTCTGTGATGACTGCATTCAACTCACGGAGTTGAACACTCCTTTTGAGAGCGCAGTTTTGAAACTCTCTTTCTGTGGCATCTGCAAGGGGACATGTAGACCTCTTTGAAGATTTCGTTGGAAACGGAATCATCTTCACATAAAAAGTATACAGAAGCAGTCTCAGAATCTTCTTTGCGATGTTTGCATTCAAATCCCAGAGTTGAACTTTCCTTTCAAAGTTCACGTTTGAAACACTCTTTTTGCAGGATCTACAAGTGGATATTTGGACCACTCTGTGTCCTTCGTTCGAAACGGGTATATCTTCACACGACATACTAGACAGAAGCTTTCTCAGAAAATTCTTTGGGATGATTGAGTGGAACTCACAGAGCTGAACATTCCTTGCGATGTAGCAGTTTAGAAACACACTTTCTGCAGAATCTGCAAGTGCATATTTGGACCTCTCTGAGGAATTCGTTGGAAACGGGATAATTTCAGCTGACTAAACAGAAGCATTCTCAGAACCTTCTTCGTGATGTCTGCATTCAACTCACAGTGTGGAACCTTTCTTTGATAGTTCAGGTTTGAAACACTCTTTTTGTAGAAACTGCAAGGGGATAATTGCACTTCTTTGAGGCCTACCGTAGTAAAGGAAATAACTTCCTATAGAAAGAAGACAGAAGCATTCTCAGAACCCTCTTCGTGATGTTTGCATTCAACTCACAGTGCTGAACCTTTCTTTGATAGTTCAGCTTTGAAACACTCTTCTTGTAGAAACTGCAAGTGGATATTTGGTCCTCTCTGAGGATTTCGTTGGAAACGGGATAAACCGCACAGAACTAAACAGAAGCATTCTCAGAGCCCTCTTCGTGATGTTTGCATTCAACTCACAGTGCTGAACCTTTCTTTGATAGTGCAGCTTTGAAACACTCTTTTTGTAGAAACTGCAAGTGGATGTTTGGTCCTCTCTGAGGATTTCGTTGGAAACGGGATAAACCGCACAGAACTAAAACAGAAGCATTGTCAGAAACTTCTTTGTGATGATTGCATTCAACTCACAGAGTTGAAGGTTCCTTTTCAAACAGCAGTTTCCAATCACTCTTTCTGTGGAATCTGCAAGTGGATATTTGGGCCTCTCTGAGGATTTCGTTGGAAACGGGATAAAACGCACAGAACTAAAACAGAAGCATTCTCAGAAACTTCTCTGTGATGTTTGTGTTCAACTCCCAGAGTTTCACGTTGCTTTTCATAGAGTAGTTCTGAAACATGCTTTTCGTAGTGTCTGCAAGTGGACATTTGGAGCGCTTTCAGGCCTGTGGTGGAAAACGAATTATGGTCACATAAAAACTGGAGAGAAGCCTTCTCAGAAACTTCTCTGTGATGATTGCATTCAACTCACAGAGTTGAACCCTCCTATGGATAGAGCAGTGTTGAAACTCTCTTTTTGTGGAATCTGCAAGTGGATATGTGGACCTCTCCGAAGATGTCTTTGGAAACGGGAATATCTTCACATAAAAACTAAACAGAAGCATTCTCAGAAACTTCTTGGTGATGTTTGCATTCAAATCCCAGAGTTGAACCTTCCTTTGATAGTTCAGGTTTGAAACACTCTTTCTGTAGGATCTGCAAGTGGCTATTTGGACCACTCTGTGGCCTTCGTTCGAAACGGGTATATCTTCGCATAAAATCTAGACAGAAGCATTCTCAGAAAATACTTTGTGATGATTGAGTTTAAATCACAGAGCTGACCATTCCTTTGGATGGAGCAGGTTTGAGACACACTTTTTGTAGAATCTACAAGTGGATATTTGGACCTCTCTGAGGATTTCGTTGGAAACGGGATAACTGCACCTAACTAAACGGAAGCATTCTCAGAAACTGCTTTGTGATGATTGCATTCACCTCACAGAGTTGAACATTCCTATTGATAGAGCAGTTTGGAAACACTCTTGTTGTGGAATGTGCAAGTGGAGATTTGGAGCGCTTTGAGGCCTATGGTAGTAAAGGGAATAGCTTCATAGAAAAACTAGACAGATGCATTCTCAGGAACTTTTTGGTGATGTTTGTATTCAACTCCCAGAGTTGAACTTTCCTTTGGAAAGAGCAGCTATGAAACACTCTTTTTCTAGAATCTGCAAGTGGACGTTTGGAGGGCTTTGTGGTTTGTGGTGGAAAAGGAAATATCTTCACCTAAATACTAGATAGAAGCATCCTCAGAAGCTTCTCTGTGATGACTGCATTCAACTCATGGAGTTGAACACTCCTTTTGAGAGCGCAGTTTTGAAACTCTCTTTCTGTGGCATCTGCAAGGGGACATGTAGACCTCTTTGAAGATTTCGTTGGAAACGGAATCATCTTCACATAAAAACTATACAGAAGCAGTCTCAGAATCTTCTTTGTGATGTTTGCATTCAAATCCCAGAGTTGAACTTTCCTTTCAAAGTTCACGTTTGAAACACTCTTTTTGCAGGATCTACAAGTGGATATTTGGACCACTCTGTGTCCTTCGTTCGAAACGGGTATATCTTCACATGACATCCAGACAGAAGCTTTCTCAGAAAATTCTTTGGGATGATTGAGTTGAACTCACAGAGCTGAGCATTCCTTGCGATGTAGCAGTTTAGAAACACACTTTCTGCAGAATCTGCAAGTGCATATTTGGACCTCTGTGAGGAATTCGTTGGAAACGGGATAATTTCAGCTGACTAAACAGAAGCATTCTCAGAACCTTCTTCGTGATGTCTGCATTCAACTCACAGTGTGGAACCTTTCTTTGATAGTTCAGGTTTGAAACACTCTTTTTGTAGAAACTGCAAGGGGATAATTGCACTCTTTGAGGAGTACCGTAGTAAAGGAAATAACTTCCTATAAAAAGAAGACAGAAGAATTCTCAGAGCCCTCTTCGTGATGTTTGCATTCAACTCACAGTGCTGAACCTTTCTTTGATAGTGCAGCTTTGAAACACTCTTTTTGTAGAAACTGCAAGTGGATGTTTGGTCCTCTCTGAGGATTTCGTTGGAAACCGGGATAAACCGCACAGAACTAAAACAGAAGCATTCTCAGAACCTTCTTCGTGATGTTTGCATTCAACTCACAGTGTTGAACCTTTCTTTGATAGTTCAGGTTTGAAACGGTCTTTCTGTAGAAACTGCAAGTAGATATTTGGACCTCTCTGAGGATTTCGTTGGAAACGGGATAACCCGCACAGAACTAAAACAGAAGCATTCACAGAAAACTCTTGGTGACGACTGAGTTTAACTCACAGAGCTGAACATTCCTTTGGATGGAGCAGTTTCGAAACACACTATTTGTAGAATGTGCAAGTGGATATTTAGGCCTCTCTGAGGATTTCGTTGGAAACGGGATAAACCGCACAGAACTAAACAGAAGCATTCTCAGAAACTACTTTGTGATGATTGCATTCAAGTCACAGAGTTGAACATTCCCTTTGACAGAGCAGTTTGGAAACTCTCTTTGTGTAGAATCTGCAAGTGGAGATATGGACCGCTTTGAGGCCTATGGTAGTAAAGGAAATAGCTTCATATAAAAGCTAGACAGTAGCATTCTCAGAAACTTCTTTGTGATGCTTGCATTCAACTCACAGAGTTGAACTTTCCTTTCGAGAGAGAAGCTTTGAAACACTCTTTTTCCAGAATCTGCAAGTGGACATTTGGAGGGCTTTGAGGCCTGTGGTGGAAAAGGAATTATCTTCCCGTAAAAGCTAGATAGAAGCATTGTCAGAAACTTCTTTGTGATGATTGCATTCAACTCACAGAGTTGAAGGTTCCTTTTCAAAGAGCAGTTTCCAATCACTCTTTCTGTGGAATCTGCAAGTGGATATTTGGACCTATTTTGAAGATTTCGTTGGAAACGGGAGAATCTTCACAGGAAAGCTAAACAGAAGCATTCTCAGAAACTTCTCTGTGATGTTTGTGTTCAACTCCCAGAGTTTCATATTGCTTTTCATAGAGTAGTTCTGAAACATGCTTTTCGTAGTGTCTACAAGTGGACATTTGGAGCGCTTTCAGGCCTGTGGTGGAAAACGAATTATGGTCACATAAAAACTGGAGAGAAGCCTTCTCAGAAACTTCTCTGTGATGATTGCATTCAACTCACAGAGTTGAACCCTCCTATGGATAGAGCAGTGTTGAAACTCTCTTTTTGTGAAATCTGCAAGTGGATATGTGGACCTCTCCGAAGATGTCTTTGGAAACGGGAATATCTTCACATAAAAACTAAACAGAAGCATTCTCAGAAACTTCTTGGTGATGTTTGCATTCAAATCCCAGAGTTGAACCTTCCTTTGATAGTTCAGGTTTGAAACACTCTTTCTGTAGGATCTGCAAGTGGCTATTTGGACCACTCTGTGGCCTTCGTTCGAAATGGGTATATCTTCGCATAAAATCTAGACAGAAGCATTCTCAGAAAATACTTTGTGATGATTGAGTTTAAATCACAGAGCTGACCATTCCTTTGGATGGAGCAGGTTTGAGACACACTTTTTGTAGAATCTACAAGTGGATATTTGGACCTCTCTGAGGATTTCGTTGGAAACGGGATAACTGCACCTAACTAAACGGAAGCATTCTCAGAAACTGCTTTGTGATGATTGCATTCACCTCACAGAGTTGAACATTCCTATTGATAGAGCAGTTTGGAAACACTCTTGTTGTGGAATGTGCAAGTGGAGATTTGGAGCGCTTTGAGGCCTATGGTAGTAAAGGGAATAGCTTCATAGAAAAACTAGACAGATGCATTCTCAGGAACTTTTTGGTGATGTTTGTATTCAACTCCCAGAGTTGAACTTTCCTTTGGAAAGAGCAGCTATGAAACACTCTTTTTCTAGAATCTGCAAGTGGACGTTTGGAGGGCTTTGTGGTTTGTGGTGGAAAAGGAAATATCTTCACCTAAATACTAGATAGAAGCATTCTCAGAAGCTTCTCTGTGATGACTGCATTCAACTCACGGAGTTGAACACTCCTTTTGAGAGCGCAGTTTTGAAACTCTCTTTCTGTGGCATCTGCAAGGGGACATGTAGACCTCTTTGAAGATTTCGTTGGAAACGGAATCATCTTCACATAAAAACTATACAGAAGCAGTCTCAGAATCTTCTTTGTGATGTTTGCATTCAAATCCCCGAGTTGAACTTTCCTTTCAAAGTTCACGTTTGAAACACTCTTTTTGCAGGATCTACAAGTGGATATTTGGACCGCTCTGTGTCCTTCGTTCGAAACGGGTATATCTTCACATGACATCTAGACAGAAGCTTTCTCAGAAAATTCTTTGGGATGATTGAGTAGAACTCACAGAGCTGAGCATTCCTTGCGATGTAGCAGTTTAGAAACACACTTTCTGCAGAATCTGCAAGTGCATATTTGGACCTCTGTGAGGAATTCGTTGGAAACGGGATAATTTCAGCTGACTAAACAGAAGCATTCTCAGAACCCTCTTCGTGATGTTTGCATTCAACTCACAGTGCTGAACCTTTCTTTGATAGTTCAGCTTTGAAACACTCTTTCTGTAGAAACTGCAAGGGGATAATTGCACTCTTTGAGGAGTACCGTAGTAAAGGAAATAACTTCCTATAAAAAGAAGACAGAAGCATTCTCAGAACCTTCTTCGTGATGTTTGCATTCAACTCACAGTGTTGAACCTTTCTTTGATAGTTCAGGTTTGAAACGGTCTTTCTGTAGAAACTGCAAGTAGATATTTGGACCTCTCTGAGGATTTCGTTGGAAACGGGATAACCCGCACAGAACTAAAACAGAAGCATTCACAGAAAACTCTTGGTGACGACTGAGTTTAACTCACAGAGCTGAACATTCCTTTGGATGGAGCAGTTTCGAAACACACTATTTGTAGAATGTGCAAGTGGATATTTAGGCCTCTCTGAGGATTTCGTTGGAAACGGGATAAACCGCACAGAACTAAACAGAAGCATTCTCAGAAACTACTTTGTGATGATTGCATTCAAGTCACAGAGTTGAACATTCCCTTTGACAGAGCAGTTTGGAAACTCTCTTTGTGTAGAATCTGCAAGTGGAGATATGGACCGCTTTGAGGCCTATGGTAGTAAAGGAAATAGCTTCATATAAAAGCTAGACAGTAAGCATTCTCAGAAACTTCTTTGTGATGCTTGCATTCAACTCACAGAGTTGAACTTTCCTTTCGAGAGAGAAGCTTTGAAACACTCTTTTTCCAGAATCTGCAAGTGGACATTTGGAGGGCTTTGAGGCCTGTGGTGGAAAAGGAATTATCTTCCCGTAAAAGCTAGATAGAAGCATTGTCAGAAACTTCTTTGTGATGATTGCATTCAACTCACAGAGTTGAAGGTTCCTTTTCAAACAGCAGTTTCCAATCACTCTTTCTGTGGAATCTGCAAGTGGATATTTGGGCCTCTCTGAGGATTTCGTTGGAAACGGGATAAAACGCACAGAACTAAAACAGAAGAAGCATTCTCAGAAACTTCTCTGTGATGTTTGTGTTCAACTCCCAGAGTTTCACATTGCTTTTCATAGAGTAGTTCTGAAACATGCTTTTCGTAGTGTCTGCAAGTGGACATTTGGAGCGCTTTCAGGCCTGTGGTGGAAAACGAATTATGGTCACATAAAAACTGGAGAGAAGCCTTCTCAGAAACTTCTCTGTGATGATTGCATTCAACTCACAGAGTTGAACCCTCCTATGGATAGAGCAGTGTTGAAACTCTCTTTTTGTGGAATCTGCAAGTGGATATGTGGACCTCTCCGAAGATGTCTTTGGAAACGGGAAAATCTTCACATAAAAGCTAATCAGAAGCATTCTCAGAAACTTCTTGGTGATGTTTGCATTCAAATCCCAGAGTTGAACCTTCCTTTGATAGTTCAGGTTTGAAACACTCTTTTTGTAGGATCTGCAAGTGGATATTTGGACCACTCTGTGGCCTTCGTTCGAAACGGGTACATCTTCGCATAAAATCTAGACAGAAGCATTCTCAGAAAATACTTTGTGATGATTGAGTTTAACTCACAGAGCTGAACATTCCTTTGGATGGAGCAGGTTTGAGACACACTTTTTGTAAAATCTACAAGTGGATATTTGGACCTCTCTGAGGATTTCGTTGGAAACGGGATAACTGCACCTAACTAAACGGAAGCATTCTCAGAAACTGCTTTGTGATGATTGCATTCACCTCACAGAGTTGAACATTGCTATTGATAGAGCAGTTTGGAAACACTCCTGTTGTGGAATGTGCAAGTGGAGATTTGGAGCGCTTTGAGGCCTATGGTAGTAAAGGGAATAACTTCATAGAAAAACTAGACAGATGCATTCTCAGGAACTTTTTGGTGATGTTTGTATTCAACTCCCAGAGTTGAACTTTCCTTTGGAAAGAGCAGCTATGAAACACTCTTTTTCTAGAATCTGCAAGTGGACGTTTGGAGGGCTTTGTGGTTTGTGGTGGAAAAGGAAATATCTTCACCTAAATACTACATAGAAGCATTCTCAGAAGCTTCTCTGTGATGACTGCATTCAACTCACGGAGTTGAACACTCCTTTTGAGAGCGCAGTTTTGAAACTCTCTTTCTGTGGCATCTGCAAGGGGACATGTAGACCTCTTTGAAGATTTCGTTGGAAACGGAATCATCTTCACATAAAAACTATACAGAAGCAGTCTCAGAATCTTCTTTGTGATGTTTGCATTCAAATCCCAGAGTTGAACTTTCCTTTCAAAGTTCACGTTTGAAACACTCTTTTTGCAGGATCTACAAGTGGATATTTGGACCACTCTGTGTCCTTCGTTCGAAACGGGTATATCTTCACACGACATCTAGACAGAAGCTTTCTCAGAAAATTCTTTGGGATGATTGAGTGGAACTCACAGAGCTGAACATTCCTTGCGATGGAGCAGTTTAGAAACACACTTTCTGCAGAATCTGCAAGTGCATATTTGGACCTCTCTGAGGAATTCGTTGGAAACGGGATAATTTCAGCTGACTAAACAGAAGCATTCTCAGAACCTTCTTCGTGATGTCTGCATTCAACTCACAGTGTGGAACCTTTCTTTGATAGTTCAGGTTTGAAACACTCTTTTTGTAGAAACTGCAAGGGGATAATTGCACTTCTTTGAGGCCTACCGTAGTAAAGGAAATAACTTCCTATAGAAAGAAGACAGAAGCATTCTCAGAACCCTCTTCGTGATGTTTGCATTCAACTCACAGTGCTGAACCTTTCTTTGATAGTTCAGCTTTGAAACACTCTTCTTGTAGAAACTGCAAGTGGATATTTGGTCCTCTCTGAGGATTTCGTTGGAAACGGGATAAACCGCACAGAACTAAACAGAAGAATTCTCAGTAGCCCTCTTCGTGATGTTTGCATTCAACTCACAGTGCTGAACCTTTCTTTGATAGTGCAGCTTTGAAACACTCTTTTTGTAGAAACTGCAAGTGGATGTTTGGTCCTCTCTGAGGATTTCGTTGGAAACGGGATAAACCGCACAGAACTAAAACAGAAGCATTCACAGAAAACACTTGGTGACGACTGAGTTTAACTCACAGAGCTGAACATTCCTTTGGATGGAGCAGTTTCGAAACACACTATTTGTAGAATGTGCAAGTGGATATGTGGGCCTCTCTGAGGATTTCGTTGGAAATGGGATAAACCGCACAGAACTAAACAGAAGCATTCTCAGAAACTACTTTGTGATGATTGCATTCAAGTCACAGAGTTGAACATTCCCTTTGACAGAGCAGTTTGGAAACTCTCTTTGTGTAGAATCTGCAAGTGGAGATATGGACCGCTTTGAGGCCTATGGTAGTAAAGGAAATAGCTTCATATAAAAGCTAGACAGTAGCATTCTCAGAAACTTCTTTGTGATGCTTGCATTCAACTCACAGAGTTGAACTTTCCTTTCGAGAGAGAAGCTTTGAAACACTCTTTTTCCAGAATCTGCAAGTGGACATTTGGAGGGCTTTGAGGCCTGTGGTGGAAAAGGAATTATCTTCCCGTAAAAGCTAGATAGAAGCATTGTCAGAAACTTCTTTGTGATGATTGCATACAAGTCACAGAGTTGAAGGTTCCTTTTCAAAGAGCAGTTTCCAATCACTCTTTCTGTGGAATCTGCAAGTGGATATTTGGACCTCTTTGAAGATTTCGTTGGAAACGGGAGAATCTTCACAGAAAAGCTAAACAGAAGCATTCTCAGAAACTTCTCTGTGATGTTTGTGTTCAACTCCCAGAGTTTCACGTTGCTTCTCATAGAGTAGTTCTGAAACATGCTTTTCGTAGTGTCTGCAAGTGGACATTTGGAGCGCTTTCAGGCCTGTGGTGGAAAACGAATTATGGTCACATAAAAACTGGAGAGAAGCCTTCTCAGAAACTTCTCTGTGATGATTGCATTCAACTCACAGAGTTGAACCCTCCTATGGATAGAGCAGTGTTGAAACTCTCTTTTTGTGGAATCTGCAAGTGGATATGTGGACCTCTCCGAAGATGTCTTTGGAAACGGGAATATCTTCACATAAAAACTAAACAGAAGCATTCTCAGAAACTTCTTGGTGATGTTTGCATTCAAATCCCAGAGTTGAACCTTCCTTTGATAGTTCAGGTTTGAAACACTCTTTTTGTAGGATCTGCAAGTGGATATTTGGACCACTCTGTGGCCTTCGTTCGAAACGGGTACATCTTCGCATAAAATCTAGACAGAAGCATTCTCAGAAAATACTTTGTGATGATTGAGTTGAACTCACAGAGCTGAACATTCCTTTGGATGGAGCAGGTTTGAGACACACTTTTTGTAGAATCTACAAGTGGATATTTGGTCCTCTCTGAAGATTTCGTTGGAAACGGGATAACTGCACCTAACTAAACGGAAGCATTCTCAGAAACTGCTTTGTGATGATTGCATTCACCTCACAGAGTTGAACATTCCTATTGATAGAGCAGTTTGGAAACACTCTTGTTGTGGAATGTGCAAGTGGAGATTTGGAGCGCTTTGAGGCCTATGGTAGTAAAGGGAATAGCTTCATAGAAAAACTAGACAGATGCATTCTCAGGAACTTTTTGGTGATGTTTGTATTCAACTCCCAGAGTTGAACTTTCCTTTGGAAAGAGCAGCTATGAAACACTGTTTTTCTAGAATCTGCAAGTGGACGTTTGGAGGGCTTTGTGGTTTGTGGTGGAAAAGGAAATATCTTCACCTAAATACTAGATAGAAGCATCCTCAGAAGCTTCTCTGTGATGACTGCATTCAACTCACGGAGTTGAACACTCCTTTTGAGAGCGCAGTTTTGAAACTCTCTTTCTGTGGCATCTGCAAGGGGACATGTAGACCTCTTTGAAGATTTCGTTGGAAACGGAATCATCTTCACATAAAAACTACACAGAAGCAGTCTCAGAATCTTCTTTGTGATGTTTGCATTCAAATCCCCGAGTTGAACTTTCCTTTCAAAGTTCACGTTTGAAACACTCTTTTTGCAGGATCTACAAGTGGATATTTGGACCACTCTGTGTCCTTCGTTCGAAACGGGTATATCTTCACATGACATCTAGACAGAAGCTTTCTCAGAAAATTCTTTGGGATGATTGAGTTGAACTCACAGAGCTGAGCATTCCTTGCGATGTAGCAGTTTAGAAACACACTTTCTGCAGAATCTGCAAGTGCATATTTGGACCTCTGTGAGGAATTCGTTGGAAACGGGATAATTTCAGCTGACTAAACAGAAGCATTCTCAGAACCTTCTTCGTGATGTCTGCATTCAACTCACAGTGTGGAACCTTTCTTTGATAGTTCAGGTTTGAAACACTCTTTTTGTAGAAACTGCAAGGGGATAATTGCACTCTTTGAGGAGTACCGTAGTAAAGGAAATAACTTCCTATAAAAAGAAGACAGAAGCATTCTCAGAACCCTCTTCGTGATGTTTGCATTCAACTCACAGTGCTGAACCTTTCTTTGATAGTTCAGCTTTGAAACACTCTTTTTGTAGAAACTGCAAGTGGATATTTGGTCCTCTCTGAGCATTTCGTTGGAAACGGGATAAACTGCACAGAACTAAACAGAAGCATTCTCAGAACCTTCTTCGTGATGTTTGCATTCAACTCACAGTGTTGAACCTTTCTTTGATAGTTCAGGTTTGAAACGGTCTTTCTGTAGAAACTGCAAGTAGATATTTGGACCTCTCTGAGGATTTCGTTGGAAACGGGATAACCCGCACAGAACTAAAACAGAAGCATTCACAGAAAACTCTTGGTGACGACTGAGTTTAACTCACAGAGCTGAACATTCCTTTGGATGGAGCAGTTTCGAAACACACTATTTGTAGAATGTGCAAGTGGATATTTAGGCCTCTCTGAGGATTTCGTTGGAAACGGGATAAACCGCACAGAACTAAACAGAAGCATTCTCAGAAACTACTTCGTGATGATTGCATTCAAGTCACAGAGTTGAACATTCCCTTTGACAGAGCAGTTTGGAAACTCTCTTTGTGTAGAATCTGCAAGTGGAGATATGGACCGCTTTGAGGCCTATGGTAGTAAAGGAAATAGCTTCATATAAAAGCTAGACAGTAGCATTCTCAGAAACTTCTTTGTGATGCTTGCATTCAACTCACAGAGTTGAACTTTCCTTTCGAGAGAGAAGCTTTGAAACACTCTTTTTCCAGAATCTGCAAGTGGACATTTGGAGGGCTTTGAGGCCTGTGGTGGAAAAGGAATTATCTTCCCGTAAAAGCTAGATAGAAGCATTGTCAGAAACTTCTTTGTGATGATTGCATTCAACTCACAGAGTTGAAGGTTCCTTTTCAAAGAGCAGTTTCCAATCACTCTTTCTGTGGAATCTGCAAGTGGATATTTGGACCTATTTTGAAGATTTCGTTGGAAACGGGAGAATCTTCACAGGAAAGCTAAACAGAAGCATTCTCAGAAACTTCTCTGTGATGTTTGTGTTCAACTCCCAGAGTTTCACATTGCTTTTCATAGAGTAGTTCTGAAACATGCTTTTCGTAGTGTCTACAAGTGGACATTTGGAGCGCTTTCAGGCCTGTGGTGGAAAACGAATTATGGTCACATAAAAACTGGAGAGAAGCCTTCTCAGAAACTTCTCTGTGATGATTGCATTCAACTCACAGAGTTGAACCCTCCTATGGATAGAGCAGTGTTGAAACTCTCTTTTTGTGGAATCTGCAAGTGGATATGTGGACCTCTCCGAAGATGTCTTTGGAAACGGGAATATCTTCACATAAAAACTAAACAGAAGCATTCTCAGAAACTTCTTGGTGATGTTTGCATTCAAATCCCAGAGTTGAACCTTCCTTTGATAGTTCAGGTTTGAAACACTCTTTTTGTAGGATCTGCAAGTGGATATTTGGACCACTCTGTGGCCTTCGTTCGAAACGGGTATATCTTCGCATAAAATCTAGACAGAAGCATTCTCAGAAAATACTTTGTGATGATTGAGTTTAACTCACAGAGCTGAACATTCCTTTGGATGGAGCAGGTTTGAGACACACCTTTTGTAGAATCTACAAGTGGATATTTGGACCTCTCTGAGGATTTCGTTGGAAACGGGATAACTGCACCTAACTAAACGGAAGCATTCTCAGAAACTGCTTTGTGATGATTGCATTCACCTCACAGAGTTGAACATTCCTATTGATAGAGCAGTTTGGAAACACTCTTGTTGTGGAATGTGCAAGTGGAGATTTGGAGCGCTTTGAGGCCTATGGTAGTAAAGGGAATAGCTTCATAGAAAAACTAGACAGATGCATTCTCAGGAACTTTTTGGTGATGTTTGTATTCAACTCCCAGAGTTGAACTTTCCTTTGGAAAGAGCAGCTATGAAACACTCTTTTTCTAGAATCTGCAAGTGGACGTTTGGAGGGCTTTGTGGTTTGTGGTGGAAAAGGAAATATCTTCACCTAAATACTAGATAGAAGCATTCTCAGAAGCTTCTCTGTGATGACTGCATTCAACTCACGGAGTTGAACACTCCTTTTGAGAGCGCAGTTTTGAAACTCTCTTTCTGTGGCATCTGCAAGGGGACATGTAGACCTCTTTGAAGATTTCGTTGGAAACGGAATCATCTTCACATCAAAACTATACAGAAGCAGTCTCAGAATCTTCTTTGTGATGTTTGCATTCAAATCCCAGAGTTGAACTTTCCTTTCCAAGTTCACGTTTGAAACACTCTTTTTGCAGGATCTGCAAGTGGATATTTGGACCACTCTGTGTCCTTCGTTCGAAACGGGTATATCTTCACATGACATCTAGACAGAAGCTTTCTGAGAAAATTCTTTGGGATGATTGAGTGGAACTCACAGAGCTGAACATTCCTTGCGATGTAGCAGTTTAGAAACACACTTTCTGCAGAATCTGCAAGTGCATATTTGGACCTCTCTGAGGAATTCGTTGGAAACGGGATAATTTCAGCTGACTAAACAGAAGCATTCTCAGAACCTTCTTCGTGATGTCTGCATTCAACTCACAGTGTGGAACCTTTCTTTGATAGTTCAGGTTTGAAATACTCTTTTTGTAGAAACTGCAAGGGGATCATTGCACTTCTTTGAGGCCTACCGTAGTAAAGGAGATAACTTCCTATAAAAAGAAGACAGAAGCATTCTCAGAACCCTCTTCGTGATGTTTGCATTCAACTCACGGTGCTGAACCTTTCTTTGATAGTTCAGCTTTGAAACACTCTTTTTGTAGAAACTGCAAGTGGATATTTGGTCCTCTCTGAGGATTTCGTTGGAAACGGGATAAACCGCACAGAACTAAACAGAAGCATTCTCAGAACCTTCTTCGTGATGTTTGCATTCAACTCACAGTGTTGAACCTTTCTTTGATAGTTCAGGTTGGAAACGGTCTTTCTGTAGAAACTGCAAGTAGATATTTGGACCTCTCTGAGGATTTCGTTGGAAACGGGATAAACCGCACAGAACTAAAACAGAAGCATTCACAGAAAACTCTTGGTGACGACTGAGTTTAACTCACAGAGCTGAACATTCCTTTGGATGGAGCAGTTTCGAAACACACTATTTGTAGAATGTGCAAGTGGATATGTGGGCCTCTCTGAGGATTTCGTTGGAAACGGGATAAACCGCACAGAACTAAACAGAAGCATTCTCAGAAACTACTTTGTGATGATTGCATTCAAGTCACAGAGTTGAACATTCCCTTTGACAGAGCAGTTTGGAAACTCTCTTTGCGTAGAATCTGCAAGTGGAGATATGGACCGCTTTGAGGCCTATGGTAGTAAAGGAAATAGCTTCATATAAAAGCTAGACAGCAGCATTCTCAGAAACTTCTTTGTGATGCTTGCATTCAACTCACAGAGTTGAACTTTCCTTTCGAGAGAGAAGCTTTGAAACACTCTTTTTCCAGAATCTGCAAGTGGACATTTGGAGGGCTTTGAGGCCTGTGGTGGAAAAGGAATTATCTTCCCGTAAAAGCTAGATAGAAGCATTGTCAGAAACTTCTTTGTGATGATTGCATTCAAGTCACAGAGTTGAAGGTTCCTTTTCAAAGAGCAGTTTCCAATCACTCTTTCTGTGGAATCTGCAAGTGGATATTTGGACCTCTTTGAAGATTTCGTTGGAAACGGGAGAATCTTCACAGAAAAGCTAAACAGAAGCATTCTCAGAAACTTCTCTGTGATGTTTGTGTTCAACTCCCAGAGTTTCACATTGCTTCTCATAGAGTAGTTCTGAAACATGCTTTTCGTAGTGTCTGCAAGTGGACATTTGGAGCGCTTTCAGGCCTGTGGTGGAAAACGAATTATGGTCACATAAAAACTGGAGAGAAGCCTTCTCAGAAACTTCTCTGTGATGATTGCATTCAACTCACAGAGTTGAACCCTCCTATGGATAGAGCAGTGTTGAAACTCTCTTTTTGTGGAATCCGCAAGTGGATATGTGGACCTCTCCGAAGATGTCTTTGGAAACGGGAATATCTTCACATAAAAACTAAACAGAAGCATTCTCAGAAACTTCTTGGTGATGTTTGCATTCAAATCCCAGAGTTGAACCTTCCTTTGAGAGTTCAGGTTTGAAACACTCTTTTTGTAGGATCTGCAAGTGGATATTTGGACCACTCTGTGGCCTTCATTCGAAACGGGTACATCTTCGCATAAAATCTAGACAGAAGCATTCACAGTAAAATACTTTGTGATGATTGAGTTGAACTCACAGAGCTGAACATTCCTTTGGATGGAGCAGGTTTGAGACACACTTTTTGTAGAATCTACAAGTGGATATTTGGACCTCTCTGAGGATTTCGTTGGAAACGGGATAACTGCACCTAACTAAACGGAAGCATTCTCAGAAACTGCTTTGTGATGATTGCATTCACCTCACCAGAGTTGAACATTCCTATTGATAGAGCAGTTTGGAAACACTCTTGTTGTGGAATGTGCAAGTGGAGATTTGGAGCGCTTTGAGGCCTATGGTAGTAAAGGGAATAGCTTCATAGAAAAACTAGACAGATGCATTCTCAGGAACTTTTTGGTGATGTTTGTATTCAACTCCCAGCAGTTGAACTTTCCTTTGGAAAGAGCAGCTATGAAACACTCTTTTTCTAGAATCTGGAAGTGGACGTTTGGAGGGCTTTGTGGTTTGTGGTGGAAAAGGAAATATCTTCACCTAAATACTAGATAGAAGCATTCTCAGAAGCTTCTCTGTGATGACTGCATTCAACTCACGGAGTTGAACACTCCTTTTGAGAGCGCAGTTTTGAAACTCTCTTTCTGTGGCATCTGCAAGGGGACATGTAGACCTCTTTGAAGATTTCGTTGGAAACGGAATCATCTTCACATAGAAACTATACAGAAGCAGTCTCAGAATCTTCTTTGTGATGTTTGCATTCAAATCCCAGAGTTGAACTTTCCTTTCAAAGTTCACGTTTGAAACACTCTTTTTGCAGGATCTACAAGTGGATATTTGGACCACTCTGTGTCCTTCGTTCGAAACGGGTATATCTTCACATGACATCTAGACAGAAGCTTTCTCAGAAAATTCTTTGGGATGATTGAGTGGAACTCACAGAGCTGAACATTCCTTGCGATGTAGCAGTTTAGAAACACACTTTCTGCAGAATCTGCAAGTGCATATTTGGACCTCTCTGAGGAATTCGTTGGAAACGGGATAATTTCAGCTGACTAAACAGAAGCATTCTCAGAACCCTCTTCGTGATGTTTGCATTCAACTCACAGTGTGGAACCTTTCTTTGATAGTTCAGGTTTGAAGCACTCTTTTTGTAGAAACTGCAAGGGGATCATTGCACTTCTTTGAGGCCTACCGTAGTAAAGGAAATAACTTCCTATAGAAAGAAGACAGAAGCATTCTCAGAACCTTCTTCGTGATGTTTGCATTCAACTCACAGTGTTGAACCTTTCTTTGATAGTTCAGGTTTGAAAAGGTCTTTCTGTAGAAACTGCAAGTAGATATTTGGACCTCTCTGAGGATTTCGTTGGAAACGGGATAAACCGCACAGAACTAAAACAGAAGCATTCACAGAAAACTCTTGGTGACGACTGAGTTTAACTCACAGAGCTGAACATTCCTTTGGATGGAGCAGTTTCGAAACGCACTATTTGTAGAATGTGCAAGTGGATATTTGGGCCTCTCTGAGGATTTCGTTGGAAACGGGATAAACCGCACAGAACTAAAGAGAAGCATTCTCAGAAACTACTTTGTGATGATTGCATTCAAGTCACAGAGTTGAACATTCCCTTTGACAGAGCAGTTTGGAAACTCTCTTTGTGTAGAATCTGCAAGTGGAGATATGGACCGCTTTGAGGCCTATGGTAGTAAAGGAAATAGCTTCATATAAAAGCTAGACAGTAGCATTCTCAGAAACTTCTTTGTGATGCTTGCATTCAACTCACAGAGTTGAACTTTCCTTTCGAGAGAGAAGCTTTGAAACACTCTTTTTCCAGAATCTGCAAGTGGACATTTGGAGGGCTTTGAGGCCTGTGGTGGAAAAGGAATTATCTTCCCGTAAAAGCTAGATAGAAGCATTGTCAGAAACTTCTTTGTGATGATTGCATTCAACTCACAGAGTTGAAGGTTCCTTTTCAAAGAGCAGTTTCCAATCACTCTTTCTGTGGAATCTGCAAGTGGATATTTCGACCTATTTTGAAGATTTCGTTGGAAACGGGAGAATCTTCACAGAAAAGCTAAACAGAAGCATTCTCAGAAACTTCTCTGTGATGTTTGTGTTCAACTCCCAGACTTTCACATTGCTTTTCATAGAGTAGTTCTGAAACATGCTTTTCGTAGTGTCTACAAGTGGACATTTGGAGCGCTTCCAGTCCTGTGGTGGAAAACGAATTATGGTCACATAAAAACTGGAGAGAAGCTTTCTCAGAAACTTCTCTGTGATGATTGCATTCAACTCACAGAGTTGAACCCTCCTATGGATAGAGCAGTGTTGAAACTCTCTTTTTGTGGAATCTGCAAGTGGATATGTGGACCTCTCCGAAGATGTCTTTGGAAACGGGAATATCTTCACATAATAACTAAACAGAAGCATTCTCAGAAACTTCTTCGTGATGTTTGCATTCAAATCCCAGAGTTGAACCTTCCTTTGAGAGTTCAGGTTTGAAACACTCTTTTTGTAGGATCTGCAAGTGGATATTTGGACCACTCTGTGGCCTTCGTTCGAAACGGGTACATCTTCGCATAAAATCTAGACAGAAGCATTCTCAGAAAATACTTTTTGATGACTGAGTTGAACTCACAGAGCTGAACATTCCTTTGGATGGAGCAGGTTTGAGACACACTTTTTGTAGAATCTACAAGTGGATATTTGGACCTCTCTGAGGATTTCGTTGGAAACGGGATAACTGCACCTAACTAAACGGAAGCATTCTCAGAAACTGCTTTGTGATGATTGCATTCACCTCACAGAGTTGAACATTCCTATTGATAGAGCAGTTTGGAAACACTCTTCTTGTGGAATGTGCAAGTGGAGATTTGGAGCGCTTTGAGGCCTATGGTAGTAAAGGGAATAGCTTCATAGAAAAACTAGACAGATGCATTCTCAGGAACTTTTTGGTGATGTTTGTATTCAACTCCCAGAGTTGAACTTTCCTTTGGAAAGAGCAGCTATGAAACACTCTTTTTCTAGAATCTGCAAGTGGACGTTTGGAGGGCTTTGTGGTTTGTGGTGGAAAAGGAATATCTTCACCTAAATACTAGATAGAAGCATTCTCAGAAGCTTCTCTGTGATGACTGCATTCAACTCACGGAGTTGAACACTCCTTTTGAGAGCGCAGTTTTGAAACTCTCTTTCTGTGGCATCTGCAAGGGGACATGTAGACCTCTTTGAAGATTTCGTTGGAAACGGAATCATCTTCACATAAAAACTATACAGAAGCAGTCTCAGAATCTTCTTTGTGATGTTTGCATTCAAATCCCAGAGTTGAACTTTCCTTTCAAAGTTCACGTTTGAAACACTCTTTTTGCAGGATCTACAAGTGGATATTTGGACCACTCTGTGTCCTTCGTTCGAAACGGGTATATCTTCACACGACATCTAGACAGAAGCTTTCTCAGAAAATTCTTTGGGATGATTGAGTGGAACTCACAGAGCTGAACATTCCTTGCGATGTAGCAGTTTAGAAACACACTTTCTGCAGAATCTGCAAGTGCATATTTGGACCTCTCTGAGGAATTCGTTGGAAACGGGATAATTTCAGCTGACTAAACAGAAGCATTCTCAGAACCTTCTTCGTGATGTCTGCATTCAACTCACAGTGTGGAACCTTTCTTTGATAGTTCAGGTTTGAAACACTCTTTTTGTAGAAACTGCAAGGGGATAATTGCACTTCTTTGAGGCCTACCGTAGTAAAGGAAATAACTTCCTATAGAAAGAAGACAGAAGCATTCTCAGAACCCTCTTCGTGATGTTTGCATTCAACTCACAGTGCTGAACCTTTCTTTGATAGTTCAGCTTTGAAACACTCTTCTTGTAGAAACTGCAAGTGGATATTTGGTCCTCTCTGAGGATTTCGTTGGAAACGGGATAAACCGCACAGAACTAAACAGAAGAATTCTCAGAGCCCTCTTCGTGATGTTTGCATTCAACTCACAGTGCTGAACCTTTCTTTGATAGTGCAGCTTTGAAACACTCTTTTTGTAGAAACTGCAAGTGGATGTTTGGTCCTCTCTGAGGATTTCGTTGGAAACGGGATAAACCGCACAGAACTAAAACAGAAGCATTGTCAGAAACTTCTTTGTGATGATTGCATTCAACTCACAGAGTTGAAGGTTCCTTTTCAAACAGCAGTTTCCAATCACTCTTTCTGTGGAATCTGCAAGTGGATATTTGGGCCTCTCTGAGGATTTCGTTGGAAACGGGATAAAACGCACAGAACTAAAACAGAAGCATTCTCAGAAACTTCTCTGTGATGTTTGTGTTCAACTCCCAGAGTTTCACGTTGCTTTTCATAGAGTAGTTCTGAAACATGCTTTTCGTAGTGTCTGCAAGTGGACATTTGGAGCGCTTTCAGGCCTGTGGTGGAAAACGAATTATGGTCACATAAAAACTGGAGAGAAGCCTTCTCAGAAACTTCTCTGTGATGATTGCATTCAACTCACAGAGTTGAACCCTCCTATGGATAGAGCAGTGTTGAAACTCTCTTTTTGTGGAATCTGCAAGTGGATATGTGGACCTCTCCGAAGATGTCTTTGGAAACGGGAATATCTTCACATAAAAACTAAACAGAAGCATTCTCAGAAACTTCTTGGTGATGTTTGCATTCAAATCCCAGAGTTGAACCTTCCTTTGATAGTTCAGGTTTGAAACACTCTTTCTGTAGGATCTGCAAGTGGCTATTTGGACCACTCTGTGGCCTTCGTTCGAAACGGGTATATCTTCGCATAAAATCTAGACAGAAGCATTCTCAGAAAATACTTTGTGATGATTGAGTTTAAATCACAGAGCTGACCATTCCTTTGGATGGAGCAGGTTTGAGACACACTTTTTGTAGAATCTACAAGTGGATATTTGGACCTCTCTGAGGATTTCGTTGGAAACGGGATAACTGCACCTAACTAAACGGAAGCATTCTCAGAAACTGCTTTGTGATGATTGCATTCACCTCACAGAGTTGAACATTCCTATTGATAGAGCAGTTTGGAAACACTCTTGTTGTGGAATGTGCAAGTGGAGATTTGGAGCGCTTTGAGGCCTATGGTAGTAAAGGGAATAGCTTCATAGAAAAACTAGACAGATGCATTCTCAGGAACTTTTTGGTGATGTTTGTATTCAACTCCCAGAGTTGAACTTTCCTTTGGAAAGAGCAGCTATGAAACACTCTTTTTCTAGAATCTGCAAGTGGACGTTTGGAGGGCTTTGTGGTTTGTGGTGGAAAAGGAAATATCTTCACCTAAATACTAGATAGAAGCATTCTCAGAAGCTTCTCTGTGATGACTGCATTCAACTCACGGAGTTGAACACTCCTTTTGAGAGTGCAGTTTTGAAACTCTCTTTCTGTGGCATCTGCAAGAGAGACATGTAGACCTCTCTGAAGATTTCGTTGGAAACGGAATCATCTTCACATACAAACTATACAGAAGCAGTCTCAGAATCTTCTTTGTGATGTTTGCATTCAAATCCCAGAGTTGAACTTTCCTTTCAAAGTTCACGTTTGAAACACTCTTTTTGCAGGATCTACAAGTGGATATTTGGACCACTCTGTGTCCTTCGTTCGAAACGGGTATATCTTCACACGACATCTAGACAGAAGCTTTCTCAGAAAATTCTTTGGGATGATTGAGTTGAACTCACAGAGCTGAACATTCCTTGCGATGTAGCAGTTTAGAAACACACTTTCTGCAGAATCTGCAAGTGCATATTTGGACCTCTCTGAGGAATTCGTTGGAAACGGGATAATTTCAGCTGACTAAACAGAAGCATTCTCAGAACCTTCTTCGTGATGTCTGCATTCAACTCACAGTGTGGAACCTTTCTTTGATAGCTCAGGTTTGAAACACTCTTTTTGTAGAAACTGCAAGGGGATAATTGCACTTCTTTGAGGCCTACCGTAGTAAAGGAAATAACTTCCTATAGAAAGAAGACAGAAGCATTCTCAGAACCCTCTTCGTGATGTTTGCATTCAACTCACAGTGCTGAACCTTTCTTTGATAGTTCAGCTTTGAAACACTCTTCTTGTAGAAACTGCAAGTGGATATTTGGTCCTCTCTGAGGATTTCGTTGGAAACGGGATAAACCGCACAGAACTAAACAGAAGAATTCTCAGAGCCCTCTTCGTGATGTTTGCATTCAACTCACAGTGCTGAACCTTTCTTTGATAGTGCAGCTTTGAAACACTCTTTTTGTAGAAACTGCAAGTGGATATTTGGTCCTCTCTGAGGATTTCGTTGGAAACGGGATAAACCGCACAGAACTAAAACAGAAGCATTCACAGAAAACTCTTGGTGACGACTGAGTTTAACTCACAGAGCTGAACATTCCTTTGGATGGAGCAGTTTCGAAACACACTATTTGTAGAATCTGCAAGTGGATATTTGGGCCTCTCTGAGGATTTCGTTGGAAACGGGATAAAACGCACAGAACTAAAACAGAAGCATTCTCAGAAACTACTTTGTGATGATTGCATTCAAGTCACAGAGTTGAACATTCCCTTTGACAGAGCAGTTTGGAAACTCTCTTTGTGTAGAATCTGCAAGTGGAGATATGGACCGCTTTGAGGCCTATGGTAGTAAAGGAAATAGCTTCATATAAAAGCTAGACAGTAGCATTCTCAGAAACTTCTTTGTGATGCTTGCATTCAACTCACAGAGTTGAACTTTCCTTTCGAGAGAGAAGCTTTGAAACACTCTTTTTCCAGAATGTGCAAGTGGACATTTGGGGAGCTTTGAGGCCTGGGGTGGAAAAGGAATTATCTTCCCGTAAAAGCTAGATAGAAGCATTGTCAGAAACTTCTTTGTGATGACTGCATTCAACTCACAGAGTTGAAGGTTCCTTTTCAAACAGCAGTTTCCAATCACTCTTTCTGTGGAATCTGCAAGTGGATATTTCGACCTCTTTGAAGATTTCGTTGGAAACGGGAGAATCTTCACAGAAAAGCTAAACAGAAGCATTCTCAGAAACTTCTCTGTGATGTTTGTGTTCAACTCCCAGAGTTTCACGTTGCTTTTCATAGAGTAGTTCTGAAACATGCTTTTCGTAGTGTCTGCAAGTGGACATTTGGAGCGCTTTCAGGCCTGTGGTGGAAAACGAATTATGGTCACATAAAAACTGGAGAGAAGCCTTCTCAGAAACTTCTCTGTGATGATTGCATTCAACTCACAGAGTTGAACCCTCCTATGGATAGAGCAGTGTTGAAACTCTCTTTTTGTGGAATCTGCAAGTGGATATGTGGACCTCTCCGAAGATGTCTTTGGAAACGGGAATATCTTCACATAAAAACTAAACAGAAGCATTCTCAGAAACTTCTTGGTGATGTTTGCATTCAAATCCCAGAGTTGAACCTTCCTTTGATAGTTCAGGTTTGAAACACTCTTTCTGTAGGATCTGCAAGTGGCTATTTGGACCACTCTGTGGCCTTCGTTCGAAACGGGTATATCTTCGCATAAAATCTAGACAGAAGCATTCTCAGAAAATACTTTGTGATGATTGAGTTTAAATCACAGAGCTGACCATTCCTTTGGATGGAGCAGGTTTGAGACACACTTTTTGTAGAATCTACAAGTGGATATTTGGACCTCTCTGAGGATTTCGTTGGAAACGGGATAACTGCACCTAACTAAACGGAAGCATTCTCAGAAACTGCTTTGTGATGATTGCATTCACCTCACAGAGTTGAACATTCCTATTGATAGAGCAGTTTGGAAACACTCTTGTTGCGGAATGTGCAAGTGGAGATTTGGAGCGCTTTGAGGCCTGTGGTAGTAAAGGGAATAGCTTCATAGAAAAACTAGACAGATGCATTCT
The DNA here is from genome assembly GCF_000001405.40 of Homo sapiens. Lineage (NCBI taxonomy): Eukaryota > Metazoa > Chordata > Mammalia > Primates > Hominidae > Homo > Homo sapiens. The sequence continues at coordinate 23,301,947 of NC_000017.11, forward strand.
CAGGAACTTTTTGGTGATGTTTGTATTCAACTCCCAGAGTTGAACTTTCCTTTGGAAAGAGCAGCTATGAAACACTCTTTTTCTAGAATCTGCAAGTGGACGTTTGGAGGGCTTTGTGGTTTGTGGTGGAAAAGGAAATATCTTCACCTAAATACTAGATAGAAGCATTCTCAGAAGCTTCTCTGTGATGACTGCATTCAACTCACGGAGTTGAACACTCCTTTTGAGAGCGCAGTTTTGAAACTCTCTTTCTGTGGCATCTGCAAGGGGACATGTAGACCTCTTTGAAGATTTCGTTGGAAACGGAATCATCTTCACATAAAAACTATACAGAAGCAGTCTCAGAATCTTCTTTGTGATGTTTGCATTCAAATCCCAGAGTTGAACTTTCCTTTCAAAGTTCACGTTTGAAACACTCTTTTTGCAGGATCTACAAGTGGATATTTGGACCACTCTGTGTCCTTCGTTCGAAACGGGTATATCTTCACACGACATCTAGACAGAAGCTTTCTCAGAAAATTCTTTGGGATGATTGAGTGGAACTCACAGAGCTGAACATTCCTTGCGATGTAGCAGTTTAGAAACACACTTTCTGCAGAATCTGCAAGTGCATATTTGGACCTCTCTGAGGAATTCGTTGGAAACGGGATAATTTCAGCTGACTAAACAGAAGCATTCTCAGACACCCTTCTTCGTGATGTCTGCATTCAACTCACAGTGTGGAACCTTTCTTTGATAGTTCAGGTTTGAAACACTCTTTTTGTAGAAACTGCAAGGGGATAATTGCACTTCTTTGAGGCCTACCGTAGTAAAGGAAATAACTTCCTATAGAAAGAAGACAGAAGCATTCTCAGAACCCTCTTCGTGATGTTTGCATTCAACTCACAGTGCTGAACCTTTCTTTGATAGTTCAGCTTTGAAACACTCTTCTTGTAGAAACTGCAAGTGGATATTTGGTCCTCTCTGAGGATTTCGTTGGAAACGGGATAAACCGCACAGAACTAAACAGAAGAATTCTCAGAGCCCTCTTCGTGATGTTTGCATTCAACTCACAGTGCTGAACTTTTCTTTGATAGTGCAGCTTTGAAACACTCTTTTTGTAGAAACTGCAAGTGGATGTTTGGTCCTCTCTGAGGATTTCGTTGGAAACGGGATAAACCGCACAGAACTAAAACAGAAGCATTGTCAGAAACTTCTTTGTGATGATTGCATTCAACTCACAGAGTTGAAGGTTCCTTTTCAAACAGCAGTTTCCAATCACTCTTTCTGTGGAATCTGCAAGTGGATATTTGGGCCTCTCTGAGGATTTCGTTGGAAACGGGATAAAACGCACAGAACTAAAACAGAAGCATTCTCAGAAACTTCTCTGTGATGTTTGTGTTCAACTCCCAGAGTTTCACGTTGCTTTTCATAGAGTAGTTCTGAAACATGCTTTTCGTAGTGTCTGCAAGTGGACATTTGGAGCGCTTTCAGGCCTGTGGTGGAAAACGAATTATGGTCACATAAAAACTGGAGAGAAGCCTTCTCAGAAACTTCTCTGTGATGATTGCATTCAACTCACAGAGTTGAACCCTCCTATGGATAGAGCAGTGTTGAAACTCTCTTTTTGTGGAATCTGCAAGTGGATATGTGGACCTCTCCGAAGATGTCTTTGGAAACGGGAATATCTTCACATAAAAACTAAACAGAAGCATTCTCAGAAACTTCTTGGTGATGATTGCATTCAAATCCCAGAGTTGAACCTTCCTTTGATAGTTCAGGTTTGAAACACTCTTTCTGTAGGATCTGCAAGTGGCTATTTGGACCACCCTGTGGCCTTCGTTCGAAACGGGTATATCTTCGCATAAAATCTAGACAGAAGCATTCTCAGAAAATACTTTGTGATGATTGAGTTTAACTCACAGAGCTGGACATTCCTTTGGATGGAACAGGTTTGAGACACACTTTTTGTAGAATCTACAAGTGGATATTTGGACCTCTCTGAGGATTTCGTTGGAAACGGGATAACTGCACCTAACTAAACGGAAGCATTCTCAGAAACTGCTTTGTGATGATTGCATTCACCTCACAGAGTTGAACATTCCTATTGATAGAGCAGTTTGGAAACACTCTTGTTGTGGAATGTGCAAGTGGTGATTTGGAGCGCTTTGAGGCCTATGGTAGTAAAGGGAATAGCTTCATAGAAAAACTAGACAGATGCATTCTCAGGAACTTTTTGGTGATGTTTGTATTCAACTCCCAGAGTTGAACTTTCCTTTGGAAAGAGCAGCTATGAAACACTCTTTTTCTAGAATCTGCAAGTGGACGTTTGGAGGGCTTTGTGGTTTGTGGTGGAAAAGGAAATATCTTCACCTAAATACTAGATAGAAGCATTCTCAGAAGCTTCTCTGTGATGACTGCATTCAACTCACGGAGTTGAACACTCCTTTTGAGAGCGCAGTTTTGAAACTCTCTTTCTGTGGCATCTGCAAGGGGACATGTAGACCTCTTTGAAGATTTCGTTGGAAACGGAATCATCTTCACATAAAAACTATACAGAAGCAGTCTCAGAATCTTCTTTGTGATGTTTGCATTCAAATCCCAGAGTTGAACTTTCCTTTCAAAGTTCACGTTTGAAACACTCTTTTTGCAGGATCTACAAGTGGATATTTGGACCACTCTGTGTCCTTCGTTCGAAACGGGTATATCTTCACACGACATCTAGACAGAAGCTTTCTCAGAAAATTCTTTGGGATGATTGAGTGGAACTCACAGAGCTGAACATTCCTTGCGATGTAGCAGTTTAGAAACACACTTTCTGCAGAATCTGCAAGTGCATATTTGGACCTCTCTGAGGAATTCGTTGGAAACGGGATAATTTCAGCTGACTAAACAGAAGCATTCTCAGAACCTTCTTCGTGATGTCTGCATTCAACTCACAGTGTGGAACCTTTCTTTGATAGTTCAGGTTTGAAACACTCTTTTTGTAGAAACTGCAAGGGGATAATTGCACTTCTTTGAGGCCTACCGTAGTAAAGGAAATAACTTCCTATAGAAAGAAGACAGAAGCATTCTCAGAACCCTCTTCGTGATGTTTGCATTGAACTCACAGTGCTGAACCTTTCTTTGATAGTTCAGCTTTGAAACACTCTTCTTGTAGAAACTGCAAGTGGATATTTGGTCCTCTCTGAGGATTTCGTTGGAAACGGGATAAACCGCACAGAACTAAACAGAAGCATTCTCAGAACCTTCTTCGTGATGTTTGCATTCAACTCACAGTGTTGAACCTTTCTTTGATAGTTCAGGTTTGAAACGGTCTTTCTGTAGAAACTGCAAGTAGATATTTGGACCTCTCTGAGGATTTCGTTGGAAACGGGATAAACCGCACAGAACTAAAACAGAAGCATTCACAGAAAACTCTTGGTGACGACTGAGTTTAACTCACAGAGCTGAACATTCCTTTGGATGGAGCAGTTTCGAAACACACTATTTGTAGAATGTGCAAGTGGATATTTGGGCCTCTCTGAGGATTTCGTTGGAAACGGGATAAACCGCACAGAACTAAACAGAAGCATTCTCAGAAACTACTTTGTGATGATTGCATTCAAGTCACAGTAGTTGAACATTCCCTTTGACAGAGCAGTTTGGAAACTCTCTTTGTGTAGAATCTGCAAGTGGAGATATGGACCGCTTTGAGGCCTATGGTAGTAAAGGAAATAGCTTCATATAAAAGCTAGACAGTAGCATTCTCAGGACCTTCTTTGTGATGCTTGCATTCAACTCACAGAGTTGAACTTTCCTTTCGAGAGAGAAGCTTTGAAACACTCTTTTTCCAGAATGTGCAAGTGGACATTTGGAGGGCTTTGAGGCCTGTGGTGGAAAAGGAATTATCTTCCCGTAAAAGCTAGATAGAAGCATTGTCAGAAACTTCTTTGTGATGATTGCATTCAACTCACAGAGTTGAAGGTTCCTTTCCAAACAGCAGTTTCCAAACACTCTTTCTGTGGAATCTGCAAGTGGATATTTGGACCTCTTTGAAGATTTCGTTGGAAACGGGAGAATCTTCACAGAAAAGCTAAACAGAAGCATTCTCAGAAACTTCTCTGTGATGTTTGTGTTCAACTCCCAGAGTTTCACATTGCTTCTCATAGAGTAGTTCTGAAACATGCTTTTCGTAGTGTCTGCAAGTGGTCATTTGGAGCGCTTTCCGGCCTGTGGTGGAAAACGAATTATGGTCACATAAAAACTGGAGAGAAGCCTTCTCAGAAACTTCTCTGTGATGATTGCATTCAACTCACAGAGTTGAACCCTCCTATGGATAGAGCAGTGTTGAAACTCTCTTTTTGTGGAATCTGCAAGTGGATATGTGGACCTCTCCGAAGATGTCTTTGGAAACGGGAATATCTTCACATAAAAACTAAACAGAAGCATTCTCAGAAACTTCTTGGTGATGTTTCTATTCAAATCCCAGAGTTGAACCTTCCTTTGAGAGTTCAGGTTTGAAACACTCTTTTTGTAGGATCTGCAAGTGGATATTTGGACCACTCTGTGGCCTTCGTTCGAAACGGGTACATCTTCGAATAAAATCTAGACAGAAGCATTCTCAGAAAATACTTTGTGATGATTGAGTTGAACTCACAGAGCTGAACATTCCTTTGGATGGAGCAGGTTTGAGACACACTTTTTGTAGAATCTACAAGTGGATATTTGGACCTCTCTGAGGATTTCGTTGGAAACGGGATAACTGCACCTAACTAAACGGAAGCATTCTCAGAAACTGCTTTGTGATGATTGCATTCACCTCACAGAGTTGAACATTCCTATTGATAGAGCAGTTTGAAAACACTCTTCTTGTGGAATGTGCAAGTGGAGATTTGGAGCGCTTTGAGGCCTATGGTAGTAAAGGGAATAGCTTCATAGAAAAATTAGACAGATGCATTCTCAGGAACTTTTTGGTGATGTTTGTATTCAACTCCCAGAGTTGAACTTTCCTTTGGAAAGAGCAGCTATGAAACACTCTTTTTCTAGAATCTGCAAGTGGACGTTTGGAGGGCTTTGTGGTTTGTGGTGGAAAAGGAAATATCTTCACCTAAATACTAGATAGAAGCATTCTCAGAAGCTTCTCTGTGATGACTGCATTCAACTCACGGAGTTGAACACTCCTTTTGAGAGCGCAGTTTTGAAACTCTCTTTCTGTGGCATCTGCAAGGGGACATGTAGACCTCTTTGAAGATTTCGTTGGAAACGGAATCATCTTCACATAAAAACTATACAGAAGCAGTCTCAGAATCTTCTTTGTGATGTTTGCATTCAAATCCCAGAGTTGAACTTTCCTTTCAAAGTTCACGTTTGAAACACTCTTTTTGCAGGATCTACAAGTGGATATTTGGACCACTCTGTGTCCTTCGTTCGAAACGGGTATATCTTCACACGACATCTAGACAGAAGCTTTCTCAGAAAATTCTTTGGGATGATTGAGTGGAACTCACAGAGCTGAACATTCCTTGCGATGTAGCAGTTTAGAAACACACTTTCTGCAGAATCTGCAAGTGCATATTTGGACCTCTCTGAGGAATTCGTTGGAAACGGGATAATTTCAGCTGACTAAACAGAAGCATTCTCAGAACCTTCTTCGTGATGTCTGCATTCAACTCACAGTGTGGAACCTTTCTTTGATAGTTCAGGTTTGAAACACTCTTTTTGTAGAAACTGCAAGGGGATAATTGCACTTCTTTGAGGCCTACCGTAGTAAAGGAAATAACTTCCTATAGAAAGAAGACAGAAGCATTCTCAGAACCCTCTTCGTGATGTTTGCATTCAACTCACAGTGCTGAACCTTTCTTTGATAGTTCAGCTTTGAAACACTCTTCTTGTAGAAACTGCAAGTGGATATTTGGTCCTCTCTGAGGATTTCGTTGGAAACGGGATAAACCGCACAGAACTAAACAGAAGAATTCTCAGAGCCCTCTTCGTGATGTTTGCATTCAACTCACAGTGCTGAACCTTTCTTTGATAGTGCAGCTTTGAAACACTCTTTTTGTAGAAACTGCAAGTGGATGTTTGGTCCTCTCTGAGGATTTCGTTGGAAACGGGATAAACCGCACAGAACTAAAACAGAAGCATTGTCAGAAACTTCTTTGTGATGATTGCATTCAACTCACAGAGTTGAAGGTTCCTTTTCAAACAGCAGTTTCCAATCACTCTTTCTGTGGAATCTGCAAGTGGATATTTGGGCCTCTCTGAGGATTTCGTTGGAAACGGGATAAAACGCACAGAACTAAAACAGAAGCATTCTCAGAAACTTCTCTGTGATGTTTGTGTTCAACTCCCAGAGTTTCACGTTGCTTTTCATAGAGTAGTTCTGAAACATGCTTTTCGTAGTGTCTGCAAGTGGACATTTGGAGCGCTTTCAGGCCTGTGGTGGAAAACGAATTATGGTCACATAAAAACTGGAGAGAAGCCTTCTCAGAAACTTCTCTGTGATGATTGCATTCAACTCACAGAGTTGAACCCTCCTATGGATAGAGCAGTGTTGAAACTCTCTTTTTGTGGAATCTGCAAGTGGATATGTGGACCTCTCCGAAGATGTCTTTGGAAACGGGAATATCTTCACATAAAAACTAAACAGAAGCATTCTCAGAAACTTCTTGGTGATGTTTGCATTCAAATCCCAGAGTTGAACCTTCCTTTGATAGTTCAGGTTTGAAACACTCTTTCTGTAGGATCTGCAAGTGGCTATTTGGACCACTCTGTGGCCTTCGTTCGAAACGGGTATATCTTCGCATAAAATCTAGACAGAAGCATTCTCAGAAAATACTTTGTGATGATTGAGTTTAAATCACAGAGCTGACCATTCCTTTGGATGGAGCAGGTTTGAGACACACTTTTTGTAGAATCTACAAGTGGATATTTGGACCTCTCTGAGGATTTCGTTGGAAACGGGATAACTGCACCTAACTAAACGGAAGCATTCTCAGAAACTGCTTTGTGATGATTGCATTCACCTCACAGAGTTGAACATTCCTATTGATAGAGCAGTTTGGAAACACTCTTGTTGTGGAATGTGCAAGTGGAGATTTGGAGCGCTTTGAGGCCTATGGTAGTAAAGGGAATAGCTTCATAGAAAAACTAGACAGATGCATTCTCAGGAACTTTTTGGTGATGTTTGTATTCAACTCCCAGAGTTGAACTTTCCTTTGGAAAGAGCAGCTATGAAACACTCTTTTTCTAGAATCTGCAAGTGGACGTTTGGAGGGCTTTGTGGTTTGTGGTGGAAAAGGAAATATCTTCACCTAAATACTAGATAGAAGCATTCTCAGAAGCTTCTCTGTGATGACTGCATTCAACTCACGGAGTTGAACACTCCTTTTGAGAGCGCAGTTTTGAAACTCTCTTTCTGTGGCATCTGCAAGGGGACATGTAGACCTCTTTGAAGATTTCGTTGGAAACGGAATCATCTTCGCATAAAAACTATACAGAAGCAGTCTCAAGAATCTTCTTTGTGATGTTTGCATTCAAATCCCAGAGTTGAACTTTCCTTTCAAAGTTCACGTTTGAAACACTCTTTTTGCAGGATCTACAAGTGGATATTTGGACCACTCTGTGTCCTTCGTTCGAAACGGGTATATCTTCACATGACATCTAGACAGAAGCTTTCTCAGAAAATTCTTTGGGATGATTGAGTTGAGCAAACAGAGCTGAACACTCCTTGCGATGTAGCAGTTTAGAAACACACTTTCTGCAGAATCTGCAAGTGCATATGTGGACCTCTCTGAGGAATTCGTTGGAAACGGGATAATTTCAGCTGACTAAACAGAAGCATTCTCAGAACCTTCTTCGTGATGTCTGCATTCAACTCACAGTGTGGAACCTTTCTTTGATAGTTCAGGTTTGAAACACTCTTTTTGTAGAAACTGCAAGGGGATCATTGCACTTCTTTGAGGCCTACCGTAGTAAAGGAGATAACTTACTATAAAAAGAAGACAGAAGCATTCTCAGAGCCCTCTTCGTGATGTTTGCATTCAACTCACAGTGCTGAACCTTTCTTTGATAGTGCAGCTTTGAAACACTCTTTTTGTAGAAACTGCAAGTGGATGTTTGGTCCTCTCTGAGGATTTCGTTGGAAACGGGATAAACCGCACAGAACTAAAACAGAAGCATTGTCAGAAACTTCTTTGTGATGATTGCATTCAACTCACAGAGTTGAAGGTTCCTTTTCAAACAGCAGTTTCCAATCACTCTTTCTGTGGAATCTGCAAGTGGATATTTGGGCCTCTCTGAGGATTTCGTTGGAAACGGGATAAAACGCACAGAACTAAAACAGAAGCATTCTCAGAAACTTCTCTGTGATGTTTGTGTTCAACTCCCAGAGTTTCACGTTGCTTTTCATAGAGTAGTTCTGAAACATGCTTTTCGTAGTGTCTGCAAGTGGACATTTGGAGCGCTTTCAGGCCTGTGGTGGAAAACGAATTATGGTCACATAAAAACTGGAGAGAAGCCTTCTCAGAAACTTCTCTGTGATGATTGCATTCAACTCACAGTAGTTGAACCCTCCTATGGATAGAGCAGTGTTGAAACTCTCTTTTTGTGGAACCTGCAAGTGGATATGTGGACCTCTCCGAAGATGTCTTTGGAAACGGGAATATCTTCACATAAAAACTAAACAGAAGCATTCTCAGAAACTTCTTGGTGATGTTTGCATTCAAATCCCAGAGGTGAACCTTCCTTTGATAGTTCAGGTTTGAAACACTCTTTTTGTAGGATCTGCAAGTGGCTATTTGGACCACTCTGTGGCCTTCGTTAGAAACGGGTATATCTTCGCATAAAATCTAGACAGAAGCATTCTCAGAAAATACTTTGTGATGATTGAGTTTAACTCACGGAGCTGAACATTCCTTTGGATGGAGCAGGTTTGAGACACACTTTTTGTAGAATCTACAAGTGGATATTGGGACCTCTCTGAGGATTTCGTTGGAAACGCGATAACTGCACCTAACTAAACGGAAGCATTCTCAGAAACTGCTTTGTGATGATTGCATTCACCTCACAGAGTTGAACATTCCTATTGATAGAGCAGTTTGGAAACACTCTTGTTGTGGAATGTGCAAGTGGAGATTTGGAGCGCTTTGAGGCCTATGGTAGTAAAGGGAATAGCTTCATAGAAAAACTAGACAGATGCATTCTCAGGAACTTTTTGGTGATGTTTGTATTCAACTCCCAGAGTTGAACTTTCCTTTGGAAAGAGCAGCTATGAAACACTCTTTTTCTAGAATCTGCAAGTGGACGTTTGGAGGGCTTTGTGGTTTGTGGTGGAAAAGGAAATATCTTCACCTAAATACTAGATAGAAGCATTCTCAGAAGCTTCTCTGTGATGACTGCATTCAACTCACGGAGTTGAACACTCCTTTTGAGAGCGCAGTTTTGAAACTCTCTTTCTGTGGCATCTGCAAGGGGACATGTAGACCTCTTTGAAGATTTCGTTGGAAACGGAATCATCTTCACATCAAAACTATACAGAAGCAGTCTCAGAATCTTCTTTGTGATGTTTGCATTCAAATCCCAGAGTTGAACTTTCCTTTCAAAGTTCACGTTTGAAACACTCTTTTTGCAGGATCTACAAGTGGATATTTGGACCACTCTGTGTCCTTCGTTCGAAACGGGTATATCTTCACACGACATCTAGACAGAAGCTTTCTCAGAAAATTCTTTGGGATGATTGAGTGGAACTCACAGAGCTGAACATTCCTTGCGATGTAGCAGTTTAGAAACACACTTTCTGCAGAATCTGCAAGTGCATATTTGGACCTCTCTGAGGAATTCGTTGGAAACGGGATAATTTCAGCTGACTAAACAGAAGCATTCTCAGAACCTTCTTCGTGATGTCTGCATTCAACTCACAGTGTGGAACCTTTCTTTGATAGTTCAGGTTTGAAACACTCTTTTTGTAGAAACTGCAAGGGGATAATTGCACTTCTTTGAGGCCTACCGTAGTAAAGGAAATAACTTCCTATAGAAAGAAGACAGAAGCATTCTCAGAACCCTCTTCGTGATGTTTGCATTCAACTCACAGTGCTGAACCTTTCTTTGATAGTTCAGCTTTGAAACACTCTTCTTGTAGAAACTGCAAGTGGATATTTGGTCCTCTCTGAGGATTTCGTTGGAAACGGGATAAACCGCACAGAACTAAACAGAAGAATTCTCAGAGCCCTCTTCGTGATGTTTGCATTCAACTCACAGTGCTGAACCTTTCTTTGATAGTGCAGCTTTGAAACACTCTTTTTGTAGAAACTGCAAGTGGATGTTTGGTCCTCTCTGAGGATTTCGTTGGAAACGGGATAAACCGCACAGAACTAAAACAGAAGCATTGTCAGAAACTTCTTTGTGATGATTGCATTCAACTCACAGAGTTGAAGGTTCCTTTTCAAACAGCAGTTTCCAATCACTCTTTCTGTGGAATCTGCAAGTGGATATTTGGGCCTCTCTGAGGATTTCGTTGGAAACGGGATAAAACGCACAGAACTAAAACAGAAGCATTCTCAGAAACTTCTCTGTGATGTTTGTGTTCAACTCCCAGAGTTTCACGTTGCTTTTCATAGAGTAGTTCTGAAACATGCTTTTCGTAGTGTCTGCAAGTGGACATTTGGAGCGCTTTCAGGCCTGTGGTGGAAAACGAATTATGGTCACATAAAAACTGGAGAGAAGCCTTCTCAGAAACTTCTCTGTGATGATTGCATTCAACTCACAGAGTTGAACCCTCCTATGGATAGAGCAGTGTTGAAACTCTCTTTTTGTGGAATCTGCAAGTGGATATGTGGACCTCTCCGAAGATGTCTTTGGAAACGGGAATATCTTCACATAAAAACTAAACAGAAGCATTCTCAGAAACTTCTTGGTGATGTTTGCATTCAAATCCCAGAGTTGAACCTTCCTTTGATAGTTCAGGTTTGAAACACTCTTTCTGTAGGATCTGCAAGTGGCTATTTGGACCACTCTGTGGCCTTCATTCGAAACGGGTATATCTTCGCATAAAATCTAGACAGAAGCATTCTCAGAAAATACTTTGTGATGATTGAGTTTAAATCACAGAGCTGAACATTCCTTTGGATGGAGCAGGTTTGAGACACACTTTTTGTAGAATCTACAAGTGGATATTTGCACCTCTCTGAGGATTTCATTGGAAACGGGATAACTGCACCTAACTAAACGGAAGCATTCTCAGAAACTGCTTTGTGATGATTGCATTCACCTCACAGAGTTGAACATTCCTATTGATAGAGCAGTTTGGAAACACTCTTGTTGTGGAATGTGCAAGTGGAGATTTGGAGCGCTTTGAGGCCTATGGTAGTAAAGGGAATAGCTTCATAGAAAAACTAGACAGATGCATTCTCAGGAACTTTTTGGTGATGTTTGTATTCAACTCCCAGAGTTGAACTTTCCTTTGGAAAGAGCAGCTATGAAACACTCTTTTTCTAGAATCTGCAAGTGGACGTTTGGAGGGCTTTGTGGTTTGTGGTGGAAAAGGAAATATCTTCACCTAAATACTAGATAGAAGCATTCTCAGAAGCTTCTCTGTGATGACTGCATTCAACTCACGGAGTTGAACACTCCTTTTGAGAGCGCAGTTATGAAACTCCCTTTCTGTGGCATCTGCAAGGGGACATGTAGACCTCTTTGAAGATTTCGTTGGAAACGGAATCATCTTCACATAAAAACTATACAGAAGCAGTCTCAGAATCTTCTTTGTGATGTTTGCATTCAAATCCCAGAGTTGAACTTTCCTTTCAAAGTTCACGTTTGAAACACTCTTTTTGCAGGATCTACAAGTGGATATTTGGACCACTCTGTGTCCTTCGTTCGAAACGGGTATATCTTCACACGACATCTAGACAGAAGCTTTCTCAGAAAATTCTTTGGGATGATTGAGTGGAACTCACAGAGCTGAACATTCCTTGCGATGGAGCAGTTTAGAAACACACTTTCTGCAGAATCTGCAAGTGCATATTTGGACCTCTCTGAGGAATTCGTTGGAAACGGGATAATTTCAGCTGACTAAACAGAAGCATTCTCAGAACCTTCTTCGTGATGTCTGCATTCAACTCACAGTGTGGAACCTTTCTTTGATAGTTCAGGTTTGAAACACTCTTTTTGTAGAAACTGCAAGGGGATAATTGCACTTCTTTGAGGCCTACCGTAGTAAAGGAAATAACTTCCTATAGAAAGAAGACAGAAGCATTCTCAGAACCCTCTTCGTGATGTTTGCATTCAACTCACAGTGCTGAACCTTTCTTTGATAGTTCAGCTTTGAAACACTCTTCTTGTAGAAACTGCAAGTGGATATTTGGTCCTCTCTGAGGATTTCGTTGGAAACGGGATAAACCGCACAGAACTAAACAGAAGAATTCTCAGAGCCCTCTTCGTGATGTTTGCATTCAACTCACAGTGCTGAACCTTTCTTTGATAGTGCAGCTTTGAAACACTCTTTTTGTAGAAACTGCAAGTGGATGTTTGGTCCTCTCTGAGGATTTCGTTGGAAACGGGATAAACCGCACAGAACTAAAACAGAAGCATTGTCAGAAACTTCTTTGTGATGATTGCATTCAACTCACAGAGTTGAAGGTTCCTTTTCAAACAGCAGTTTCCAATCACTCTTTCTGTGGAATCTGCAAGTGGATATTTGGGCCTCTCTGAGGATTTCGTTGGAAACGGGATAAAACGCACAGAACTAAAACAGAAGCATTCTCAGAAACTTCTCTGTGATGTTTGTGTTCAACTCCCAGAGTTTCACGTTGCTTTTCATAGAGTAGTTCTGAAACATGCTTTTCGTAGTGTCTGCAAGTGGACATTTGGAGCGCTTTCAGGCCTGTGGTGGAAAACGAATTATGGTCACATAAAAACTGGAGAGAAGCCTTCTCAGAAACTTCTCTGTGATGATTGCATTCAACTCACAGAGTTGAACCCTCCTATGGATAGAGCAGTGTTGAAACTCTCTTTTTGTGGAATCTGCAAGTGGATATGTGGACCTCTCCGAAGATGTCTTTGGAAACGGGAATATCTTCACATAAAAACTAAACAGAAGCATTCTCAGAAACTTCTTGGTGATGTTTGCATTCAAATCCCAGAGTTGAACCTTCCTTTGATAGTTCAGGTTTGAAACACTCTTTCTGTAGGATCTGCAAGTGGCTATTTGGACCACTCTGTGGCCTTCGTTCGAAACGGGTATATCTTCGCATAAAATCTAGACAGAAGCATTCTCAGAAAATACTTTGTGATGATTGAGTTTAACTCACAGAGCTGAACATTCCTTTGGATGGAGCAGGTTTGAGACACACCTTTTGTAGAATCTACAAGTGGATATTTGGACCTCTCTGAGGATTTCGTTGGAAACGGGATAACTGCACCTAACTAAACGGAAGCATTCTCAGAAACTGCTTTGTGATGATTGCATTCACCTCACAGAGTTGAACATTCCTATTGATAGAGCAGTTTGGAAACACTCTTGTTGTGGAATGTGCAAGTGGAGATTTGGAGCGCTTTGAGGCCTGTGGTAGTAAAGGGAATAGCTTCATAGAAAAACTAGACAGATGCATTCTCAGGAACTTTTTGGTGATGTTTGTATTCAACTCCCAGAGTTGAACTTTCCTTTGGAAAGAGCAGCTATGAAACACTGTTTTTCTAGAATCTGCAAGTGGACGTTTGGAGGGCTTTGTGGTTTGTGGTGGAAAAGGAAATATCTTCACCTAAATACTAGATAGAAGCATCCTCAGAAGCTTCTCTGTGATGACTGCATTCAACTCACGGAGTTGAACACTCCTTTTGAGAGCGCAGTTTTGAAACTCTCTTTCTGTGGCATCTGCAAGGGGACATGTAGACCTCTTTGAAGATTTCGTTGGAAACGGAATCATCTTCACATAAAAACTATACAGAAGCAGTCTCAGAATCTTCTTTGTGATGTTTGCATTCAAATCCCCGAGTTGAACTTTCCTTTCAAAGTTCACGTTTGAAACACTCTTTTTGCAGGATCTACAAGTGGATATTTGGACCACTCTGTGTCCTTCGTTCGAAACGGGTATATCTTCACATGACATCTAGACAGAAGCTTTCTCAGAAAATTCTTTGGGATGATTGAGTTGAACTCACAGAGCTGAGCATTCCTTGCGATGTAGCAGTTTAGAAACACACTTTCTGCAGAATCTGCAAGTGCATATTTGGACCTCTGTGAGGAATTCGTTGGAAACGGGATAATTTCAGCTGACTAAACAGAAGCATTCTCAGAACCTTCTTCGTGATGTCTGCATTCAACTCACAGTGTGGAACCTTTCTTTGATAGTTCAGGTTTGAAACACTCTTTTTGTAGAAACTGCAAGGGGATAATTGCACTCTTTGAGGAGTACCGTAGTAAAGGAAATAACTTCCTATAAAAAGAAGACAGAAGCATTCTCAGAACCCTCTTCGTGATGTTTGCATTCAACTCACAGTGCTGAACCTTTCTTTGATAGTTCAGCTTTGAAACACTCTTTTTGTAGAAACTGCAAGTGGATATTTGGTCCTCTCTGAGCATTTCGTTGGAAACGGGATAAACTGCACAGAACTAAACAGAAGCATTCTCAGAACCTTCTTCGTGATGTTTGCATTCAACTCACAAGTGTTGAACCTTTCTTTGATAGTTCAGGTTTGAAACGGTCTTTCTGTAGAAACTGCAAGTAGATATTTGGACCTCTCTGAGGATTTCGTTGGAAACGGGATAACCCGCACAGAACTAAAACAGAAGCATTCACAGAAAACTCTTGGTGACGACTGAGTTTAACTCACAGAGCTGAACATTCCTTTGGATGGAGCAGTTTCGAAACACACTATTTGTAGAATGTGCAAGTGGATATTTGGGCCTCTCTGAGGATTTCGTTGGAAACGGGATAAACCGCACAGAACTAAACAGAAGCATTCTCAGAAACTACTTTGTGATGATTGCATTCAAGTCACAGAGTTGAACATTCCCTTTGACAGAGCAGTTTGGAAACTCTCTTTGTGTAGAATCTGCAAGTGGAGATATGGACCGCTTTGAGGCCTATGGTAGTAAAGGAAATAGCTTCATATAAAAGCTAGACAGTAGCATTCTCAGAAACTTCTTTGTGATGCTTGCATTCAACTCACAGAGTTGAACTTTCCTTTTGAGAGAGAAGCTTTGAAACACTCTTTTTCCAGAATGTGCAAGTGGACATTTGGAGGGCTTTGAGGCCTGTGGTGGAAAAGGAATTATCTTCCCGTAAAAGCTAGATGGAAGCATTGTCAGAAACTTCTTTGTGATGATTGCATTCAACTCACAGAGTTGAAGGTTCCTTTTAAACAGCAGTTTCCAATCACTCTTTCTGTGGAATCTGCAAGTGGATATTTGGACCTATTTTGAAGATTTCGTTGGAAACGGGAGAATCTTCACAGAAAAGCTAAACAGAAGCATTCTCAGAAACTTCTCTGTGATATTTGTGTTCAACTCCCAGAGTTTCACGTTGCTTTTCATAGAGTAGTTCTGAAACATGCTTTTCGTAGTGTCTGCAAGTGGACATTTGGAGCGCTTTCAGGCCTGTGGTGGAAAACGAATTATGGTTACATAAAAACTGGAGAGAAGCCTTCTCAGAAACTTCTCTGTGATGATTGCATTCAACTCACAGAGTTGAACCCTCCTATGGATAGAGCAGTGTTGAAACTCTCTTTTTGTGGAATCTGCAAGTGGATATGTGGACCTCTCCGAAGATGTCTTTGGAAACGGGAATATCTTCACATAAAAACTAAACAGAAGCATTCTCAGAAACTTCTTGGTGATGTTTGCATTCAAATCCCAGAGTTGAACCTTCCTTTGATAGTTCAGGTTTGAAACACTCTTTTTGTAGGATCTGCAAGTGGATATTTGGACCACTCTGTGGCCTTCGTTCGAAACGGGTATATCTTCGCATAAAATCTAGACAGAAGCATTCTCAGAAAATACTTTGTGATGATTGAGTTTAACTCACAGAGCTGAACATTCCTTTGGATGGAGCAGGTTTGAGACACACTTTTTGTAGAATCTACAAGTGGATATTTGGACCTCTCTGAGGATTTCGTTGGAAACGCGATAACTGCACCTAACTAAACGGAAGCATTCTCAGAAACTGCTTTGTGATGATTGCATTCACCTCACAGAGTTGAACATTCCTATTGATAGAGCAGTTTGGAAACACTCTTGTTGTGGAATGTGCAAGTGGAGATTTGGAGCGCTTTGAGGCCTATGGTAGTAAAGGGAATAGCTTCATAGAAAAACTAGACAGATGCATTCTCAGGAACTTTTTGGTGATGTTTGTATTCAACTCCCAGAGTTGAACTTTCCTTTGGAAAGAGCAGCTATGAAACACTGTTTTTCTAGAATCTGCAAGTGGACGTTTGGAGGGCTTTGTGGTTTGTGGTGGAAAAGGAAATATCTTCACCTAAATACTAGATAGAAGCATCCTCAGAAGCTTCTCTGTGATGACTGCATTCAACTCACGGAGTTGAACACTCCTTTTGAGAGCGCAGTTTTGAAACTCTCTTTCTGTGGCATCTGCAAGGGGACATGTAGACCTCTTTGAAGATTTCGTTGGAAACGGAATCATCTTCACATAAAAACTATACAGACAGTCTCAGTAATCTTCTTTGTGATGTTTGCATTCAAATCCCAGAGTTGAACTTTCCTTTCAAAGTTCACGTTTGAAACACTCTTTTTGCAGGATCTACAAGTGGATATTTGGACCACTCTGTGTCCTTCGTTCGAAACGGGTATATCTTCACATGACATCTAGACAGAAGCTTTCTCAGAAAATTCTTTGGGATGATTGAGTTGAACTCACAGAGCTGAGCATTCCTTGCGATGTAGCAGTTTAGAAACACACTTTCTGCAGAATCTGCAAGTGCATATTTGGACCTCTGTGAGGAATTCGTTGGAAACGGGATAATTTCAGCTGACTAAACAGAAGCATTCTCAGAACCTTCTTCGTGATGTCTGCATTCAACTCACAGTGTGGAACCTTTCTTTGATAGTTCAGGTTTGAAACACTCTTTTTGTAGAAACTGCAAGGGGATAATTGCACTCTTTGAGGAGTACCGTAGTAAAGGAAATAACTTCCTATAAAAAGAAGACAGAAGCATTCTCAGAACCCTCTTCGTGATGTTTGCATTCAACTCACAGTGCTGAACCTTTCTTTGATAGTTCAGCTTTGAAACACTCTTTTTGTAGAAACTGCAAGTGGATATTTGGTCCTCTCTGAGCATTTCGTTGGAAACGGGATAAACTGCACAGAACTAAACAGAAGCATTCTCAGAACCTTCTTCGTGATGTTTGCATTCAACTCACAGTGTTGAACCTTTCTTTGATAGTTCAGGTTTGAAACGGTCTTTCTGTAGAAACTGCAAGTAGATATTTGGACCTCTCTGAGGATTTCGTTGGAAACGGGATAACCCGCACAGAACTAAAACAGAAGCATTCACAGAAAACTCTTGGTGACGACTGAGTTTAACTCACAGAGCTGAACATTCCTTTGGATGGAGCAGTTTCGAAACACACTATTTGTAGAATGTGCAAGTGGATATTTGGGCCTCTCTGAGGATTTCGTTGGAAACGGGATAAACCGCACAGAACTAAACAGAAGCATTCTCAGAAACTACTTTGTGATGATTGCATTCAAGTCACAGAGTTGAACATTCCCTTTGACAGAGCAGTTTGGAAACTCTCTTTGTGTAGAATCTGCAAGTGGAGATATGGACCGCTTTGAGGCCTATGGTAGTAAAGGAAATAGCTTCATATAAAAGCTAGACAGTAGCATTCTCAGAAACTTCTTTGTGATGCTTGCATTCAACTCACAGAGTTGAACTTTCCTTTCGAGAGAGAAGCTTTGAAACACTCTTTTTCCAGAATCTGCAAGTGGACATTTGGAGGGCTTTGAGGCCTGTGGTGGAAAAGGAATTAACTTCCCGTAAAAGCTAGATAGAAGCATTGTCAGAAACTTCTTTGTGATGATTGCATTCAACTCACAGAGATGAAGGTTCCTTTACAAACAGCAGTTTCCAAACACTCTTTCTGTGGAATCTGCAAGTGGATATTTAGACCTCTTTGAAGATTTCGTTGGAAACGGGAGAATCTTCACAGAAAAGCTAAACAGAAGCATTCTCAGAAACTTCTCTGTGATGTTTGTGTTCAACTCCCAGAGTTTCACATTGCTTTTCATAGAGTAGTTCTGAAACATGCTTTTCGTAGTGTCTGCAAGTGGACATTTGGAGCGCTTTCAGGCCTGTGGTGGAAAACGAATTATGGTCCCATAAAAACTGGAGAGAAGCCTTCTCAGAAACTTCTCTGTGATGATTGCATTCAACTCACAGATTTGAACCCTCCTATGGATAGAGCATTGTTGAAACTCTCTTTTTGTGGAATCTGCAAGTGGATATGTGGACCTCTCCGAAGATGTCTTTGGAAACGGGAATATCTTCACATAAAAACTAAACAGAAGCATTCTCAGAAACTTCTTGGTGATGTTTGCATTCAAATCCCAGAGTTGAACCTTCCTGTGATAGTTCAGGTTTGAATCACTCTTTTTGTAGGATCTGCAAGTGGATATTTGGACCACTCTGTGGCCTTCGTTCGAAACGGGTACATCTTCACATAAAATCTAGACAGAAGCATTCTCAGAAAATACTTTGTGATGATTGAGTTTAACTCACAGAGCTGAACATTCCTTTGGATGGAGCAGGTTTGAGACACACTTTTTGTAGAATCTACAAGTGGATATTTGGACCTCTCTGAGGATTTCGTTGGAAACGCGATAACTGCACCTAACTACACGGAAGCCTTCTCAGAAACTACTTTGTGATGATTGCATTCACCTCACGGAGTGGAGCATTCCTATTGACAGAGCAGTTTGGAAACACTCTTGTTGTGGAATGTGCAAGTGGAGATTTGGAGCGCTTTGAGGCCTATGGTAGTAAAGGGAATAGCTTCATAGAAAAATTAGACAGATGCATTCTCAGGAACTTTTTGGTGATGTTTGTATTCAACTCCCAGAGTTGAACTTTCCTTTGGAAAGAGCAGCTATGAAACACTCTTTTTCTAGAATCTGCAAGTGGACGTTTGGAGGGCTTTGTGGTTTGTGGTGGAAAAGGAAATATCTTCACCTAAATACTAGATAGAAGCATTCTCAGAAGCTTCTCTGTGATGACTGCATTCAACTCACGGAGTTGAACACTCCTTTTGAGAGCGCAGTTTTGAAACTCTCTTTCTGTGGCATCTGCAAGGGGACATGTAGACCTCTTTGAAGATTTCGTTGGAAACGGAATCATCTTCACATAAAAACTATACAGAAGCAGTCTCAGAATCTTCTTTGTGATGTTTGCATTCAAATCCCAGAGTTGAACTTTCCTTTCAAAGTTCACGTTTGAAACACTCTTTTTGCAGGATCTACAAGTGGATATTTGGACCACTCTGTGTCCTTCGTTCGAAACGGGTATATCTTCACATGACATCTAGACAGAAGCTTTCTCAGAAAATTCTTTGGGATGATTGAGTTGAACTCACAGAGCTGAACATTCCTTGCGATGGAGCAGTTTAGAAACACACTTTCTGCAGAATCTGCAAGTGCATATTTGGACCTCTCTGAGGAATTCGTTGGAAACGGGATAATTTCAGCTGACTAAACAGAAGCATTCTCAGAACCTTCTTCGTGATGTCTGCATTCAACTCACAGTGTGGAACCTTTCTTTGATAGTTCAGGTTTGAAACACTCTTTTTGTAGAGACTGCAAGGGGATAATTGCACTTCTTTGAGGCCTACCGTAGTAAAGGAAATAACTTCCTATAAAAAGAAGACAGAAGCATTCTCAGAACCCTCTTCGTGATGTTTGCATTCAACTCACAGTGCTGAAACTTTCTTTGATAGTTCAGCTTTGAAACACTCTTTTTGTAGAAACTGCAAGTGGATACTTGGTCCTCTCTGAGGATTTCGTTGGAAAAGGGATAAACCGCACAGAACTAAACAGAAGCATTCACAGAAAACTCTTGGTGACGACTGAGTTTAACTCACAGAGCTGAACATTCCTTTGGATGGAGCATTTTCGAAACACACTATTTGTAGAATCTGCACGTGGATATTTGAGCCTCTCTGAGGATTTCGATGGAAACGGGATAAACCGCACAGAACTAAAACAGAAGCATTCTCAGAAACTACTTTGTGATGATTGCATTCAAGTCACAGAGTTGAACATTCCCTTTGACAGAGCAGTTTGGAAACTCTCTTTGTGTAGAATCTGCAAGTGGAGATATGGAATGCTTTGAGGACTATGGTAGTAAAGGAAATAGCTTCATATAAAAGCTAGACAGTAGCATTCTCAGAAACTTCTTTGTGATGCTTGCATTCAACTCACAGATGTTGAACTTTCCTTTCGAGAGAGAAGCTTTGAAACACTCTTTTTCCAGAATCTGCAAGTGGACATTTGGAGGGCTTTGAGGCCTGTGGTGGAAAAGGAATTATCTTCCCGTAAAAGCTAGATAGAAGAATTGTCAGAAATTTCTTTGTGATGATTGCATTCAACTCAAAGAGTTGAAGGTTCCTTTTCAAGCAGCCGTTTGCAAACACTCTTTCTGTGGAATGTGGAAGAGGATATTTGGACGTCTTTGAAGATTTCGTTGGAAACATGATAATCTTCCCAGAAAAGCTAAACAGAAGCATTCTCAGAAACTTCTCTGTGATGTTTGTGTTCAACTCACAGTGTTTCACGTTGCTTTTCATAGAGCAGTTCTGAAACATTCTTTTCGCAGTGTCTACAAGTGGACATTTGGAGAGCTTTCAGGCCTGTGGTGGAAAAGAAATTATCGTCACATAAGAACTAGAGAGAAGCCTTCTCAGAAACTTCTCTGTGATGACTGCATTCAACTCACAGAGTTGAACCCTCCTATGGATAGAGCAGTGTTGAAACTCTCTTTTTGTGGAATCTGCAAGTGGATATGTGGACCTCTCCGAAGATGTTCTTTGGAAACGGGAATATCTTCACATAAAAACTAAACAGAAGCATTCTCAGAAACTTCTTGGTGATGTTTGCATTCAAATCCCAGAGTTGAACCTTCCTTTGATAGTTCAGGTTTGAAACACTCTTTTTGTAGGATCTGCAAGTGGATATTTGGACCACTCTGTTGCCTTCGTTCAAAACGGGTACATCTTCGCATAATATCTAGACAGAAGCATTCTCAGAAAATACTTTGTGATGATTGAGTTTAAATCACAGAGCTGACCATTCCTTTGGATGGAGCAG
The DNA here is from genome assembly GCF_000001405.40 of Homo sapiens. Classification (NCBI taxonomy): domain Eukaryota; kingdom Metazoa; phylum Chordata; class Mammalia; order Primates; family Hominidae; genus Homo; species Homo sapiens. Next base: position 23,323,219 of record NC_000017.11, read on the forward strand.
GTTTGAGACACACTTTTTGTAGAATCTACAAGTGGATATTTGGACCTCTCTGAGGATTTCGTTGGAAACGGGATAACTGCACCTAACTAAACGGAAGCATTCTCAGAAACTGCTTTGTGATGATTGCATTCACCTCACAGAGTTGAACATTCCTATTGATAGAGCAGTTTGGAAACACTCTTGTTGTGGAATGTGCAAGTGGAGATTTGGAGCGCTTTGAGGCCTATGGTAGTAAAGGGAATAGCTTCATAGAAAAACTAGACAGATGCATTCTCAGGAACTTTTTGGTGATGTTTGTATTCAACTCCCAGAGTTGAACTTTCCTTTGGAAAGAGCAGCTATGAAACACTCTTTTTCTAGAATCTGCAAGTGGACGTTTGGAGGGCTTTGTGGTTTGTGGTGGAAAAGGAAATATCTTCACCTAAATACTAGATAGAAGCATTCTCAGAAGCTTCTCTGTGATGACTGCATTCAACTCACGGAGTTGAACACTCCTTTTGAGAGCGCAGTTTTGAAACTCTCTTTCTGTGGCATCTGCAAGGGGACATGTAGACCTCTTTGAAGATTTCGTTGGAAACGGAATCATCTTCACATAAAAACTATACAGAAGCAGTCTCAGAATCTTCTTTGTGATGTTTGCATTCAAATCCCAGAGTTGAACTTTCCTTTCAAAGTTCACGTTTGAAACACTCTTTTTGCAGGATCTACAAGTGGATATTTGGACCACTCTGTGTCCTTCGTTCGAAACGGGTATATCTTCACACGACATCTAGACAGAAGCTTTCTCAGAAAATTCTTTGGGATGATTGAGTGGAACTCACAGAGCTGAACATTCCTTGCGATGTAGCAGTTTAGAAACACACTTTCTGCAGAATCTGCAAGTGCATATTTGGACCTCTCTGAGGAATTCGTTGGAAACGGGATAATTTCAGCTGACTAAACAGAAGCATTCTCAGAACCTTCTTCGTGATGTCTGCATTCAACTCACAGTGTGGAACCTTTCTTTGATAGTTCAGGTTTGAAACACTCTTTTTGTAGAAACTGCAAGGGGATAATTGCACTTCTTTGAGGCCTACCGTAGTAAAGGAAATAACTTCCTATAGAAAGAAGACAGAAGCATTCTCAGAACCCTCTTCGTGATGTTTGCATTCAACTCACAGTGCTGAACCTTTCTTTGATAGTTCAGCTTTGAAACACTCTTCTTGTAGAAACTGCAAGTGGATATTTGGTCCTCTCTGAGGATTTCGTTGGAAACGGGATAAACCGCACAGAACTAAACAGAAGAATTCTCAGAGCCCTCTTCGTGATGTTTGCATTCAACTCACAGTGCTGAACCTTTCTTTGATAGTGCAGCTTTGAAACACTCTTTTTGTAGAAACTGCAAGTGGATATTTGGTCCTCTCTGAGGATTTCGTTGGAAACGGGATAAACCGCACAGAACTAAAACAGAAGCATTCACAGAAAACTCTTGGTGACGACTGAGTTTAACTCACAGAGCTGAACATTCCTTTGGATGGAGCAGTTTCGAAACACACTATTTGTAGAATCTGCAAGTGGATATTTGGGCCTCTCTGAGGATTTCGTTGGAAACCGGATTAAAACGCACAGAACTAAAACAGAAGCATTCTCAGAAACTACTTTGTGATGATTGCATTCAAGTCACAGAGTTGAACATTCCCTTTGACAGAGCAGTTTGGAAACTCTCTTTGTGTAGAATCTGCAAGTGGAGATATGGACCGCTTTGAGGCCTATGGTAGTAAAGGAAATAGCTTCATATAAAAGCTAGACAGTAGCATTCTCAGAAACTTCTTTGTGATGCTTGCATTCAACTCACAGAGTTGAACTTTCCTTTCGAGAGAGAAGCTTTGAAACACTCTTTTTCCAGAATGTGCAAGTGGACATTTGGGGAGCTTTGAGGCCTAGGGTGGAAAAGGAATTATCTTCCCGTAAAAGCTAGATAGAAGCATTGTCAGAAACTTCTTTGTGATGATTGCATTCAACTCACAGAGTTGAAGGTTCCTTTTCAAACAGCAGTTTCCAATCACTCTTTCTGTGGAATCTGCAAGTGGATATTTCGACCTCTTTGAAGATTTCGTTGGAAACGGGAGAATCTTCACAGAAAAGCTAAACAGAAGCATTCTCAGAAACTTCTCTGTGATGTTTGTGTTCAACTCCCAGAGTTTCACGTTGCTTTTCATAGAGTAGTTCTGAAACATGCTTTTCGTAGTGTCTGCAAGTGGACATTTGGAGCACTTTCAGGCCTGTGGTGGAAAACGAATTATGGTCACATAAAAACTGGAGAGAAGCCTTCTCAGAAACTTCTCTGTGATGATTGCATTCAACTCACAGAGTTGAACCCTCCTATGGATAGAGCAGTGTTGAAACTCTCTTTTTGTGGAATCTGCAAGTGGATATGTGGACCTCTCCGAAGATGTCTTTGGAAACGGGAATATCTTCACATAAAAACTAAACAGAAGCATTCTCAGAAACTTCTTGGTGATGTTTGCATTCAAATCCCAGAGTTGAACCTTCCTTTGATAGTTCAGGTTTGAAACACTCTTTCTGTAGGATCTGCAAGTGGCTATTTGGACCACTCTGTGGCCTTCGTTCGAAACGGGTATATCTTCGCATAAAATCTAGACAGAAGCATTCTCAGAAAATACTTTGTGATGATTGAGTTTAAATCACAGAGCTGACCATTCCTTTGGATGGAGCAGGTTTGAGACACACTTTTTGTAGAATCTACAAGTGGATATTTGGACCTCTCTGAGGATTTCGTTGGAAACGGGATAACTGCACCTAACTAAACGGAAGCATTCTCAGAAACTGCTTTGTGATGATTGCATTCACCTCACAGAGTTGAACATTCCTATTGATAGAGCAGTTTGGAAACACTCTTGTTGTGGAATGTGCAAGTGGAGATTTGGAGCGCTTTGAGGCCTGTGGTAGTAAAGGGAATAGCTTCATAGAAAAACTAGACAGATGCATTCTCAGGAACCTTTTGGTGATGTTTGTATTCAACTCCCAGAGTTGAACTTTCCTTTGGAAAGAGCAGCTATGAAACACTCTTTTTCTAGAATCTGCAAGTGGACGTTTGGAGGGCTTTGTGGTTTGTGGTGGAAAAGGAAATATCTTCACCTAAATACTAGATAGAAGCATTCTCAGAAGCTTCTCTGTGATGACTGCATTCAACTCACGGAGTTGAACACTCCTTTTGAGAGCGCAGTTTTGAAACTCTCTTTCTGTGGCATCTGCAAGGGGACATGTAGACCTCTTTGAAGATTTCGTTGGAAACGGAATCATCTTCACATAAAAACTATACAGAAGCAGTCTCAGAATCTTCTTTGTGATGTTTGCATTCAAATCCCAGAGTTGAACTTTCCTTTCAAAGTTCACGTTTGAAACACTCTTTTTGCAGGATCTACAAGTGGATATTTGGACCACTCTGTGTCCTTCGTTCGAAACGGGTATATCTTCACACGACATCTAGACAGAAGCTTTCTCAGAAAATTCTTTGGGATGATTGAGTGGAACTCACAGAGCTGAACATTCCTTGCGATGGAGCAGTTTAGAAACACACTTTCTGCAGAATCTGCAAGTGCATATTTGGACCTCTCTGAGGAATTCGTTGGAAACGGGATAATTTCAGCTGACTAAACAGAAGCATTCTCAGAACCTTCTTCGTGATGTCTGCATTCAACTCACAGTGTGGAACCTTTCTTTGATAGTTCAGGTTTGAAACACTCTTTTTGTAGAAACTGCAAGGGGATAATTGCACTTCTTTGAGGCCTACCGTAGTAAAGGAAATAACTTCCTATAGAAAGAAGACAGAAGCATTCTCAGAACCCTCTTCGTGATGTTTGCATTCAACTCACAGTGCTGAACCTTTCTTTGATAGTTCAGCTTTGAAACACTCTTCTTGTAGAAACTGCAAGTGGATATTTGGTCCTCTCTGAGGATTTCGTTGGAAACGGGATAAACCGCACAGAACTAAACAGAAGAATTCTCAGAGCCCTCTTCGTGATGTTTGCATTCAACTCACAGTGCTGAACCTTTCTTTGATAGTGCAGCTTTGAAACACTCTTTTTGTAGAAACTGCAAGTGGATGTTTGGTCCTCTCTGAGGATTTCGTTGGAAACGGGATAAACCGCACAGAACTAAAACAGAAGCATTGTCAGAAACTTCTTTGTGATGATTGCATTCAACTCACAGAGTTGAAGGTTCCTTTTCAAACAGCAGTTTCCAATCACTCTTTCTGTGGAATCTGCAAGTGGATATTTGGGCCTCTCTGAGGATTTCGTTGGAAACGGGATAAAACGCACAGAACTAAAACAGAAGCATTCTCAGAAACTTCTCTGTGATGTTTGTGTTCAACTCCCAGAGTTTCACGTTGCTTTTCATAGAGTAGTTCTGAAACATGCTTTTCGTAGTGTCTGCAAGTGGACATTTGGAGCGCTTTCAGGCCTGTGGTGGAAAACGAATTATGGTCACATAAAAACTGGAGAGAAGCCTTCTCAGAAACTTCTCTGTGATGATTGCATTCAACTCACAGAGTTGAACCCTCCTATGGATAGAGCAGTGTTGAAACTCTCTTTTTGTGGAATCTGCAAGTGGATATGTGGACCTCTCCGAAGATGTCTTTGGAAACGGGAATATCTTCACATAAAAACTAAACAGAAGCATTCTCAGAAACTTCTTGGTGATGTTTGCATTCAAATCCCAGAAGTTGAACCTTCCTTTGATAGTTCAGGTTTGAAACACTCTTTTTGTAGGATCTGCAAGTGGATATTTGGACCACTCTGTGGCCTTCGTTCGAAACGGCTATATCTTCGCATAAAATCTAGACAGAAGCATTCTCAGAAAATACTTTGTGATGATTGAGTTAAAATCACAGAGCTGAACATTCCTTTGGATGGAGCAGGTTTGAGACACACTTTTTGTAGAATCTACAAGTGGATATTTGGACCTCTCTGAGGATTTCGTTGGAAACGGGATAACTGCACCTAACTAAACGGAAGCATTCTCAGAAACTGCTTTGTGATGATTGCATTCACCTCACAGAGTTGAACATTCGTATTGATAGAGCAGTTTGGAAACACTCTTCTTGTGGAATGTGCAAGTGGAGATTTGGAGCGCTTTGGGGCCTATGGTAGTAAAGGGAATAGCTTCATAGAAAAACTAGACAGATGCATTCTCAGGAACTTTTTGGTGATGTTTGTATTCAACTCCCAGAGTTGAACTTTCCTTTGGAAAGAGCAGCTATGAAACACTCTTTTTCTAGAATCTGCAAGTGGACGTTTGGAGGGCTTTGTGGTTTGTGGTGGAAAAGGAAATATCTTCACCTAAATACTAGATAGAAGCATTCTCAGAAGCTTCTCTGTGATGACTGCATTCAACTCACGGAGTTGAACACTCCTTTTGAGAGCGCAGTTTTGAAACTCTCTTTCTGTGGCATCCGCAAGGGGACATGTGGACCTCTTTGAAGATTTCGTTGGAAACGGAATCATCTTCACATAAAAACTATACAGAAGCAGTCTCAGAATCTTCTTTGTGATGTTTGCATTCAAATCCCAGAGTTGAACTTTCCTTTCAAAGTTCACGTTTGAAACACTCTTTTTGCAGGATCTACAAGTGGATATTTGGACCACTCTGTGTCCTTCGTTCGAAACGGGTATATCTTCACATGACATCTAGACAGAAGCTTTCTCAGAAAATTCTTTGGGATGATTGAGTGGAACTCACAGAGCTGAACATTCCTTGCGATGTAGCAGTTTAGAAACACACTTTCTGCAGAATCTGCAAGTGCATATTTGGACATCTCTGAGGAATTCGTTGGAAACGGGATAATTTCAGCTGACTAAACAGAAGCATTCTCAGAACCTTCTTCGTGATGTCTGCATTCAACTCACAGTGTGGAACCTTTCTTTGATAGTTCAGGTTTGAAACACTCTTTTCGTAGAAACTGCAAGGGGATAATTGCAGTTCTTTGAGGCCTACCGTCGTAAAGGAAATAACTTCCTATAGAAAGAAGACAGAAGCATTCTCAGAACCCTCTTCGTGATGTTTGCATTCAACTCACAGTGCTGAACCTTTCTTTGATAGTTCAGCTTTGAAACACTCTTCTTGTAGAAACTGCAAGTGGATATTTGGTCCTCTCTGAGGATTTCGTTGGAAACGGGATAAACCGCACAGAACTAAACAGAAGAACTCTCAGAGCCCTCTTCGTGATGTTTGCATTCAACTCACAGTGCTGAACCTTTCTTTGATAGTGCAGCTTTGAAACACTCTTTTTGTAGAAACTGCAAGTGGATATTTGGTCCTCTCTGAGGATTTCGTTGGAAACGGGATAAACCGCACAGAACTAAAACAGAAGCATTCACAGAAAACTCTTGGTGACGACTGAGTTTAACTCACAGAGCTGAACATTCCTTTGGATGGAGCAGTTTCGAAACACACTATTTGTAGAATCTGCAAGTGGATATTTGGGCCTCTCTGAGGATTTCGTTGGAAACGGGATAAAACGCACAGAACTAAAACAGAAGCATTCTCAGAAACTACTTTGTGATGATTGCATTCAAGTCACAGAGTTGAACATTCCCTTTGACAGAGCAGTTTGGAAACTCTCTTTGTGTAGAATCTGCAAGTGGAGATATGGACCGCTTTGAGGCCTATGGTAGTAAAGGAAATAGCTTCATATAAAAGCTAGACAGTAGCATTCTCAGAAACTTCTTTGTGATGCTTGCATTCAACTCACAGAGTTGAACTTTCCTTTCGAGAGAGAAGCTTTGAAACACTCTTTTTCCAGAATGTGCAAGTGGACATTTGGGGAGCTTTGAGGCCTGGGGTGGAAAAGGAATTATCTTCCCGTAAAAGCTAGATAGAAGCATTGTCAGAAACTTCTTTGTGATGATTGCATTCAACTCACAGAGTTGAAGGTTCCTTTTCAAACAGCAGTTTCCAATCACTCTTTCTGTGGAATCTGCAAGTGGATATTTCGACCTCTTTGAAGATTTCGTTGGAAACGGGAGAATCTTCACAGAAAAGCTCAACAGAAGCATTCTCAGAAACTTCTCTGTGATGTTTGTGTTCAACTCCCAGAGTTTCACGTTGCTTTTCATAGAGTAGTTCTGAAACATGCTTTTCGTAGTGTCTGCAAGTGGACATTTGGAGCGCTTTCAGGCCTGTGGTGGAAAACGAATTATGGTCACATAAAAACTGGAGAGAAGCCTTCTCAGAAACTTCTCTGTGATGATTGCATTCAACTCACAGAGTTGAACCCTCCTATGGATAGAGCAGTGTTGAAACTCTCTTTTTGTGGAATCTGCAAGTGGATATGTGGACCTCTCCGAAGATGTCTTTGGAAACGGGAATATCTTCACATAAAAACTAAACAGAAGCATTCTCAGAAACTTCTTGGTGATGTTTGCATTCAAATCCCAGAGTTGAACCTTCCTTTGATAGTTCAGGTTTGAAACACTCTTTCTGTAGGATCTGCAAGTGGCTATTTGGACCACTCTGTGGCCTTCGTTCGAAACGGGTATATCTTCGCATAAAATCTAGACAGAAGCATTCTCAGAAAATACTTTGTGATGATTGAGTTTAAATCACAGAGCTGACCATTCCTTTGGATGGAGCAGGTTTGAGACACACTTTTTGTAGAATCTACAAGTGGATATTTGGACCTCTCTGAGGATTTCGTTGGAAACGGGATAACTGCACCTAACTAAACGGAAGCATTCTCAGAAACTGCTTTGTGATGATTGCATTCACCTCACAGAGTTGAACATTCCTATTGATAGAGCAGTTTGGAAACACTCTTGTTGCGGAATGTGCAAGTGGAGATTTGGAGCGCTTTGAGGCCTGTGGTAGTAAAGGGAATAGCTTCATAGAAAAACTAGACAGATGCATTCTCAGGAACTTTTTGGTGATGTTTGTATTCAACTCCCAGAGTTGAACTTTCCTTTGGAAAGAGCAGCTATGAAACACTCTTTTTCTAGAATCTGCAAGTGGACGTTTGGAGGGCTTTGTGGTTTGTGGTGGAAAAGGAAATATCTTCACCTAAATACTAGATAGAAGCATTCTCAGAAGCTTCTCTGTGATGACTGCATTCAACTCACGGAGTTGAACACTCCTTTTGAGAGCGCAGTTTTGAAACTCTCTTTCTGTGGCATCTGCAAGGGGACATGTAGACCTCTTTGAAGATTTCGTTGGAAACGGAATCATCTTCACATAAAAACTATACAGAAGCAGTCTCAGAATCTTCTTTGTGATGTTTGCATTCAAATCCCAGAGTTGAACTTTCCTTTCAAAGTTCACGTTTGAAACACTCTTTTTGCAGAATCTACAAGTGGATATTTGGACCACTCTGTGTCCTTCGTTCGAAACGGGTATATCTTCACATGACATCTAGACAGAAGCTTTCTCAGAAAATTCTTTAGGATGATTGAGTGGAACTCACAGAGCTGAACATTCCTTGCGATGTAGCAGTTTAGAAACACACTTTCTGCAGAATCTGCAAGTGCATATTTGGACCTCTCTGAGGAATTCGTTGGAAACGGGATAATTTCAGCTGACTAAACAGAAGCATTCTCAGAACCTTCTTCGTGATGTCTGCATTCAACTCACAGTGTGGAACCTTTCTTTGATAGTTCAGGTTTGAAACACTCTTTTTGTAGAAACTGCAAGGGGATAATTGCACTTCTTTGAGGCCTACCGTAGTAAAGGAAATAACTTCCTATAGAAAGAAGACAGAAGCATTCTCAGAACCCTCTTCGTGATGTTTGCATTCAACTCACAGTGCTGAACCTTTCTTTGATAGTTCAGCTTTGAAACACTCTTCTTGTAGAAACTGCAAGTGGATATTTGGTCCTCTCTGAGGATTTCGTTGGAAACGGGATAAACCGCACAGAACTAAACAGAAGAATTCTCAGTAGCCCTCTTCGTGATGTTTGCATTCAACTCACAGTGCTGAACCTTTCTTTGATAGTGCAGCTTTGAAACACTCTTTTTGTAGAAACTGCAAGTGGATGTTTGGTCCTCTCTGAGGATTTCGTTGGAAACGGGATAAACCGCACAGAACTAAAACAGAAGCATTCACAGAAAACACTTGGTGACGACTGAGTTTAACTCACAGAGCTGAACATTCCTTTGGATGGAGCAGTTTCGAAACACACTATTTGTAGAATGTGCAAGTGGATATGTGGGCCTCTCTGAGGATTTCGTTGGAAATGGGATAAACCGCACAGAACTAAACAGAAGCATTCTCAGAAACTACTTTGTGATGATTGCATTCAAGTCACAGAGTTGAACATTCCCTTTGACAGAGCAGTTTGGAAACTCTCTTTGTGTAGAATCTGCAAGTGGAGATATGGACCGCTTTGAGGCCTATGGTAGTAAAGGAAATAGCTTCATATAAAAGCTAGACAGTAGCATTCTCAGAAACTTCGTTGTGATGCTTGCATTCAACTCACAGAGTTGAACTTTCCTTTCGAGAGAGAAGCCTTGAAACACTCTTTTTCCAGAATCTGCAAGTGGACATTTGGAGGGCTTTGAGGCCTGTGGTGGAAAAGGAATTATCTTCCCGTAAAAGCTAGATAGAAGCATTGTCAGAAACTTCTTTGTGATGATTGCATTCAACTCACAGAGTTGAAGGTTCCTTTTCAAAGAGCAGTTTCCAATCACTCTTTCTGTGGAATCTGCAAGTGGATATTTGGACCTCTTTGAAGATTTCGTTGGAAACGGGAGAATCTTCACAGAAAAGCTAAACAGAAGCATTCTCAGAAACTTCTCAGTGATGTTTGTGTTCAACTCCCAGAGTTTCACATTGCTTTTCATAGAGTAGTTCTGAAACATGCTTTTCGTAGTGTCTGCAAGTGGACATTTGGAGCGCTTTCAGGCCTGTGGTGGAAAACGAATTATGGTCACATAAAAACTGGAGAGAAGCCTTCTCAGAAACTTCTCTGTGATGATTGCATTCAACTCACAGAGTTGAACCCTCCTATGGATAGAGCAGTGTTGAAACTCTCTTTTTGTGGAATCTGCAAGTGGATATGTGGACCTCTCCGAAGATGTCTTTGGAAACGGGAATATCTTCACATAAAAACTAAACAGAAGCATTCTCAGAAACTTCTTGGTGATGTTTGCATTCAAATCCCAGAGTTGAACCTTCCTTTGATAGTTCAGGTTTGAAACACTCTTTTTGTAGGATCTGCAAGTGGATATTTGGACCACTCTGTGGCCTTCGTTCGAAACGGGTATATCTTCGCATAAAATCTAGACAGAAGCATTCTCAGAAAATACTTTGTGATGATTGAGTTTAACTCACAGAGCTGAACATTCCTTTGGATGGAGCAGGTTTGAGACACACCTTTTGTAGAATCTACAAGTGGATATTTGGACCTCTCTGAGGATTTCGTTGGAAACGGGATAACTGCACCTAACTAAACGGAAGCATTCTCAGAAACTGCTTTGTGATGATTGCATTCACCTCACAGAGTTGAACATTCCTATTGATAGAGCAGTTTGGAAACACTCTTGTTGTGGAATGTGCAAGTGGAGATTTGGAGCGCTTTGAGGCCTATGGTAGTAAAGGGAATAGCTTCATAGAAAAACTAGACAGATGCATTCTCAGGAACTTTTTGGTGATGTTTGTATTCAACTCCCAGAGTTGAACTTTCCTTTGGAAAGAGCAGCTATGAAACACTCTTTTTCTAGAATCTGCAAGTGGACGTTTGGAGGGCTTTGTGGTTTGTGGTGGAAAAGGAAATATCTTCACCTAAATACTAGATAGAAGCATTCTCAGAAGCTTCTCTGTGATGACTGCATTCAACTCACGGAGTTGAACACTCCTTTTGAGAGCGCAGTTTTGAAACTCTCTTTCTGTGGCATCTGCAAGGGGACATGTAGACCTCTTTGAAGATTTCGTTGGAAACGGAATCATCTTCACATAAAAACTATACAGAAGCAGTCTCAGAAATCTTCTTTGTGATGTTTGCATTCAAATCCCAGAGTTGAACTTTCCTTTCAAAGTTCACGTTTGAAACACTCTTTTTGCAGGATCTACAAGTGGATATTTGGACCACTCTGTGTCCTTCGTTCGAAACGGGTATATCTTCACACGACATCTAGACAGAAGCTTTCTCAGAAAATTCTTTGGGATGATTGAGTGGAACTCACAGAGCTGAACATTCCTTGCGATGTAGCAGTTTAGAAACACACTTTCTGCAGAATCTGCAAGTGCATATTTGGACCTCTCTGAGGAATTCGTTGGAAACGGGATAATTTCAGCTGACTAAACAGAAGCATTCTCAGAACCTTCTTCGTGATGTCTGCATTCAACTCACAGTGTGGAACCTTTCTTTGATAGTTCAGGTTTGAAACACTCTTTTTGTAGAAACTGCAAGGGGATAATTGCACTTCTTTGAGGCCTACCGTAGTAAAGGAAATAACTTCCTATAGAAAGAAGACAGAAGCATTCTCAGAACCCTCTTCGTGATGTTTGCATTCAACTCACAGTGCTGAACCTTTCTTTGATAGTTCAGCTTTGAAACACTCTTCTTGTAGAAACTGCAAGTGGATATTTGGTCCTCTCTGAGGATTTCGTTGGAAACGGGATAAACCGCACAGAACTAAACAGAAGCATTCTCAGAACCTTCTTCGTGATGTTTGCATTCAACTCACAGTGTTGAACCTTTCTTTGATAGTTCAGGTTTGAAACGGTCTTTCTGTAGAAACTGCAAGTAGATATTTGGACCTCTCTGAGGATTTCGTTGGAAACGGGATAAACCGCACAGAACTAAAACAGAAGCATTCACAGAAAACTCTTGGTGACGACTGAGTTTAACTCACAGAGCTGAACATTCCTTTGGATGGAGCAGTTTCGAAACACACTATTTGTAGAATGTGCAAGTGGATATTTGGGCCTCTCTGAGGATTTCGTTGGAAACGGGATAAACCGCACAGAACTAAACAGAAGCATTCTCAGAAACTACTTTGTGATGATTGCATTCAAGTCACAGAGTTGAACATTCCCTTTGACAGAGCAGTTTGGAAACTCTCTTTCTGTAGAATCTGCAAGTGGAGATATGGACCGCTTTGAGGCCTATGGTAGTAAAGGAAATAGCTTCATATAAAAGCTAGACAGTAGCATTCTCAGAAACTTCTTTGTGATGCTTGCATTCAACTCACAGAGTTGAACTTTCCTTTCAAGAGAGAAGCTTTGAAACACTCTTTTTCCAGAATCTGCAAGTGGACATTTGGAGGGCTTTGAGGCCTGTGGTAGAAAAGGAATTAACTTCCCGTAAAAGCTAGATAGAAGCATTGTCAGAAACTTCTTTGTGATGATTGCATTCAACTCACAGAGTTGAAGGTTCCTTTTCAAACAGCAGTTTCCAATCACTCTTTCTGTGGAATCTGCAAGTGGATATTTGGGCCTCTCTGAGGATTTCGTTGGAAACGGGATAAAACGCACAGAACTAAAACAGAAGCATTCTCAGAAACTTCTCTGTGATGTTTGTGTTCAACTCCCAGAGTTTCACGTTGCTTTTCATAGAGTAGTTCTGAAACATGCTTTTCGTAGTGTCTGCAAGTGGACATTTGGAGCGCTTTCAGGCCTGTGGTGGAAAACGAATTATGGTCACATAAAAACTGGAGAGAAGCCTTCTCAGAAACTTCTCTGTGATGATTGCATTCAACTCACAGAGTTGAACCCTCCTATGGATAGAGCAGTGTTGAAACTCTCTTTTTGTGGAATCTGCAAGTGGATATGTGGACCTCTCCGAAGATGTCTTTGGAAACGGGAATATCTTCACATAAAAACTAAACAGAAGCATTCTCAGAAACTTCTTGGTGATGTTTGCATTCAAATCCCAGAGTTGAACCTTCCTTTGATAGTTCAGGTTTGAAACACTCTTTCTGTAGGATCTGCAAGTGGCTATTTGGACCACTCTGTGGCCTTCGTTCGAAACGGGTATATCTTCGCATAAAATCTAGACAGAAGCATTCTCAGAAAATACTTTGTGATGATTGAGTTTAAATCACAGAGCTGACCATTCCTTTGGATGGAGCAGGTTTGAGACACACTTTTTGTAGAATCTACAAGTGGATATTTGGACCTCTCTGAGGATTTCGTTGGAAACGGGATAACTGCACCTAACTAAACGGAAGCATTCTCAGAAACTGCTTTGTGATGATTGCATTCACCTCACAGAGTTGAACATTCCTATTGATAGAGCAGTTTGGAAACACTCTTGTTGTGGAATGTGCAAGTGGAGATTTGGAGCGCTTTGAGGCCTATGGTAGTAAAGGGAATAGCTTCATAGAAAAACTAGACAGATGCATTCTCAGGAACCTTTTGGTGATGTTTGTATTCAACTCCCAGAGTTGAACTTTCCTTTGGAAAGAGCAGCTATGAAACACTCTTTTTCTAGAATCTGCAAGTGGACGTTTGGAGGGCTTTGTGGTTTGTGGTGGAAAAGGAAATATCTTCACCTAAATACTAGATAGAAGCATTCTCAGAAGCTTCTCTGTGATGACTGCATTCAACTCACGGAGTTGAACACTCCTTTTGAGAGCGCAGTTTTGAAACTCTCTTTCTGTGGCATCTGCAAGGGGACATGTAGACCTCTTTGAAGATTTCGTTGGAAACGGAATCATCTTCACATAAAAACTATACAGAAGCAGTCTCAGAATCTTCTTTGTGATGTTTGCATTCAAATCCCAGAGTTGAACTTTCCTTTCAAAGTTCACGTTTGAAACACTCTTTTTGCAGGATCTACAAGTGGATATTTGGACCACTCTGTGTCCTTCGTTCGAAACGGGTATATCTTCACACGACATCTAGACAGAAGCTTTCTCAGAAAATTCTTTGGGATGATTGAGTGGAACTCACAGAGCTGAACATTCCTTGCGATGTAGCAGTTTAGAAACACACTTTCTGCAGAATCTGCAAGTGCATATTTGGACCTCTCTGAGGAATTCGTTGGAAACGGGATAATTTCAGCTGACTAAACAGAAGCATTCTCAGAACCTTCTTCGTGATGTCTGCATTCAACTCACAGTGTGGAACCTTTCTTTGATAGTTCAGGTTTGAAACACTCTTTTTGTAGAAACTGCAAGGGGATAATTGCACTTCTTTGAGGCCTACCGTAGTAAAGGAAATAACTTCCTATAGAAAGAAGACAGAAGCATTCTCAGAACCCTCTTCGTGATGTTTGCATTCAACTCACAGTGCTGAACCTTTCTTTGATAGTTCAGCTTTGAAACACTCTTCTTGTAGAAACTGCAAGTGGATATTTGGTCCTCTCTGAGGATTTCGTTGGAAACGGGATAAACCGCACAGAACTAAACAGAAGCATTCTCAGAGCCCTCTTCGTGATGTTTGCATTCAACTCACAGTGCTGAACCTTTCTTTGATAGTGCAGCTTTGAAACACTCTTTTTGTAGAAACTGCAAGTGGATGTTTGGTCCTCTCTGAGGATTTCGTTGGAAACGGGATAAACCGCACAGAACTAAAACAGAAGCATTGTCAGAAACTTCTTTGTGATGATTGCATTCAACTCACAGAGTTGAAGGTTCCTTTTCAAACAGCAGTTTCCAATCACTCTTTCTGTGGAATCTGCAAGTGGATATTTGGGCCTCTCTGAGGATTTCGTTGGAAACGGGATAAAACGCACAGAACTAAAACAGAAGCATTCTCAGAAACTTCTCTGTGATGTTTGTGTTCAACTCCCAGAGTTTCACGTTGCTTTTCATAGAGTAGTTCTGAAACATGCTTTTCGTAGTGTCTGCAAGTGGACATTTGGAGCGCTTTCAGGCCTGTGGTGGAAAACGAATTATGGTCACATAAAAACTGGAGAGAAGCCTTCTCAGAAACTTCTCTGTGATGATTGCATTCAACTCACAGAGTTGAACCCTCCTATGGATAGAGCAGTGTTGAAACTCTCTTTTTGTGGAATCTGCAAGTGGATATGTGGACCTCTCCGAAGATGTCTTTGGAAACGGGAATATCTTCACATAAAAACTAAACAGAAGCATTCTCAGAAACTTCTTGGTGATGTTTGCATTCAAATCCCAGAGTTGAACCTTCCTTTGATAGTTCAGGTTTGAAACACTCTTTCTGTAGGATCTGCAAGTGGCTATTTGGACCACTCTGTGGCCTTCGTTCGAAACGGGTATATCTTCGCATAAAATCTAGACAGAAGCATTCTCAGAAAATACTTTGTGATGATTGAGTTTAAATCACAGAGCTGACCATTCCTTTGGATGGAGCAGGTTTGAGACACACTTTTTGTAGAATCTACAAGTGGATATTTGGACCTCTCTGAGGATTTCGTTGGAAACGGGATAACTGCACCTAACTAAACGGAAGCATTCTCAGAAACTGCTTTGTGATGATTGCATTCACCTCACAGAGTTGAACATTCCTATTGATAGAGCAGTTTGGAAACACTCTTGTTGTGGAATGTGCAAGTGGAGATTTGGAGCGCTTTGAGGCCTATGGTAGTAAAGGGAATAGCTTCATAGAAAAACTAGACAGATGCATTCTCAGGAACTTTTTGGTGATGTTTGTATTCAACTCCCAGAGTTGAACTTTCCTTTGGAAAGAGCAGCTATGAAACACTCTTTTTCTAGAATCTGCAAGTGGACGTTTGGAGGGCTTTGTGGTTTGTGGTGGAAAAGGAAATATCTTCACCTAAATACTAGATAGAAGCATTCTCAGAAGCTTCTCTGTGATGACTGCATTCAACTCACGGAGTTGAACACTCCTTTTGAGAGCGCAGTTTTGAAACTCTCTTTCTGTGGCATCTGCAAGGGGACATGTAGACCTCTTTGAAGATTTCGTTGGAAACGGAATCATCTTCACATAAAAACTATACAGAAGCAGTCTCAGAATCTTCTTTGTGATGTTTGCATTCAAATCCCAGAGTTGAACTTTCCTTTCAAAGTTCACGTTTGAAACACTCTTTTTGCAGGATCTACAAGTGGATATTTGGACCACTCTGTGTCCTTCGTTCGAAACGGGTATATCTTCACAGGACATCTAGACAGAAGCTTTCTCAGAAAATTCTTTGGGATGATTGAGTTGAACTCACAGAGCTGAACATTCCTTGCGATGTAGCAGTTTAGAAACACACTTTCTGCAGAATCTGCAAGTGCATATTTGGACCTCTCTGAGGAATTCGTTGGAAACGGGATAATTTCAGCTGACTAAACAGAAGCATTCTCAGAACCTTCTTCGTGATGTCTGCATTCAACTCACAGTGTGGAACCTTTCTTTGATAGTTCAGGTTTGAAACACTCTTTTTGTAGAAACTGCAAGGGGATAATTGCACTTCTTTGAGGCCTACCGTCGTAAAGGAAATAACTTCCTATAGAAAGAAGACAGAAGCATTCTCAGAACCCTCTTCGTGATGTTTGCATTCAACTCACAGTGCTGAACCTTTCTTTGATAGTTCAGCTTTGAAACACTCTTCTTGTAGAAACTGCAAGTGGATATATGGTCCTTTCTGAGGATTTCGTTGGAAACGGGATAAACCGCACAGAACTAAACAGAAGCATTCTCTGAACCTTCTTCGTGATGTTTGCATTCAACTCACAGTGTTGAACCTTTCTTTGATAGTTCAGGTTGGAAACGGTCTTTCTGTAGAAACTGCAAGAAGATATTTGGACCTCTCTGAGGATTTCGTTGGAAACGGGATAAACCGCACAGAACTAAAACAGAAGCATTCACAGAAAACTCTTGGTGACGACTGAGTTTAACTCACAGAGCTGAACATTCCTTTGGATGGAGCAGTTTCGAAACACACTATTTGTAGAATGTGCAAGTGGATATTTGGGCCTCTCTGAGGATTTCGCTGGAAACGGGATAAACCGCACAGAACTAAACAGAAGCATTCTCAGAAACTACTTTGTGATGATTGCATTCAAGTCACAGAGTTGAACATTCCCTTTGACAGAGCAGTTTGGAAACTCTCTTTGTGTAGAATCTGCAAGTGGAGATATGGACCGCTTTGAGGCCTATGGTAGTAAAGGAAATAGCTTCATATAAAAGCTAGACAGTAGCATTCTCAGAAACTTCCTTGTGATGCTTGCATTCAACTCACAGAGTTGAACTTTCCTTTCGAGAGAGAAGCTTTGAAACACTCTTTTTCCAGAATCTGCAAGTGGACATTTGGAGGGCTTTGAGGCCTGTGGTGGAAAAGGAATTATCTTCCCGTAAAAGCTAGATAGAAGCATTGTCAGAAACTTCTTTGTGATGATTGCATTCAACTCACAGAGTTGAAGGTTCCTTTTCAAAGAGCAGTTTCCAATCACTCTTTCTGTGGAATATGCAAGTGGATATTTGGACCTATTTTGAAGATTTCGTTGGAAACGGGAGAATCTTCACAGAAAAGCTAAACAGAAGCATTCTCAGAAACTTCTCTGTGATGTTTGTGTTCAACTCCCAGAGTTTCACATTGCTTTTCATAGAGTAGTTCTGAAACATGCTTTTCGTAGTGTCTACAAGTGGACATTTGGAGCGCTTTCAGGCCTGTGGTGGAAAACGAATTATGGTCACATAAAAACTGGAGAGAAGCCTTCTCAGAAACTTCTCTGTGATGATTGCATTCAACTCACAGAGTTGAACCCTCCTATGGATAGAGCAGTGTTGAAACTCTCTTTTTGTGGAATCTGCAAGTGGATATGTGGACCTCTCCGAAGATGTCTTTGGAAACGGGAATATCTTCACATAAAAACTAAACAGAAGCATTCTCAGAAACTTCTTGGTGATGTTTGCATTCAAATCCCAGAGTTGAACCTTCCTTTGATAGTTCAGGTTTGAAACACTATTTTTGTAGGATCTGCAAGTGGATATTTGGACCACTCTGTGGCCTTCGTTCGAAACGGGTATATCTTCGCATAAAATCTAGACAGAAGCATTCTCAGAAAATACTTTGTGATGATTGAGTTTAACTCACAGAGCTGAACATTCCTTTGGATGGAGCAGGTTTGAGACACACTTTTTGTAGAATCTACAAGTGGATATTTGGACCTCTCTGAGGATTTCGTTGGAAACGCGATAACTGCACCTAACTAAACGGAAGCATTCTCAGAAACTGCTTTGTGATGATTGCATTCACCTCACAGAGTTGAACATTCCTATTGATAGAGCAGTTTGGAAACACTCTTGTTGTGGAATGTGCAAGTGGAGATTTGGAGCGCTTTGAGGCCTATGGTAGTAAAGGGAATAGCTTCATAGAAAAACTAGACAGATGCATTCTCAGGAACTTTTTGGTGATGTTTGTATTCAACTCCCAGAGTTGAACTTTCCTTTGGAAAGAGCAGCTATGAAACACTCTTTTTCTAGAATCTGCAAGTGGACGTTTGGAGGGCTTTGTGGTTTGTGGTGGAAAAGGAAATATCTTCACCTAAATACTAGATAGAAGCATTCTCAGAAGCTTCTCTGTGATGACTGCATTCAACTCACGGAGTTGAACACTCCTTTTGAGAGCGCAGTTTTGAAACTCTCTTTCTGTGGCATCTGCAAGGGGACATGTAGACCTCTTTGAAGATTTCGTTGGAAACGGAATCATCTTCACATAAAAACTATACAGAAGCAGTCTCAGAATCTTCTTTGTGATGTTTGCATTCAAATCCCAGAGTTGAACTTTCCTTTCAAAGTTCACGTTTGAAACACTCTTTTTGCAGGATCTACAAGTGGATATTTGGACCACTCTGTGTCCTTCGTTCGAAACGGGTATATCTTCACACGACATCTAGACAGAAGCTTTCTCAGAAAATTCTTTGGGATGATTGAGTGGAACTCACAGAGCTGAACATTCCTTGCGATGGAGCAGTTTAGAAACACACTTTCTGCAGAATCTGCAAGTGCATATTTGGACCTCTCTGAGGAATTCGTTGGAAACGGGATAATTTCAGCTGACTAAACAGAAGCATTCTCAGAACCTTCTTCGTGATGTCTGCATTCAACTCACAGTGTGGAACCTTTCTTTGATAGTTCAGGTTTGAAACACTCTTTTTGTAGAAACTGCAAGGGGATAATTGCACTTCTTTGAGGCCTACCGTAGTAAAGGAAATAACTTCCTATAGAAAGAAGACAGAAGCATTCTCAGAACCCTCTTCGTGATGTTTGCATTCAACTCACAGTGCTGAACCTTTCTTTGATAGTTCAGCTTTGAAACACTCTTCTTGTAGAAACTGCAAGTGGATATTTGGTCCTCTCTGAGGATTTCGTTGGAAACGGGATAAACCGCACAGAACTAAACAGAAGAATTCTCAGAGCCCTCTTCGTGATGTTTGCATTCAACTCACAGTGCTGAACCTTTCTTTGATAGTGCAGCTTTGAAACACTCTTTTTGTAGAAACTGCAAGTGGATGTTTGGTCCTCTCTGAGGATTTCGTTGGAAACGGGATAAACCGCACAGAACTAAAACAGAAGCATTGTCAGAAACTTCTTTGTGATGATTGCATTCAACTCACAGAGTTGAAGGTTCCTTTTCAAACAGCAGTTTCCAATCACTCTTTCTGTGGAATCTGCAAGTGGATATTTGGGCCTCTCTGAGGATTTCGTTGGAAACGGGATAAAACGCACAGACCTAAAACAGAAGCATTCTCAGAAACTTCTCTGTGATGTTTGTGTTCAACTCCCAGAGTTTCACGTTGCTTTTCATAGAGTAGTTCTGAAACATGCTTTTCGTAGTGTCTGCAAGTGGACATTTGGAGCGCTTTCAGGCCTGTGGTGGAAAACGAATTATGGTCACATAAAAACTGGAGAGAAGCCTTCTCAGAAACTTCTCTGTGATGATTGCATTCAACTCACAGAGTTGAACCCTCCTATGGATAGAGCAGTGTTGAAACTCTCTTTTTGTGGAACCTGCAAGTGGATATGTGGACCTCTCCGAAGATGTCTTTGGAAACGGGAATATCTTCACATAAAAACTAAACAGAAGCATTCTCAGAAACTTCTTGGTGATGTTTGCATTCAAATCCCAGAGTTGAACCTTCCTTTGATAGTTCAGGTTTGAAACACTCTTTCTGTAGGATCTGCAAGTGGCTATTTGGACCACTCTGTGGCCTTCGTTCGAAACGGGTATATCTTCGCATAAAATCTAGACAGAAGCATTCTCAGAAAATACTTTGTGATGATTGAGTTTAAATCACAGAGCTGACCATTCCTTTGGATGGAGCAGGTTTGAGACACACTTTTTGTAGAATCTACAAGTGGATATTTGGACCTCTCTGAGGATTTCGTTGGAAACGGGATAACTGCACCTAACTAAACGGAAGCATTCTCAGAAACTGCTTTGTGATGATTGCATTCACCTCACAGAGTTGAACATTCCTATTGATAGAGCAGTTTGGAAACACTCTTGTTGTGGAATGTGCAAGTGGAGATTTGGAGCGCTTTGAGGCCTGTGGAAGTAAAGGGAATAGCTTCATAGAAAAACTAGACAGATGCATTCTCTGGAACTTTTTGGTGATGTTTGTATTCAACTCCCAGAGTTGAACATTCCTTTGGAAAGAGCAGCTATGAAACCCTCTTTTTCTAGAATCTGCAAGTGGACGTTTGGAGGGCTTTGTGGTTTGTGGTGGAAAAGGAAATATCTTCACCTAAATACTAGATAGAAACATTCTCAGAAGCTTCTCTGTGATGACTGCATTCAACTCACGGAGTTGAACACTCCTTTTGAGAGCGCAGTTTTGAAACTCTCTTTCAGTGGCATCTGCAAGGGGACATGTAGACCTCTTTGAAGATTTCGTTGGAAACGGAATCATCTTCACATCAAAACTATACAGAAGCAGTCTCAGAATCTTCTTTGTGATGTTTGCATTCAAATCCCAGAGTTGAACTTTCCTTTCAAAGTTCACGTTTGAAACACTCTTTTTGCAGGATCTACAAGTGGATATTTGGACCACTCTGTGTCCTTCGTTCGAAACGGGTATATCTTCACATGACATCTAGACAGAACCTTTCTCAGAAAATTCTTTGTGATGATTGAGTTGAACTCACAGAGCTGAACATTCCTTGCGATGGAGCAGTTTAGAAACACACTTTCTGCAGAATCTGCAAGTGCATATTTGGACCTCTCTGAGGAATTCGTTGGAAACGGGATAATTTCAGCTGACTAAACAGAAGCATTCTCAGAACCTTCTTCGTGATGTCTGCATTCAACTCACAGTGTGGAACCTTTCTTTGATAGTTCAGGTTTGAAACACTCTTTTTGTAGAAACTGCAAGGGGATAATTGCACTTCTTTGAGGCCTACCGTAGTAAAGGAAATAACTTCCTATAGAAAGAAGACAGAAGCATTCTCAGAACCCTCTTCGTGATGTTTGCATTCAACTCACAGTGCTGAACCTTTCTTTGATAGTTCAGCTTTGAAACACTCTTCTTGTAGAAACTGCAAGTGGATATTTGGTCCTCTCTGAGGATTTCGTTGGAAACGGGATAAACCGCACAGAACTAAACAGAAGAATTCTCAGAGCCCTCTTCGTGATGTTTGCATTCAACTCACAGTGCTGAACCTTTCTTTGATAGTGCAGCTTTGAAACACTCTTTTTGTAGAAACTGCAAGTGGATGTTTGGTCCTCTCTGAGGATTTCGTTGGAAACGGGATAAACCGCACAGAACTAAAACAGAAGCATTGTCAGAAACTTCTTTGTGATGATTGCATTCAACTCACAGAGTTGAAGGTTCCTTTTCAAACAGCAGTTTCCAATCACTCTTTCTGTGGAATCTGCAAGTGGATATTTGGGCCTCTCTGAGGATTTCGTTGGAAACGGGATAAAACGCACAGAACTAAAACAGAAGCATTCTCAGAAAACTTCTCTGTGATGTTTGTGTTCAACTCCCAGAGTTTCACGTTGCTTTTCATAGAGTAGTTCTGAAACATGCTTTTCGTAGTGTCTGCAAGTGGACATTTGGAGCGCTTTCAGGCCTGTGGTGGAAAACGAATTATGGTCACATAAAAACTGGAGAGAAGCCTTCTCAGAAACTTCTCTGTGATGATTGCATTCAACTCACAGAGTTGAACCCTCCTATGGATAGAGCAGTGTTGAAACTCTCTTTTTGTGGAATCTGCAAGTGGATATGTGGACCTCTCCGAAGATGTCTTTGGAAACGGGAATATCTTCACATAAAAACTAAACAGAAGCATTCTCAGAAACTTCTTGGTGATGTTTGCATTCAAATCCCAGAGTTGAACCTTCCTTTGATAGTTCAGGTTTGAAACACTCTTTCTGTAGGATCTGCAAGTGGCTATTTGGACCACTCTGTGGCCTTCGTTCGAAACGGGTATATCTTCGCATAAAATCTAGACAGAAAGCATTCTCAGAAAATACTTTGTGATGATTGAGTTTAAATCACAGAGCTGACCATTCCTTTGGATGGAGCAGGTTTGAGACACACTTTTTGTAGAATCTACAAGTGGATATTTGGACCTCTCTGAGGATTTCGTTGGAAACGGGATAACTGCACCTAACTAAACGGAAGCATTCTCAGAAACTGCTTTGTGATGATTGCATTCACCTCACAGAGTTGAACATTCCTATTGATTGAGCAGTTTGGAAACACTCTTGTTGTGGAATGTGCAAGTGGAGATTTGGAGCGCTTTGAGGCCTATGGTAGTAAAGGGAATAGCTTCATAGAAAAACTAGACAGATGCATTCTCAGGAACTTTTTGGTGATGTTTGTATTCAACTCCCAGAGTTGAACTTTCCTTTGGAAAGAGCAGCTATGAAACACTCTTTTTCTAGAATCTGCAAGTGGACGTTTGGAGGGCTTTGTGGTTTGTGGTGGAAAAGGAAATATCTTCACCTAAATACTAGATAGAAGCATTCTCAGAAGCTTCTCTGTGATGACTGCATTCAACTCACGGAGTTGAACACTCCTTTTGAGAGCGCAGTTTTGAAACTCTCTTTCTGTGGCATCTGCAAGGGGACATGTAGACCTCTTTGAAGATTTCGTTGGAAACGGAATCATCTTCACATAAAAACTATACAGAAGCAGTCTCAGAATCTTCTTTGTGATGTTTGCATTCAAATCCCAGAGTTGAACTTTCCTTTCAAAGTTCACGTTTGAAACACTCTTTTTGCAGGATCTACAAGTGGATATTTGGACCACTCTGTGTCCTTCGTTCGAAACGGGTATATCTTCACACGACATCTAGACAGAAGCTTTCTCAGAAAATTCTTTGGGATGATTGAGTGGAACTCACAGAGCTGAACATTCCTTGCGATGTAGCAGTTTAGAAACACACTTTCTGCAGAATCTGCAAGTGCATATTTGGACCTCTCTGAGGAATTCGTTGGAAACGGGATAATTTCAGCTGACTAAACAGAAGCATTCTCAGAACCTTCTTCGTGATGTCTGCATTCAACTCACAGTGTGGAACCTTTCTTTGATAGTTCAGGTTTGAAACACTCTTTTTGTAGAAACTGCAAGGGGATAATTGCACTTCTTTGAGGCCTACCGTAGTAAAGGAAATAACTTCCTATAGAAAGAAGACAGAAGCATTCTCAGAACCTTCTTCGTGATGTTTGCATTCAACTCACAGTGTTGAACCGTTCCTTGATAGTTCAGGTTTGAAACGGTCTTTCTGTAGAAAATGCAAGTAGATATTTGGACCTCTCTGAGGATTTCGTTGGAAACGGGATAAACCGCACAGAACTAAAACGGAAGCATTCTCAGAGCCCTCTTCGTGATGTTTGCATTCAACTCACAGTGCTGAACCTTTCTTTGATAGTGCAGCTTTGAAACACTCTTTTTGTAGAAACTGCAAGTGGATATTTGGTCCTCTCTGAGGATTTCGTTGGAAACGGGATAAACCGCACAGAACTAAAACAGAAGCATTGTCAGAAACTTCTTTGTGATGATTGCATTCAACTCACAGAGTTGAAGGTTCCTTTTCAAACAGCAGTTTCCAATCACTCTTTCTGTGGAATCTGCAAGTGGATATTTGGGCCTCTCTGAGGATTTCGTTGGAAACGGGATAAAACGCACAGAACTAAAACAGAAGCATTCTCAGAAACTTCTCTGTGATGTTTGTGTTCAACTCCCAGAGTTTCACGTTGCTTTTCATAGAGTAGTTCTGAAACATGCTTTTCGTAGTGTCTGCAAGTGGACATTTGGAGCGCTTTCAGGCCTGTGGTGGAAAACGAATTATGGTCACATAAAAACTGGAGAGAAGCCTTCTCAGAAACTTCTCTGTGATGATTGCATTCAACTCACAGAGTTGAACCCTCCTATGGATAGAGCAGTGTTGAAACTCTCTTTTTGTGGAATCTGCAAGTGGATATGTGGACCTCTCCGAAGATGTCTTTGGAAACGGGAATATCTTCACATAAAAACTAAACAGAAGCATTCTCAGAAACTTCTTGGTGATGTTTGCATTCAAATCCCAGAGTTGAACCTTCCTTTGATAGTTCAGGTTTGAAACACTCTTTCTGTAGGATCTGCAAGTGGCTATTTGGACCACTCTGTGGCCTTCGTTCGAAACGGGTATATCTTCGCATAAAATCTAGACAGAAGCATTCTCAGAAAATACTTTGTGATGATTGAGTTTAAATCACAGAGCTGACCATTCCTTTGGATGGAGCAGGTTTGAGACACACTTTTTGTAGAATCTACAAGTGGATATTTGGACCTCTCTGAGGATTTCGTTGGAAACGGGATAACTGCACCTAACTAAACGGAAGCATTCTCAGAAACTGCTTTGTGATGATTGCATTCACCTCACAGAGTTGAACATTCCTATTGATAGAGCAGTTTGGAAACACTCTTGTTGTGGAATGTGCAAGTGGAGATTTGGAGCGCTTTGAGGCCTATGGTAGTAAAGGGAATAGCTTCATAGAAAAACTAGACAGATGCATTCTCAGGAACTTTTTGGTGATGTTTGTATTCAACTCCCAGAGTTGAACTTTCCTTTGGAAAGAGCAGCTATGAAACACTCTTTGTCTAGAATCTGCAAGTGGACGTTTGGAGGGCTTTGTGGTTTGTGGTGGAAAAGGAAATATCTTCACCTAAATACTAGATAGAAGCATTCTCAGAAGCTTCTCTGTGATGACTGCATTCAACTCACGGAGTTGAACACTCCTTTTGAGAGCGCAGTTTTGAAACTCTCTTTCTGTGGCATCTGCAAGGGGACATGTAGACCTCTTTGAAGATTTCGTTGGAAACGGAATCATCTTCACATAAAAACTATACAGAAGCAGTCTCAGAATCTTCTTTGTGATGTTTGCATTCAAATCCCAGAGTTGAACTTTCCTTTCAAAGTTCACGTTTGAAACACTCTTTTTGCAGGATCTACAAGTGGATATTTGGACCACTCTGTGTCCTTCGTTCGAAACGGGTATATCTTCACACGACATCTAGACAGAAGCTTTCTCAGAAAATTCTTTGGGATGATTGAGTGGAACTCACAGAGCTGAACATTCCTTGCGATGTAGCAGTTTAGAAACACACTTTCTGCAGAATCTGCAAGTGCATATTTGGACCTCTCTGAGGAATTCGTTGGAAACGGGATAATTTCAGCTGACTAAACAGAAGCATTCTCAGAACCTTCTTCGTGATGTCTGCATTCAACTCACAGTGTGGAACCTTTCTTTGATAGTTCAGGTTTGAAACACTCTTTTTGTAGAAACTGCAAGGGGATAATTGCACTTCTTTGAGGCCTACCGTAGTAAAGGAAATAACTTCTTATAGAAAGAAGACAGAAGCATTCTCAGAACCCTCTTCGTGATGTTTGCATTCAACTCACAGTGCTGAACCTTTCTTTGATAGTTCAGCTTTGAAACACTCTTCTTGTAGAAACTGCAAGTGGATATTTGGTCCTCTCTGAGGATTTCGTTGGAAACGGGATAAACCGCACAGAACTAAACAGAAGAATTCTCAGAGCCCTCTTCGTGATGTTTGCATTCAACTCACAGTGCTGAACCTTTCTTTGATAGTGCAGCTTTGAAACACTCTTTTTGTAGAAACTGCAAGTGGATGTTTGGTCCTCTCTGAGGATTTCGTTGGAAACGGGATAAACCGCACAGAACTAAAACAGAAGCATTCACAGAAAACTCTTGGTGACGACTGAGTTTAACTCACAGAGCTGAACATTCCTTTGGATGGAGCAGTTTCGAAACACACTATTTGTAGAATCTGCAAGTGGATATTTGGGCCTCTCTGAGGATTTCGTTGGAAACGGGATAAAACGCACAGAACTAAAACAGAAGCATTCTCAGAAACTACTTTGTGATGATTGCATTCAAGTCACAGAGTTGAACATTCCCTTTGACAGAGCAGTTTGGAAACTCTCTTTGTGTAGAATCTGCAAGTGGAGATATGGACCGCTTTGAGGCCTATGGTAGTAAAGGAAATAGCTTCATATAAAACCTAGACAGTAGCATTCTCAGAAACTTCTTTGTGATGCTTGCATTCAACTCACAGAGTTGAACTTTCCTTTCGAGAGAGAAGCTTTGAAACACTCTTTTTCCAGAATGTGCAAGTGGACATTTGGGGAGCTTTGAGGCCTGTGGAGGAAAAGGAATTATCTTCCCGTAAAAGCTAGATAGAAGCATTGTCAGAAACTTCTTTGTGATGATTGCATTCAACTCACAGAGTTGAAGGTTCCTTTTCAAACAGCAGTTTCCAATCACTCTTTCTGTGGAATCTGCAAGTGGATATTTCGACCTCTTTGAAGATTTCGTTGGAAACGGGAGAATCTTCACAGAAAAGCTAAACGGAAGCATTCTCAGAAACTTCTCTGTGATGTTTGTGTTCAACTCCCAGAGTTTCACGTTGCTTTTCATAGAGTAGTTCTGAAACATGCTTTTCGTAGTGTCTGCAAGTGGACATTTGGAGCGCTTTCAGGCCTGTGGTGGAAAACGAATTATGGTCACATAAAAACTGGAGAGAAGCCTTCTCAGAAACTTCTCTGTGATGATTGCATTCAACTCACAGAGTTGAACCCTCCTATGGATAGAGCAGTGTTGAAACTCTCTTTTTGTGGAATCTGCAAGTGGATATGTGGACCTCTCCGAAGATGTCTTTGGAAACGGGAATATCTTCACATAAAAACTAAACAGAAGCATTCTCAGAAACTTCTTGGTGATGTTTGCATTCAAATCCCAGAGTTGAACCTTCCTTTGATAGTTCAGGTTTGAAACACTCTTTCTGTAGGATCTGCAAGTGGCTATTTGGACCACTCTGTGGCCTTCGTTCGAAACGGGTATATCTTCGCATAAAATCTAGACAGAAAGCATTCTCAGAAAATACTTTGTGATGATTGAGTTTAAATCACAGAGCTGACCATTCCTTTGGATGGAGCAGGTTTGAGACACACTTTTTGTAGAATCTACAAGTGGATATTTGGACCTCTCTGAGGATTTCGTTGGAAACGGGATAACTGCACCTAACTAAACGGAGCATTCTCAGAAACTGCTTTGTGATGATTGCATTCACCTCACAGAGTTGAACATTTCTATTGATAGAGCAGTTTGGAAACACTCTTGTTGTGGAATGTGCAAGTGGAGATTTGGAGCGCTTCGAGGCCTATGGTAGTAAAGGGAATAGCTTCATAGAAAAACTAGACAGATGCATTCTCAGGAACTTTTTGGTGATGTTTGTATTCAACTCCCAGAGTTGAACTTTCCTTTGGAAAGAGCAGCTATGAGACACTGTTTCTCTAGAATCTGCAAGTGGACGTTTGGAGGGCTTTGTGGTTTGTGGTGGAAAAGGAAATATCTTCACCTAAATACTAGATAGAAGCATTCTCAGAAGCTTCTCTGTGATGACTGCATTCAACTCAGGGAGTTGAACACTCCTTTTGAGAGCGCAGTTTTGAAACTCTCTTTCTGTGGCATCTGCAAGGGGACATGTAGACCTCTTTGAAGATTTCGTTGGAAACGGAATCATCTTCACATAAAAACTATACAGAAGCAGTCTCAGAATCTTCTTTGTGATGTTTGCATTCAAATCCCAGAGTTGAACTTTCCTTTCAAAGTTCACGTTTGAAACACTCTTTTTGCAGGATCTACAAGTGGATATTTGGACCACTCTGTGTCCTTCGTTCGAAACGGGTATATCTTCACATGACATACTAGACAGAAGCTTTCTCAGAAAATTGTTTGGGATGATTGACTTGAACTCACAGAGCTGAGCATTCCTTGCGATGTAGCAGTTTAGAAACACACTTTCTGCAGAATCTGCAAGTGCATATTTGGACCTCTCTGAGGAATTCGTTGGAAACGGGATAATTTCAGCTGACTAAACAGAAGCATTCTCAGAACCTTCTTCGTGATGTCTGCATTCAACTCACAGTGTGGAACCTTTCCTTGATAGTTCAGGTTTGAAACACTCTTTTTGTAGAAACTGCAAGGGGATAATTGCACTCTTTGAGGAGTACCGTAGTAAAGGAAATAACTTCCTCTAAAAAGAAGACAGAAGCATTCTCAGAACCCTCTTCGTGATGTTTGCATTCAACTCACAGTGCTGAACCTTTCTTTGATAGTTCAGCTTTGAAACACTCTTTTTGTAGAAACTGCAAATGGATATTTGGTCCTCTCTGAGGATTTCTTTGGAAAAGGGATAAAACGCACAGAACTAAACAGAAGCATTCAAAGAAAACTCTTGGTGACGACTGAGTTTA
This sequence comes from Homo sapiens, assembly GCF_000001405.40. NCBI lineage: Eukaryota > Metazoa > Chordata > Mammalia > Primates > Hominidae > Homo > Homo sapiens. Next base: position 23,351,852 of record NC_000017.11, read on the forward strand.
ACTCACAGAACTGAACATTCCTTTGGATGGAGCAGTTTCGAAACACACTATTTGTAGAATGTGCAAGTGGATATGTGGGCCTCTCTGAGGATTTCGATGGAAACGGGATAAACCGCACAGAACTAAACAGAAGCATTCTCAGAAACTACTTTGTGATGATTACATTCAAGTCACAGAGTAGAACATTCCCTTTGACAGAGCAGTTTGGAAACTCTCTTTGCGTAGAATCTGCAAGTGGAGATATGGACCGCTTTGAGGCCTATGGTAGTAAAGGAAATAGCTTCATATAAAAGCTAGACAGCAGCATTCTCAGAAACTTCTTTGTGATGCTTGCATTCAACTCACAGAGTTGAACTTTCCTTTCGAGAGAGAAGCTTTGAAACACTCTTTTTCCAGAATGTGCAAGTGGACATTTGGAGGGCTTTGAGGCCTGTGGTGGAAAAGGAATTATCTTCCCGTAAAAGCTAGATAGAAGCATTGTCAGAAACTTCTTTGTGATGATTGCATTCAACTCACAGAGTTGAAGGTTCCTTTTCAAAGAGCAGTTTCCAATCACTCTTTCTGTGGAATCTGCAAGTGGATATTTGGACCTATTTTGAAGATTTCGTTGGAAACGGGATAATCTTCACAGAAAAGCTAAACAGAAGCATTCTCAGAAACTTCTCTGTGATGTTTGTGTTCAACTCCCAGAGTTTCACATTGCTTTTCATAGAGTAGTTCTGAAACATGCTTTTCGTAGTGTCTGCAAGTGGACATTTGGAGCGCTTTCAGGCCTGTGGTGGAAAACGAATTATGGTCACATAAAAACTGGAGAGAAGCCTTCTCAGAAACTTCTCTGTGATGATTGCATTCAACTCACAGAGTTGAACCCTCCTATGGATAGAGCAGTGTTGAAACTCTCTTTTTGTGGAATCTGCAAGTGGATATGTGGACCTCTCCGAAGATGTCTTTGGAAACGGGAATATCTTCACATAAAAACTAAACAGAAGCATTCTCAGAAACTTCTTGGTGATGTTTGCATTCAAATCCCAGAGTTGAACCTTCCTTTGATAGTTCAGGTTTGAAACACTCTTTTTGTAGGATCTGCAAGTGGCTATTTGGACCACTCTGTGGCCTTCGTTCGAAACGGGTATATCTTCGCATAAAATCTAGACAGAAGCATTCTCAGAAAATACTTTGTGATGATTGAGTTGAACTCACAGAGCTGAACATTCCATTGGATGGAGCAGGTTTGAGACACACTTTTTGTAGAATCTACAAGTGGATATTTGGACCTCTCTGAGGATTTCGTTGGAAACGGGATAACTGCACCTAACTAAACGGAAGCATTCTCAGAAACTGCTTTGTGATGATTGCATTCACCTCACAGAGTTGAACATTCCTATTGATAGAAGCAGTTTGGAAACACTCTTGTTGTGGAATGTGCAAGTGGAGATTTGGAGCGCTTTGAGGCCTATGGTAGTAAAGGGAATAGCTTCATAGAAAAACTAGATAGATGCATTCTCAGGAACTTTTTGGTGATGTTTGTATTCAACTCCCAGAGTTGAACTTTCCTTTGGAAAGAGCAGCTATGAAACACTCTTTTTCTAGAATCTGCAAGTGGACGTTTGGAGGGCTTTGTGGTTTGTGGTGGAAAAGGAAATATCTTCACCTAAATACTAGATAGAAGCATTCTCAGAAGCTTCTCTGTGATGACTGCATTCAACTCACGGAGTTGAACACTCCTTTTGAGAGCGTAGTTTTGAAACTCTCTTTCTGTGGCATCTGCAAGGGGACATGTAGACCTCTTTGAAGATTTCGTTGGAAACGGAATCATCTTCACATAAAAACTATACAGAAGCAGTCTCAGAATCTTCTTTGTGATGTTTGCATTCAAATCCCCGAGTTGAACTTTCCTTTCAAAGTTCACGTTTGAAACACTCTTTTTGCAGGATCTACAAGTGGATATTTGGACCACTCTGTGTCCTTCGTTCGAAACGGTTATATCTTCACATGACATCTAGACAGAAGCTTTCTCAGAAAATTCTTTGGGATGATTGAGTTGAACTCACAGAGCTGAGCATTCCTTGCGATGTAGCAGTTTAGAAACACACTTTCTGCAGAATCTGCAAGTGCATATTTGGACCTCTGTGAGGAATTCGTTGGAAACGGGATAATTTCAGCTGACTAAACAGAAGCATTCTCAGAACCTTCTTCGTGATGTCTGCATTCAACTCACAGTGTGGAACCTTTCTTTGATAGTTCAGGTTTGAAACACTCTTTTTGTAGAAACTGCAAGGGGATAATTGCACTCTTTGAGGAGTACCGTAGTAAAGGAAATAACTTCCTATAAAAAGAAGACAGAAGCATTCTCAGAACCCTCTTCGTGATGTTTGCATTCAACTCACAGTGCTGAACCTTTCTTTGATAGTTCAGCTTTGAAACACTCTTTTTGTAGAAACTGCAAGTGGATATTTGGTCCTCTCTGAGGATTTCGTTGGAAACGGGATAAACTGCACAGAACTAAACAGAAGCATTCTCAGAACCTTCTTCGTGATGTTTGCATTCAACTCACAGTGTTGAACCTTTCTTTGATAGTTCAGGTTTGAAACGGTCTTTCTGTAGAAACTGCAAGTAGATATTTGGACCTCTCTGAGGATTTCGTTGGAAACGGGATAACCCGCACAGAACTAAAACAGAAGCATTCACAGAAAACTCTTGGTGACGACTGAGTTTAACTCACAGAGCTGAACATTCCTTTGGATGGAGCAGTTTCGAAACACACTATTTGTAGAATGTGCAAGTGGATATTTAGGCCTCTCTGAGGATTTCGTTGGAAACGGGATAAACCGCACAGAACTAAACAGAAGCATTCTCAGAAACTACTTTGTGATGATTGCATTCAAGTCACAGAGTTGAACATTCCCTTTGACAGAGCAGTTTGGAAACTCTCTTTGTGTAGAATCTGCAAGTGGAGATATGGACCGCTTTGAGGCCTATGGTAGTAAAGGAAATAGCTTCATATAAAAGCTAGACAGTAGCATTCTCAGAAACTTCTTTGTGATGCTTGCATTCAACTCACAGAGTTGAACTTTCCTTTCGAGAGAGAAGCTTTGAAACACTCTTTTTCCAGAATCTGCAAGTGGACATTTGGAGGGCTTTGTGGCCTGTGGTGGAAAAGGAATTATCTTCCCGAAAAAGCTAGATAGAAGCATTGTCAGAAACTTCTTTGTGATGATTGCATTCAACTCACAGAGTTGAAGGTTCCCTTTCAAACAGCAGTTTCCAATCACTCTTTCTGTGGAATCTGTAAGTGGATATTTGGACCTCTTTGAAGATTTCGTTGGAAACGGGAGAATCTTCACAGAAAAGCTAAACAGAAGCATTCTCAGAAACTTCTCTGTGATGTTTGTGTTCAACTCCCAGAGTTTCACATTGCTTTTCATAGAGTAGTTCTGAAACATGCTTTTCGTAGTGTCTGCAAGTGGACATTTGGAGCGCTTTCAGGCCTGTGGTGGAAAACGAATTATGGTCACATAAAAACTGGAGAGAAGCCTTCTCAGAAACTTCTCTGTGATGATTGCATTCAACTCACAGAGTTGAACCCTCCTATGGATAGAGCAGTGTTGAAACTCTCTTTTTGTGGAATCTGCAAGTGGATATGTGGACCTCTCCGAAGATGTCTTTGGAAACGGGAATATCTTCACATAAAAACTAAACAGAAGCATTCTCAGAAACTTCTTGGTGATGTTTGCATTCAAATCCCAGAGTTGAACCTTCCTTTGATAGTTCAGGTTTGAAACACTCTTTTTGTAGGATCTGCAAGTGGATATTTGGACCACTCTGTGGCCTTCGTTCGAAACGGGTATATCTTCGCATAAAATCTAGACAGAAGCATTCTCAGAAAATACTTTGTGATGATTGAGTTTAACTCACAGAGCTGAACATTCCTTTGGATGGAGCAGGTTTGAGACACACCTTTTGTAGAATCTACAAGTGGATATTTGGACCTCTCTGAGGATTTCGTTGGAAACGGGATAACTGCACCTAACTAAACGGAAGCATTCTCAGAAACTGCTTTGTGATGATTGCATTCACCTCACAGAGTTGAACATTCCTATTGATAGAGCAGTTTGGAAACACTCTTGTTGTGGAATGTGCAAGTGGAGATTTGGAGCGCTTTGAGGCCTATGGTAGTAAAGGGAATAGCTTCATAGAAAAACTAGACAGATGCATTCTCAGGTAACTTTTTGGTGATGTTTGTATTCAACTCCCAGAGTTGAACTTTCCTTTGGAAAGAGCAGCTATGAAACACTCTTTTTCTAGAATCTGCAAGTGGACGTTTGGAGGGCTTTGTGGTTTGTGGTGGAAAAGGAAATATCTTCACCTAAATACTAGATAGAAGCATTCTCAGAAGCTTCTCTGTGATGACTGCATTCAACTCACGGAGTTGAACACTCCTTTTGAGAGCGCAGTTTTGAAACTCTCTTTCTGTGGCATCTGCAAGGGGACATGTAGACCTCTTTGAAGATTTCGTTGGAAACGGAATCATCTAACACATAAAAACTATACAGAAGCAGTCTCAGAATCTTCTTTGTGATGTTTCGCATTCAAATCCCAGAGTTGAACTTTCCTTTCCAAGTTCACGTTTGAAACACTCTTTTTGCAGGATCTACAAGTGGATATTTGGACCACTCTGTGTCCTTCGTTCGAAACGGGTATATCTTCACATGACATCTAGACAGAAGCTTTCTCAGAAAATTCTTTGGGATGATTGAGTTGAACTCACAGAGCTGAGCATTCCTTGCGATGTAGCAGTTTAGAAACACACTTTCTGCAGAATCTGCAAGTGCATATTTGGACCTCTGTGAGGAATTCGTTGGAAACGGGATAATTTCAGCTGACTAAACAGAAGCATTCTCAGAACCTTCTTCGTGATGTCTGCATTCAACTCACAGTGTGGAACCTTTCTTTGATAGTTCAGGTTTGAAACACTCTTTTTGTAGAAACTGCAAGGGGATAATTGCACTCTTTGAGGAGTACCGTAGTAAAGGAAATAACTTCCTATAAAAAGAAGACAGAAGCATTCTCAGAACCCTCTTCGTGATGTTTGCAGTCAACTCACAGTGCTGAACCTTTCTTTGATAGTTCAGCTTTGAAACACTCTTTTTGTAGAAACTGCAAATGGATATTTGGTCCTCTCTGAGGATTTCGTTGGAAAAGGGATAAAACGCACAGAACTAAACAGAAGCATTCTCAGAACCTTCTTCGTGATGTTTGCATTCAACTCACAGTGTTGAACCTTTCTTTGATAGTTCAGGTTTGAAACGGTCTTTCTGTAGAAACTGCAAGTAGATATTTGGACCTCTCTGAGGATTTCGTTGGAAACGGGATAACCCGCACAGAACTAAAACAGAAGCATTCACAGAAAACTCTTGGTGACGACTGAGTTTAACTCACAGAGCTGAACATTCCTTTGGATGGAGCAGTTTCGAAACACACTATTTGTAGAATGTGCAAGTGGATATTTAGGCCTCTCTGAGGATTTCGTTGGAAACGGGATAAACCGCACAGAACTAAACAGAAGCATTCTCAGAAACTACTTTGTGATGATTGCATTCAAGTCACAGAGTTGAACATTCCCTTTGACAGAGCAGTTTGGAAACTCTCTTTGTGTAGAATCTGCAAGTGGAGATATGGACCGCTTTGAGGCCTATGGTAGTAAAGGAAATAGCTTCATATAAAAGCTAGACAGTAGCATTCTCAGAAACTTCTTTGTGATGCTTGCATTCAACTCACAGAGTTGAACTTTCCTTTCGAGAGAGAAGCTTTGAAACACTCTTTTTCCAGAATCTGCAAGTGGACATTTGGAGGGCTTTGAGGCCTGTGGTGGAAAAGGAATTATCTTCCCGTAAAAGCTAGATAGAAGCATTGTCAGAAACTTCTTTGTGATGATTGCATTCAACTCACAGAGTTGAAGGTTCCTTTTCAAAGAGCAGTTTCCAATCACTCTTTCTGTGGAATCTGCAAGTGGATATTTGGACCTATTTTGAAGATTTCGTTGGAAACGGGAGAATCTTCACAGGAAAGCTAAACAGAAGCATTCTCAGAAACTTCTCTGTGATGTTTGTGTTCAACTCCCAGAGTTTCACATTGCTTTTCATAGAGTAGTTCTGAAACATGCTTTTCGTAGTGTCTACAAGTGGACATTTGGAGCGCTTTCAGGCCTGTGGTGGAAAACGAATTATGGTCACATAAAAACTGGAGAGAAGCCTTCTCAGAAACTTCTCTGTGATGATTGCATTCAACTCACAGAGTTGAACCCTCCTATGGATAGAGCAGTGTTGAAACTCTCTTTTTGTGGAATCTGCAAGTGGCTATGTGGACCTCTCCGAAGATGTCTTTGGAAACGGGAATATCTTCACATAAAAACTAAACAGAAGCATTCTCAGAAACTTCTTGGTGATGTTTGCATTCAAATCCCAGAGTTGAACCTTCCTTTGATAGTTCAGGTTTGAAACACTCTTTTTGTAGGATCTGCAAGTGGATATTTGGACCACTCTGTGGCCTTCGTTCGAAACGGGTATATCTTCGCATAAAATCTAGACAGAAGCATTCTCAGAAAATACTTTGTGATGATTGAGTTTAACTCACAGAGCTGAACATTCCTTTGGATGGAGCAGGTTTGAGACACACTTTTTGTAGAATCTACAAGTGGATATTTGGACCTCTCTGAGGATTTCGTTGGAAACGGGATAACTGCACCTAACTAAACGGAAGCATTCTCAGAAACTGCTTTGTGATGATTGCATTCACCTCACAGAGTTGAACATTCCTATTGATAGAGCAGTTTGGAAACACTCTTGTTGTGGAATGTGCAAGTGGAGATTTGGAGCGCTTTGAGGCCTATGGTAGTAAAGGGAATAGCTTCATAGAAAAACTAGACAGATGCATTCTCAGGAACTTTTTGGTGATGTTTGTATTCAACTCCCAGAGTTGAACTTTCCTTTGGAAAGAGCAGCTATGAAACACTGTTTTTCTAGAATCTGCAAGTGGACGTTTGGAGGGCTTTGTGGTTTGTGGTGGAAAAGGAAATATCTTCACCTAAATACTAGATAGAAGCATTCTCAGAAGCTTCTCTGTGATGACTGCATTCAACTCACGGAGTTGAACACTCCTTTTGAGAGCGCAGTTTTGAAACTCTCTTTCTGTGGCATCTGCAAGGGGACATGTAGACCTCTTTGAAGATTTCGTTGGAAACGGAATCATCTTCACATAAAAACTATACAGAAGCAGTCTCAGAATCTTCTTTGTGATGTTTGCATTCAAATCCCCGAGTTGAACTTTCCTTTCAAAGTTCACGTTTGAAACACTCTTTTTGCAGGATCTACAAGTGGATATTTGGACCACTCTGTGTCCTTCGTTCGAAACGGGTATATCTTCACATGACATCTAGACAGAAGCTTTCTCAGAAAATTCTTTGGGATGATTGAGTTGAACTCACAGAGCTGAGCATTCCTTGCGATGTAGCAGTTTAGAAACACACTTTCTGCAGAATCTGCAAGTGCATATTTGGACCTCTGTGAGGAATTCGTTGGAAACGGGATAATTTCAGCTGACTAAACAGAAGCATTCTCAGAACCTTCTTCGTGATGTCTGCATTCAACTCACAGTGTGGAACCTTTCTTTGATAGTTCAGGTTTGAAACACTCTTTTTGTAGAAACTGCAAGGGGATAATTGCACTCTTTGAGGAGTACCGTAGTAAAGGAAATAACTTCCTATAAAAAGAAGACAGAAGCATTCTCAGAACCCTCTTCGTGATGTTTGCATTCAACTCACAGTGCTGAACCTTTCTTTGATAGTTCAGCTTTGAAACACTCTTTTTGTAGAAAGTGCAAGTGGATATTTGGTCCTCTCTGAGGATTTCGTTGGAAACGGGATAAACTGCACAGAACTAAACAGAAGCATTCTCAGAACCTTCTTCGTGATGTTTGCATTCAACTCACAGTGTTGAACCTTTCTTTGATAGTTCAGGTTTGAAACGGTCTTTCTGTAGAAACTGCAAGTAGATATTTGGACCTCTCTGAGGATTTCGTTGGAAACGGGATAACCCGCACAGAACTAAAACAGAAGCATTCACAGAAAACTCTTGGTGACGAATGAGTTTAACTCACAGAGCTGAACATTCCTTTGGATGGAGCAGTTTCGAAACACACTATTTGTAGAATGTGCAAGTGGATATTTGGGCCTCTCTGAGGATTTCGTTGGAAACGGGATAAACCGCACAGAACTAAACAGAAGCATTCTCAGAAACTACTTTGTGATGATTGCACTCAAGTCACAGAGTTGAACATTCCCTTTGACAGAGCAGTTTGGAAACTCTCTTTGTGTAGAATCTGCAAGTGGAGATATGGAACGCTTTGAGGCCTATGGTAGTAAAGGAAATAGCTTCATATAAAAGCTAGACAGTAGCATTCTCAGAAACTTCTTTGTGATGCTTGCATTCAACTCACAGAGTTGAACTTTCCTTTCGAGAGAGAAGCTTTGAAACACTCTTTTTCCAGAATGTGCAAGTGGACATTTGGAGGGCTTTGAGGCCTGTGGTGGAAAAGGAATTATCTTCCCGTAAAAGCTAGATAGAAGCATTGTCAGAAACTTCTTTGTGATGATTGCATTCAACTCACAGAGTTGAAGGTTCCTTTTCAAAGAGCAGTTTCCAATCACTCTTTCTGTGGAATCTGCAAGTGGATATTTCGACCTATTTTGAAGATTTCGTTGGAAACGGGAGAATCTTCACAGAAAAGCTAAACAGAAGCATTCTCAGAAACTTCTCTGTGATGTTTGTGTTCAACTCCCAGACTTTCACATTGCTTTTCATAGAGTAGTTCTGAAACATGCTTTTCGTAGTGTCTACAAGTGGACATTTGGAGCGCTTCCAGTCCTGTGGTGGAAAACGAATTATGGTCACATAAAAACTGGAGAGAAGCTTTCTCAGAAACTTCTCTGTGATGATTGCATTCAACTCACAGAGTTGAACCCTCCTATGGATAGAGCAGTGTTGAAACTCTCTTTTTGTGGAATCTGCAAGTGGATATGTGGACCTCTCCGAAGATGTCTTTGGAAACGGGAATATCTTCACATAATAACTAAACAGAAGCATTCTCAGAAACTTCTTGGTGATGTTTGCATTCAAATCCCAGAGTTGAACCTTCCTTTGACAGTTCAGGTTTGAAACACTCTTTTTGTAGGATCTGCAAGTGGATATTTGGACCACTCTGTGGCCTTCGTTCGAAACGGGTACATCTTCGCATAAAATCTAGACAGAAGCATTCTCAGAAAATACTTTGTGATGATTGAGTTGAACTCACAGAGCTGAACATTCCTTTGGATGGAGCAGGTTTGAGACACACTTTTTGTAGAATCTACAAGTGGATATTTGGACCTCTCTGAGGATTTCGTTGGAAACGGGATAACTGCACCTAACTAAACGGAAGCATTCTCAGAAACTGCTTTGTGATGATTGCATTCACCTCACAGAGTTGAACATTCCTATTGATAGAGCAGTTTGGAAACACTCTTGTTGTGGAATGTGCAAGTGGAGATTTGGAGCGCTTTGAGGCCTATGGTAGTAAAGGGAATAGCTTCATAGAAAAACTAGACAGAATGCATTCTCAGGGAACTTTTTGGTGATGTTTGTATTCAACTCCCAGAGTTGAACTTTCCTTTGGAAAGAGCAGCTATGAAACACTCTTTTTCTAGAATCTGCAAGTGGACGTTTGGAGGGCTTTGTGGTTTGTGGTGGAAAAGGAAATATCTTCACCTAAATACTAGATAGAAGCATTCTCAGAAGCTTCTCTGTGATGACTGCATTCAACTCACGGAGTTGAACACTCCTTTTGAGAGCGCAGTTTTGAAACTCTCTTTCTGTGGCATCCGCAAGGGGACATGTGGACCTCTTTGAAGATTTCGTTGGAAATGGAATCATCTTCACATAAAAACTATACAGAAGCAGTCTCAGAATCTTCTTTGTGATGTTTGCATTCAAATCCCAGAGTTGAACTTTCCTTTCAAAGTTCACGTTTGAAACACTCTTTTTGCAGGATCTACAAGTGGATATTTGGACCACTCTGTGTCCTTCGTTCGAAACGGGTATATCTTCACATGACATCTAGACAGAAGCTTTCTCAGAAAATTCTTTGGGATGATTGAGTGGAACTCACAGAGCTGAACATTCCTTGCGATGTAGCAGTTTAGAAACACACTTTCTGCAGAATCTGCAAGTGCATATTTGGACCTCTCCGAGGAATTCGTTGGAAACGGGATAATTTCAGCTGACTAAACAGAAGCATTCTCAGAACCTTCTTCGTGATGTCTGCATTCAACTCACAGTGTGGAACCTTTCTTTGATAGTTCAGGTTTGAAACACTCTTTTTGTAGAAACTGCAAGGGGATAATTGCACTTCTTTGAGGCCTACCGTAGTAAAGGAAATAACTTCCTATAGAGAGAAGACAGAAGCATTCTCAGAACCCTCTTCGTGATGTTTGCATTCAACACACAGTGCTGAACCTTTCTTTGATAGTTCAGCTTTGAAACACTCTTCTTGTAGAAACTGCAAGTGGATATTTGGTCCTCTCTGAGGATTTCGTTGGAAACGGGATAAACCGCACAGAACTAAACAGAAGCATTCTCAGAACCTTCTTCGTGATGTTTGCATTCAACTCACAGTGTTGAACCTTTCTTTGATAGTTCAGGTTTGAAACGGTCTTTCTGTAGAAACTGCAAGTAGATATTTGGACCTCTCTGAGGATTTCGTTGGAAACGGGATAACCCGCACAGAACTAAAACAGAAGCATTCACAGAAAACTCTTGGTGACGACTGAGTTTAACTCACAGAGCTGAACATTCCTTTGGATGGAGCAGTTTCGAAACACACTATTTGTAGAATGTGCAAGTGGATATTTGGGCCTCTCTGAGGATTTCGATGGAAACGGGATAAACCGCACAGAACTAAACAGAAGCATTCTCAGAAACTACTTTGTGATGATTGCATTCAAGTCACAGAGTTGAACATTCCCTTTGACAGAGCAGTTTGGAAACTCTCTTTGTGTAGAATCTGCAAGTGGAGATATGGACCGCTTTGAGGCCTATGGTAGTAAAGGAAATAGCTTCATATAAAAGCTAGACAGTAGCATTCTCAGAAACTTCTTTGTGATGCTTGCATTCAACTCACAGAGTTGAACTTTCCTTTCGAGAGAGAAGCTTTGAAACACTCTTTTTCCAGAATCTGCAAGTGGACATTTGGAGGGCTTTGAGGCCTGTGGTGGAAAAGGAATTATCTTCCCGTAAAAGCTAGATAGAAGCATTGTCAGAAACTTCTTTGTGATGATTGCATTCAACTCACAGAGTTGAAGGTTCCTTTTCAAAGAGCAGTTTCCAATCACTCTTTCTGTGGAATCTGCAAGTGGATATTTGGACCTATTTTGAAGATTTCGTTGGAAACGGGAGAATCTTCACAGGAAAGCTAAACAGAAGCATTCTCAGAAACTTCTCTGTGATGTTTGTGTTCAACTCCCAGAGTTTCACATTGCTTTTCATAGAGTAGTTCTGAAACATGCTTTTCGTAGTGTCTACAAGTGGACATTTGGAGCGCTTTCAGGCCTGTGGTGGAAAACGAATTATGGTCACATAAAAACTGGAGAGAAGCCTTCTCAGAAACTTCTCTGTGATGATTGCATTCAACTCACAGAGTTGAACCCTCCTATGGATAGAGCAGTGTTGAAACTCTCTTTTTGTGGAATCTGCAAGTGGATACGTGGACCTCTCCGAAGATGTCTTTGGAAACGGGAATATCTTCACATAAAAACTAAACAGAAGCATTCTCAGAAACTTCTTGGTGATGTTTGCATTCAAATCCCAGAGTTGAACCTTCCTTTGATAGTTCAGGTTTGAAACACTCTTTTTGTAGGATCTGCAAGTGGATATTTGGACCACTCTGTGGCCTTCGTTCGAAACGGGTATATCTTCGCATAAAATCTAGACAGAAGCATTCTCAGAAAATACTTTGTGATGATTGAGTTTAACTCACAGAGCTGAATATTCCTTTGGATGGAGCAGGCTTGAGACACACTTTTTGTAGAATCTACAAGTGGATATTTGGACCTCTCTGAGGATTTCGTTGGAAACGGGATAACTGCACCGAACTAAACGGAAGCATTCTCAGAAACTGCTTTGTGATGATTGCATTCACCTCACAGAGTTGAACATTCCTATTGATAGAGCAGTTTGGAAACACTCTTGTTGTGGAATGTGCAAGTGGAGATTTGGAGCGCTTTGAGGCCTATGGTAGTAAAGGGAATAGCTTCATAGAAAAACTAGACAGATGCATTCTCAGGAACTTTTTGGTGATGTTTGTATTCAACTCCCAGAGTTGAACTTTCCTTTGGAAAGAGCAGCTATGAAACACTGTTTTTCTAGAATCTGCAAGTGGACGTTTGGAGGGCTTTGTGGTTTGTGGTGGAAAAGGAAATATCTTCACCTAAATACTAGATAGAAGCATCCTCAGAAGCTTCTCTGTGATGACTGCATTCAACTCACGGAGTTGAACACTCCTTTTGAGAGCGCAGTTTTGAAACTCTCTTTCTGTGGCATCTGCAAGGGGACATGTAGACCTCTTTGAAGATTTCGTTGGAAACGGAATCATCTTCACATAAAAACTATACAGAAGCAGTCTCAGAATCTTCTTTGTGATGTTTGCATTCAAATCCCCGAGTTGAACTTTCCTTTCAAAGTTCACGTTTGAAACACTCTTTTTGCAGGATCTACAAGTGGATATTTGGACCACTCTGTGTCCTTCGTTCGAAACGGGTATATCTTCACATGACATCTAGACAGAAGCTTTCTCAGAAAATTCTTTGGGATGATTGAGTTGAACTCACAGAGCTGAGCATTCCTTGCAATGTAGCAGTTTAGAAACACACTTTCTGCAGAATCTGCAAGTGCATATTTGGACCTCTGTGAGGAATTCGTTGGAAACGGGATAATTTCAGCTGACTAAACAGAAGCATTCTCAGAACCTTCTTCGTGATGTCTGCATTCAACTCACAGTGTGGAACCTTTCTTTGATAGTTCAGGTTTGAAACACTCTTTCTGTAGAAACTGCAAGGGGATAATTGCACTCTTTGAGGAGTACCGTAGTAAAGGAAATAACTTCCTATAAAAAGAAGACAGAAGCATTCTCAGAACCCTCTTCGTGATGTTTGCATTCAACTCACAGTGCTGAACCTTTCTTTGATAGTTCAGCTTTGAAACACTCTTTTTGTAGAAACTGCAAGTGGATATTTGGTCCTCTCTGAGGATTTCGTTGGAAACGGGATAAACTGCACAGAACTAAACAGAAGCATTCTCAGAACCTTCTTCGTGATGTTTGCATTCAACTCACAGTGTTGAACCTTTCTTTGATAGTTCAGGTTTGAAACGGTCTTTCTGTAGAAACTGCAAGTAGATATTTGGACCTCTCTGAGGATTTCGTTGGAAACGGGATAACCCGCACAGAACTAAAACAGAAGCATTCACAGAAAACTCTTGGTGACGACTGAGTTTAACTCACAGAGCTGAACATTCCTTTGGATGGAGCAGTTTCGAAACACACTATTTGTAGAATGTGCAAGTGGATATTTGGGCCTCTCTGAGGATTTCGTTGGAAACGGGATAAACCGCACAGAACTAAACAGAAGCATTCTCAGAAACTACTTTGTGATGATTGCATTCAAGTCACAGAGTTGAACATTCCCTTTGACAGAGCAGTTTGGAAACTCTCTTTGTGTAGAATCTGCAAGTGGAGATATGAACCGCTTTGAGGCCTATGGTAGTAAAGGAAATAGCTTCATATAAAAGCTAGACAGTAGCATTCTCAGAAACTTCTTTGTGATGCTTGCATTCAACTCACAGAGTTGAACTTTCCTCTCGAGAGAGAAGCTTTGAAACACTCTTTTTACAGAATTTGCAAGTGGACATTTGGAGGGCTTTGAGGCCTGTGGTGGAAAAGGAATTATCTTCCCGTAAAAGCTAGATAGAAGCATTGTCAGAAACTTCTTTGTGATGATTGCATTCAACTCACAGAGTTGAAGGTTGCTTTTCAAACAGCAGTTTCCAAACACTCTTTCTGTGGAATCTGCAAGTGGATATTTGGACCTCTTTGAAGATTTCGTTGGAAAAGGGATAAACCTCACAGAAAAGCTAAACAAAAGCATTCTCAGAAACTTCTCTGTGATGTTTGTGTTCAACTCCCAGAGTGTCACATTGCTTCTCATAGAGTAGTTCTGAAACATGCTTTTCGTAGTGTCTGCAAGAGGACATTTGGAGCGCTTTCAGGCCTGTGGTGGAAAACGAATTATGGTCACATATAAACTGGAGAGAAGCCTTCTCAGAAACTTCTCTGTGATGATTGCATTCAACTCACAGAGTTGAACCCTCCTATGGATAGAGCAGTGTTGAAACTCTCTTTTTGTGGAACCTGCAAGTGGATATGTGGACCTCTCCGAAGATGTCTTTGGAAACGGGAATATCTTCACATAAAAACTAAACAGAAGCATTCTCAGAAACTTCTTGGTGATGTTTGCATTCAAATCCCAGAGTTGAACCTTCCTTTGATAGTTCAGGTTTGAAACACTCTTTCTGTAGGATCTGCAAGTGGCTATTTGGACCACTCTGTGGCCTTCGTTCGAAACGGGTATATCTTCGCATAAAATCTAGACAGAAGCATTCTCAGAAAATACTTTGTGATGATTGAGTTTAAATCACAGAGCTGACCATTCCTTTGGATGGAGCAGGTTTGAGACACACTTTTTGTAGAATCTACAAGTGGATATTTGGACCTCTCTGAGGATTTCGTTGGAAACGGGATAACTGCACCTAACTAAACGGAAGCATTCTCAGAAACTGCTTTGTGATGATTGCATTCACCTCACAGAGTTGAACATTCCTATTGATAGAGCAGTTTGGAAACACTCTTGTTGTGGAATGTGCAAGTGGAGATTTGGAGCGCTTTGAGGCCTATGGTAGTAAAGGGAATAGCTTCATAGAAAAACTAGACAGATGCATTCTCAGGAACTTTTTGGTGATGTTTGTATTCAACTCCCAGAGTTGAACTTTCCTTTGGAAAGAGCAGCTATGAAACACTCTTTTTCTAGAATCTGCAAGTGGACGTTTGGAGGGCTTTGTGGTTTGTGGTGGAAAAGGAAATATCTTCACCTAAATACTAGATAGAAGCATTCTCAGAAGCTTCTCTGTGATGACTGCATTCAACTCACGGAGTTGAACACTCCTTTTGAGAGCGCAGTTTTGAAACTCTCTTTCTGTGGCATCTGCAAGGGGACATGTAGACCTCTTTGAAGATTTCGTTGGAAACGGAATCATCTTCACATAAAAACTATACAGAAGCAGTCTCAGAATCTTCTTTGTGATGTTTGCATTCAAATCCCAGAGTTGAACTTTCCTTTCAAAGTTCACGTTTGAAACACTCTTTTTGCAGGATCTACAAGTGGATATTTGGAGCACTCTGTGTCCTTCGTTCGAAACGGGTATATCTTCACATGACATCTAGACAGAAGCTTTCTCAGAAAATTCTTTGGGATGATTGAGTGGAACTCACAGAGCTGAACATTCCTTGCGATGTAGCAGTTTAGAAACACACTTTCTGCAGAATCTGCAAGTGCATATTTGGACCTCTCTGAGGAATTCGTTGGAAACGGGATAATTTCAGCTGACTAAACAGAAGCATTCTCAGAACCTTCTTCGTGATGTCTGCATTCAACTCACAGTGTGGAACCTTTCTTTGATAGTTCAGGTTTGAAACACTCTTTTTGTAGAAACTGCAAGGGGATAATTGCACTTCTTTGAGGCCTACCGTAGTAAAGGAAATAACTTCCTATAGAAAGAAGACAGAAGCATTCTCAGAACCCTCTTCGTGATGTTTGCATTCAACTCACAGTGCTGAACCTTTCTTTGATAGTTCAGCTTTGAAACACTCTTCTTGTAGAAACTGCAAGTGGATATTTGGTCCTCTCTGAGGATTTCGTTGGAAACGGGATAAACCGCACAGAACTAAACAGAAGAATTCTCAGAGCCCTCTTCGTGATGTTTGCATTCAACTCACAGTGCTGAACCTTTCTTTGATAGTGCAGCTTTGAAACACTCTTTTTGTAGAAACTGCAAGTGGATGTTTGGTCCTCTCTGAGGATTTCGTTGGAAACGGGATAAACCGCACAGAACTAAAACAGAAGCATTGTCAGAAACTTCTTTGTGATGATTGCATTCAACTCACAGAGTTGAAGGTTCCTTTTCAAACAGCAGTTTCCAATCACTCTTTCTGTGGAATCTGCAAGTGGATATTTGGGCCTCTCTGAGGATTTCGTTGGAAACGGGATAAAACGCACAGAACTAAAACAGAAGCATTCTCAGAAACTTCTCTGTGATGTTTGTGTTCAACTCCCAGAGTTTCACGTTGCTTTTCATAGAGTAGTTCTGAAACATGCTTTTCGTAGTGTCTGCAAGTGGACATTTGGAGCGCTTTCAGGCCTGTGGTGGAAAACGAATTATGGTCACATAAAAACTGGAGAGAAGCCTTCTCAGAAACTTCTCTGTGATGATTGCATTCAACTCACAGAGTTGAACCCTCCTATGGATAGAGCAGTGTTGAAACTCTCTTTTTGTGGAATCTGCAAGTGGATATGTGGACCTCTCCGAAGATGTCTTTGGAAACGGGAATATCTTCACATAAAAACTAAACAGAAGCATTCTCAGAAACTTCTTGGTGATGTTTGCATTCAAATCCCAGAGTTGAACCTTCCTTTGATAGTTCAGGTTTGAAACACTCTTTCTGTAGGATCTGCAAGTGGCTATTTGGACCACTCTGTGGCCTTCGTTCGAAACGGGTATATCTTCGCATAAAATCTAGACAGAAGCATTCTCAGAAAATACTTTGTGATGATTGAGTTTAAATCACAGAGCTGACCATTCCTTTGGATGGAGCAGGTTTGAGACACACTTTTTGTAGAATCTACAAGTGGATATTTGGACCTCTCTGAGGATTTCGTTGGAAACGGGATAACTGCACCTAACTAAACGGAAGCATTCTCAGAAACTGCTTTGTGATGATTGCATTCACCTCACAGAGTTGAACATTCCTATTGATAGAGCAGTTTGGAAACACTCTTGTTGTGGAATGTGCAAGTGGAGATTTGGAGCGCTTTGAGGCCTATGGTAGTAAAGGGAATAGCTTCATAGAAAAACTAGACAGATGCATTCTCAGGAACTTTTTGGTGATGTTTGTATTCAACTCCCAGAGTTGAACTTTCCTTTGGAAAGAGCAGCTATGAAACACTCTTTTTCTAGAATCTGCAAGTGGACGTTTGGAGGGCTTTGTGGTTTGTGGTGGAAAAGGAAATATCTTCACCTAAATACTAGATAGAAGCATTCTCAGAAGCTTCTCTGTGTTGACTGCATTCAACTCACGGAGTTGAACACTCCTTTTGAGAGCGCAGTTTTGAAACTCCCTTTCTGTGTCATCTGCAAGGGGACATGTAGACCTCTTTGAAGATTTCATTGGAAACAGAATCATCTTCACATAAAAACTATACAGAAGCAGTCTCAGAATCTTCTTTGTGATGTTTGCATTCAAATCCCAGAGTTGAATTTCCTTTCAAAGTTCACGTTTGAAACACTCTTTTTGCAGGATCTACAAGTGAATATTTGGACCACTCTGTGTCCTTCGTTCGAAACGGGTATATCTTTACATGACATCTAGACAGAAGCTTTCTCAGAAAATTCTTTGGGATGATTGAGTGGAACTCACAGAGCTGAACATTCCTTGCGATGTAGCAGTTTAGAAACACACTTTCTGCAGAATCTGCAAGTGCATATTTGGACCTCTCTGAGGAATTCGTTGGAAACGGGATAATTTCAGCTGACTAAACAGAAGCATTCTCAGAACCTTCTTCGTGATGTCTGCATTCAACTCACAGTGTGGAACCTTTCTTTGATAGTTCAGGTTTGAAACACTCTTTTTGTAGAAACTGCAAGGGGATAATTGCACTTCTTTGAGGCCTACCGTAGTAAAGGAAATAACTTCCTATAAAAAGAAGACAGAAGCATTCTCAGAACCCTCTTCGTGATGTTTGCATTCAACTCACAGTGCTGAACCTTTCTTTGATAGTTCAGCTTTGAAACACTCTTCTTGTAGAAACTGCAAGTGGATATTTGGTCCTCTCTGAGGATTTCGTTGGAAACGGGATAAACCGCACAGAACTAAACAGAAGAATTCTCAGAGCCCTCTTCGTGATGTTTGCATTCAACTCACAGTGCTGAACCTTTCTTTGATAGTGCAGCTTTGAAACACTCTTTTTGTAGAAACTGCAAGTGGATATTTGGTCCTCTCTGAGGATTTCGTTGGAAACGGGATAAACCGCACAGAACTAAAACAGAAGCGTTGTCAGAAACTTCTTTGTGATGATTGCATTCAACTCACAGAGTTGAAGGTTCCTTTTCAAACAGCAGTTTCCAATCACTCTTTCTGTGGAATCTGCAAGTGGATATTTGGGCCTCTCTGAGGATTTCGTTGGAAACGGGATAAAACGCACAGAACTAAAACAGAAGCATTCTCAGAAACTTCTCTGTGATGTTTGTGTTCAACTCCCAGAGTTTCACGTTGCTTTTCATAGAGTAGTTCTGAAACATGCTTTTCGTAGTGTCTGCAAGTGGACATTTGGAGCGCTTTCAGGCCTGTGGTGGAAAACGAATTATGGTCACATAAAAACTGGAGAGAAGCCTTCTCAGAAACTTCTCTGTGATGATTGCATTCAACTCACAGAGTTGAACCCTCCTATGGATAGAGCAGTGTTGAAACTCTCTTTTTGTGGAATCTGCAAGTGGATATGTGGACCTCTCCGAAGATGTCTTTGGAAACGGGAATATCTTCACATAAAAACTAAACAGAAGCATTCTCAGAAACTTCTTGGTGATGTTTGCATTCAAATCCCAGAGTTGAACCTTCCTTTGATAGTTCAGGTTTGAAACACTCTTTCTGTAGGATCTGCAAGTGGCTATTTGGACCACTCTGTGGCCTTCGTTCGAAACGGGTATATCTTCGCATAAAATCTAGACAGAAGCATTCTCAGAAAATACTTTGTGATGATTGAGTTTAAATCACAGAGCTGACCATTCCTTTGGATGGAGCAGGTTTGAGACACACTTTTTGTAGAATCTACAAGTGGATATTTGGACCTCTCTGAGGATTTCGTTGGAAACGGGATAACTGCACCTAACTAAACGGAAGCATTCTCAGAAACTGCTTTGTGATGATTGCATTCACCTCACAGAGTTGAACATTCCTATTGATAGAGCAGTTTGGAAACACTCTTGTTGTGGAATGTGCAAGTGGAGATTTGGAGCGCTTTGAGGCCTATGGTAGTAAAGGGAATAGCTTCATAGAAAAACTAGACAGATGCATTCTCAGGAACTTTTTGGTGATGTTTGTATTCAACTCCCAGAGTTGAACTTTCCTTTGGAAAGAGCAGCTATGAAACACTCTTTTTCTAGAATCTGCAAGTGGACGTTTGGAGGGCTTTGTGGTTTGTGGTGGAAAAGGAAATATCTTCACCTAAATACTAGATAGAAGCATTCTCAGAAGCTTCTCTGTGATGACTGCATTCAACTCACGGAGTTGAACACTCCTTTTGAGAGCGCAGTTTTGAAACTCTCTTTCTGTGGCATCTGCAAGGGGACATGTAGACCTCTTTGAAGATTTCGTTGGAAACGGAATCATCTTCACATAAAAACTATACAGAAGCAGTCTCAGAATCTTCTTTGTGATGTTTGCATTCAAATCCCAGAGTTGAACTTTCCTTTCAAAGTTCACGTTTGAAACACTCTTTTTGCAGGATCTACAAGTGGATATTTGGACCACTCTGTGTCCTTCGTTCGAAACGGTTATATCTTCACATGACATCTAGACAGAAGCTTTCTCAGAAAATTCTTTGGGATGATTGAGTTGAACTCACAGAGCTGAGCATTCCTTGCGATGTAGCAGTTTAGAAACACACTTTCTGCAGAATCTGCAAGTGCATATTTGGACCTCTCTGAGGAATTCGTTGGAAACGGGATAATTTCAGCTGACTAAACAGAAGCATTCTCAGAACCTTCTTCGTGATGTCTGCATTCAACTCACAGTGTGGAACCTTTCTTTAATAGTTCAGGTTTGAAACACTCTTTTTGTAGAAACTGCAAGGGGATAATTGCACTCTTTGAAGAGTACCGTAGTAAAGGAAATAACTTCCTATAAAAAGAAGACAGAAGCATTCTCAGAACCCTCTTCGTGATGTTTGCATTCAACTCACAGTGCTGAACCTTTCTTTGATAGTTCAGCTTTGAAACACTCTTTTTGTAGAAACTGCAAGTGGATATTTGGTCCTCTCTGAGGATTTCGTTGGAAACGGGATAAACTGCACAGAACTAAACAGAAGCATTCTCAGAACCTTCTTCGTGATGTTTGCATTCAACTCACAGTGTTGAACCTTTCTTTGATAGTTCAGGTTTGAAACGGTCTTTCTGTAGAAACTGCAAGTAGATATTTGGACCTCTCTGAGGATTTCGTTGGAAACGGGATAACCCGCACAGAACTAAAACAGAAGCATTCACAGAAAACTCTTGGTGACGACTGAGTTTAACTCACAGAGCTGAACATTCCTTTGGATGGAGCAGTTTCGAAACACACTATTTGTAGAATGTGCAAGTGGATATTTGGGCCTCTCTGAGGATTTCGTTGGAAACGGGATAAACCGCACAGAACTAAACAGAAGCATTCTCAGAAACTACTTTGTGATGATTGCATTCAAGTCACAGAGTTGAACATTCCCTTTGACAGAGCAGTTTGGAAACTCTCTTTGTGTAGAATCTGCAAGTGGAGATATGGACCGCTTTGAGGCCTATGGTAGTAAAGGAAATAGCTTCATATAAAAGCTAGACAGTAGCATTCTCAGAAACTTCTTTGTGATGCTTGCATTCAACTCACAGAGTTGAACTTTCCTTTCGAGAGAGAAGCTTTGAAACACTGTTTTTCCAGAATCTGCAAGTGGACATTTGGAGGGCTTTGAGGCCTGTGGTGGAAAAGGAATTAACTTCCCATAAAAGCTAGATAGAAGCATTGTCAGAAACTTCTTTGTGATGATTGCATTTAACTCACAGAGTTGAAGGTTCCTTTTCAAACAGCAGTTTCCAATCACTCTTTCTGTGGAATCTGCAAGTGGATATTTGGACCGCTTTGAAGATTTCGTTGGAAACGGGAGAATCTTCACAGAAAAGCTAAACAGAAGCATTCTCAGAAACTTCTCTGTGATGTTTGTGTTCAACTCCCAGAGTTTCACGTTGCTTTTCATAGAGTAGTTCTGAAACATGCTTTTCGTAGTGTCTGCAAGTGGACATTTGGAGCGCTTTCAGGCCTGTGGTGGAAAACGAATTATGGTCACATAAAAACTGGAGAGAAGCCTTCTCAGAAACTTCTCTGTGATGATTGCATTCAACTCACAGAGTTGAACCCTCCTATGGATAGAGCAGTGTTGAAACTCTCTTTTTGTGGAATCTGCAAGTGGATATGTGGACCTCTCCGAAGATGTCTTTGGAAACGGGAATATCTTCACATAAAAACTAAACAGAAGCATTCTCAGAAACTTCTTGGTGATGTTTGCATTCAAATCCCAGAGTTGAACCTTCCTTTGATAGTTCAGGTTTGAAACACTCTTTCTGTAGGATCTGCAAGTGGCTATTTGGACCACTCTGTGGCCTTCGTTCGAAACGGGTATATCTTCGCATAAAATCTAGACAGAAGCATTCTCAGAAAATACTTTGTGATGATTGAGTTTAAATCACAGAGCTGACCATTCCTTTGGATGGAGCAGGTTTGAGACACACTTTTTGTAGAATCTACAAGTGGATATTTGGACCTCTCTGAGGATTTCGTTGGAAACGGGATAACTGCACCTAACTAAACGGAAGCATTCTCAGAAACTGCTTTGTGATGATTGCATTCACCTCACAGAGTTGAACATTCCTATTGATAGAGCAGTTTGGAAACACTCTTGTTGTGGAATGTGCAAGTGGAGATTTGGAGCGCTTTGAGGCCTATGGTAGTAAAGGGAATAGCTTCATAGAAAAACTAGACAGATGCATTCTCAGGAACCTTTTGGTGATGTTTGTATTCAACTCCCAGAGTTGAACTTTCCTTTGGAAAGAGCAGCTATGAAACACTCTTTTTCTAGAATCTGCAAGTGGACGTTTGGAGGGCTTTGTGGTTTGTGGTGGAAAAGGAAATATCTTCACCTAAATACTAGATAGAAGCATTCTCAGAAGCTTCTCTGTGATGACTGCATTCAACTCACGGAGTTGAACACTCCTTTTGAGAGCGCAGTTTTGAAACTCTCTTTCTGTGGCATCTGCAAGGGGACATGTAGACCTCTTTGAAGATTTCGTTGGAAACGGAATCATCTTCACATAAAAACTATACAGAAGCAGTCTCAGAATCTTCTTTGTGATGTTTGCATTCAAATCCCAGAGTTGAACTTTCCTTTCAAAGTTCACGTTTGAAACACTCTTTTTGCAGGATCTACAAGTGGATATTTGGACCACTCTGTGTCCTTCGTTCGAAACGGGTATATCTTCACACGACATCTAGACAGAAGCTTTCTCAGAAAATTCTTTGGGATGATTGAGTGGAACTCACAGAGCTGAACATTCCTTGCGATGGAGCAGTTTAGAAACACACTTTCTGCAGAATCTGCAAGTGCATATTTGGACCTCTCTGAGGAATTCGTTGGAAACGGGATAATTTCAGCTGACTAAACAGAAGCATTCTCAGAACCTTCTTCGTGATGTCTGCATTCAACTCACAGTGTGGAACCTTTCTTTGATAGTTCAGGTTTGAAACACTCTTTTTGTAGAAACTGCAAGGGGATAATTGCACTTCTTTGAGGCCTACCGTAGTAAAGGAAATAACTTCCTATAGAAAGAAGACAGAAGCATTCTCAGAACCCTCTTCGTGATGTTTGCATTCAACTCACAGTGCTGAACCTTTCTTTGATAGTTCAGCTTTGAAACACTCTTCTTGTAGAAACTGCAAGTGGATATTTGGTCCTCTCTGAGGATTTCGTTGGAAACGGGATAAACCGCACAGAACTAAACAGAAGAATTCTCAGAGCCCTCTTCGTGATGTTTGCATTCAACTCACAGTGCTGAACCTTTCTTTGATAGTGCAGCTTTGAAACACTCTTTTTGTAGAAACTGCAAGTGGATGTTTGGTCCTCTCTGAGGATTTCGTTGGAAACGGGATAAACCGCACAGAACTAAAACAGAAGCATTGTCAGAAACTTCTTTGTGATGATTGCATTCAACTCACAGAGTTGAAGGTTCCTTTTCAAACAGCAGTTTCCAATCACTCTTTCTGTGGAATCTGCAAGTGGATATTTGGGCCTCTCTGAGGATTTCGTTGGAAACGGGATAAAACGCACAGAACTAAAACAGAAGCATTCTCAGAAACTTCTCTGTGATGTTTGTGTTCAACTCCCAGAGTTTCACGTTGCTTTTCATAGAGTAGTTCTGAAACATGCTTTTCGTAGTGTCTGCAAGTGGACATTTGGAGCGCTTTCAGGCCTGTGGTGGAAAACGAATTATGGTCACATAAAAACTGGAGAGAAGCCTTCTCAGAAACTTCTCTGTGATGATTGCATTCAACTCACAGAGTTGAACCCTCCTATGGATAGAGCAGTGTTGAAACTCTCTTTTTGTGGAATCTGCAAGTGGATATGTGGACCTCTCCGAAGATGTCTTTGGAAACGGGAATATCTTCACATAAAAACTAAACAGAAGCATTCTCAGAAACTTCTTGGTGATGTTTGCATTCAAATCCCAGAGTTGAACCTTCCTTTGATAGTTCAGGTTTGAAACACTCTTTCTGTAGGATCTGCAAGTGGCTATTTGGACCACTCTGTGGCCTTCGTTCGAAACGGGTATATCTTCGCATAAAATCTAGACAGAAGCATTCTCAGAAAATACTTTGTGATGATTGAGTTTAAATCACAGAGCTGACCATTCCTTTGGATGGAGCAGGTTTGAGACACACTTTTTGTAGAATCTACAAGTGGATATTTGGACCTCTCTGAGGATTTCGTTGGAAACGGGATAACTGCACCTAACTAAACGGAAGCATTCTCAGAAACTGCTTTGTGATGATTGCATTCACCTCACAGAGTTGAACATTCCTATTGATAGAGCAGTTTGGAAACACTCTTGTTGTGGAATGTGCAAGTGGAGATTTGGAGCGCTTTGAGGCCTATGGTAGTAAAGGGAATAGCTTCATAGAAAAACTAGACAGATGCATTCTCAGGAACCTTTTGGTGATGTTTGTATTCAACTCCCAGAGTTGAACTTTCCTTTGGAAAGAGCAGCTATGAAACACTCTTTTTCTAGAATCTGCAAGTGGACGTTTGGAGGGCTTTGTGGTTTGTGGTGGAAAAGGAAATATCTTCACCTAAATACTAGATAGAAGCATTCTCAGAAGCTTCTCTGTGATGACTGCATTCAACTCACGGAGTTGAACACTCCTTTTGAGAGCGCAGTTTTGAAACTCTCTTTCTGTGGCATCTGCAAGGGGACATGTAGACCTCTTTGAAGATTTCGTTGGAAACGGAATCATCTTCACATAAAAACTATACAGAAGCAGTCTCAGAATCTTCTTTGTGATGTTTGCATTCAAATCCCAGAGTTGAACTTTCCTTTCAAAGTTCACGTTTGAAACACTCTTTTTGCAGGATCTACAAGTGGATATTTGGACCACTCTGTGTCCTTCGTTCGAAACGGGTATATCTTCACACGACATCTAGACAGAAGCTTTCTCAGAAAATTCTTTGGGATGATTGAGTGGAACTCACAGAGCTGAACATTCCTTGCGATGTAGCAGTTTAGAAACACACTTTCTGCAGAATCTGCAAGTGCATATTTGGACCTCTCTGAGGAATTCGTTGGAAACGGGATAATTTCAGCTGACTAAACAGAAGCATTCTCAGAACCTTCTTCGTGATGTCTGCATTCAACTCACAGTGTGGAACCTTTCTTTGATAGTTCAGGTTTGAAACACTCTTTTTGTAGAAACTGCAAGGGGATAATTGCACTTCTTTGAGGCCTACCGTAGTAAAGGAAATAACTTCCTATAGAAAGAAGACAGAAGCATTCTCAGAACCCTCTTCGTGATGTTTGCATTCAACTCACAGTGCTGAACCTTTCTTTGATAGTTCAGCTTTGAAACACTCTTCTTGTAGAAACTGCAAGTGGATATTTGGTCCTCTCTGAGGATTTCGTTGGAAACGGGATAAACCGCACAGAACTAAACAGAAGAATTCTCAGAGCCCTCTTCGTGATGTTTGCATTCAACTCACAGTGCTGAACCTTTCTTTGATAGTGCAGCTTTGAAACACTCTTTTTGTAGAAACTGCAAGTGGATGTTTGGTCCTCTCTGAGGATTTCGTTGGAAACGGGATAAACCGCACAGAACTAAAACAGAAGCATTGTCAGAAACTTCTTTGTGATGATTGCATTCAACTCACAGAGTTGAAGGTTCCTTTTCAAACAGCACTTTCCAATCACTCTTTCTGTGGAATCTGCAAGTGGATATTTGGGCCTCTCTGAGGATTTCGTTGGAAACGGGATAAAACGCACAGAACTGAAACAGAAGCATTCTCAGAAACTTCTCTGTGATGTTTGTGTTCAACTCCCAGAGTTTCACGTTGCTTTTCATAGAGTAGTTCTGAAACATGCTTTTCGTAGTGTCTGCAAGTGGACATTTGGAGCGCTTTCAGGCCTGTGGTGGAAAACGAATTATGGTCACATAAAAACTGGAGAGAAGCCTTCTCAGAAACTTCTCTGTGATGATTGCATTCAACTCACAGAGTTGAACCCTCCTATGGATAGAGCAGTGTTGAAACTCTCTTTTTGTGGAATCTGCAAGTGGATATGTGGACCTCTCCGAAGATGTCTTTGGAAACGGGAATATCTTCACATAAAAACTAAACAGAAGCATTCTCAGAAACTTCTTGGTGATGTTTGCATTCAAATCCCAGAGTTGAACCTTCCTTTGATAGTTCAGGTTTGAAACACTCTTTCTGTAGGATCTGCAAGTGGCTATTTGGACCACTCTGTGGCCTTCGTTCGAAACGGGTATATCTTCGCATAAAATCTAGACAGAAGCATTCTCAGAAAATACTTTGTGATGATTGAGTTTAAATCACAGAGCTGACCATTCCTTTGGATGGAGCAGGTTTGAGACACACTTTTTGTAGAATCTACAAGTGGATATTTGGACCTCTCTGAGGATTTCGTTGGAAACGGGATAACTGCACCTAACTAAACGGAAGCATTCTCAGAAACTGCTTTGTGATGATTGCATTCACCTCACAGAGTTGAACATTCCTATTGATAGAGCAGTTTGGAAACACTCTTGTTGTGGAATGTGCAAGTGGAGATTTGGAGCGCTTTGAGGCCTATGGTAGTAAAGGGAATAGCTTCATAGAAAAACTAGACAGATGCATTCTCAGGAACTTTTTGGTGATGTTTGTATTCAACTCCCAGAGTTGAACTTTCCTTTGGAAAGAGCAGCTATGAAACACTCTTTTTCTAGAATCTGCAAGTGGACGTTTGGAGGGCTTTGTGGTTTGTGGTGGAAAAGGAAATATCTTCACCTAAATACTAGATAGAAGCATTCTCAGAAGCTTCTCTGTGATGACTGCATTCAACTCACGGAGTTGAACACTCCTTTTGAGAGCGCAGTTTTGAAACTCTCTTTCTGTGGCATCTGCAAGGGGACATGTTGACCTCTTTGAAGATTTCGTTGGAAACGGAATCATCTTCACATAAAAACTATACAGAAGCATTCTCAGAAACTTCTTGGTGATGTTTGCATTCAAATCCCAGAGTTGAACCTTCCTTTGATAGTTCAGGTTTGAAACTCTCTTTTTGTAGGATCTGCAAGTGGATATTTGGACCACTCTGTGGCCTTCGTTCGAAACGGGTACATCTTCGCAAAAAATCTAGACAGAAGCTTTCTCAGAAAATTCTTTGGGATGATTGAGTTGAACTCACAGAGCTGAACATTCCTTGCGATGGAGCAGTTTAGAAACACACTTTCTGCAGAATCTGCAAGTGCATATTTGGACCTCTCTGAGGAATTCGTTGGAAACGGGATAACTGCACCTAACTAAACGGAAGCATTCTCAGAACCTTCTTCGTGATGTCTGCATTCAACTCACAGTGTGGAACCTTTCTTTGATAGTTCAGGTTTGAAACACTCTTTTTGTAGAGACTGCAAGGGGATAATTGCACTTCTTTGAGGCCTACCATAGTAAAGGAAATAACTTCCTATAAAAAGAAGACAGAAGCATTCTCAGAACCCTCTTCGTGATGTTTGCATTCAACTCACAGTGCTGAAACTTTCTTTGATAGTTCAGCTTTGAAACACTCTTTTTGTAGAAACTGCAAGTGGATACTTGGTCCTCTCTGAGGATTTCGTTGGAAAAGGGATAAACCGCACAGAACTAAACAGAAGCATTCACAGAAAACTCTTGGTGACGACTGAGTTTAACTCACAGAGCTGAACATTCCTTTGGATGGAGCAGTTTCGAAACACACTATTTGTAGAATCTGCAAGTGGATATTTGGGCCTCTCTGAGGATTTCGATGGAAACGGGATAAACCGCACAGAACTAAAACAGAAGCATTCTCAGAAACTAGTTTGTGATGATTGCATTCAAGTCACAGAGCTGAACATTCCCTTTGACAGAGCAGTTTGGAAACTCTCTTTGTGTAGAATCTGCAAGTGGAGATATGGAATGCTTTGAGGACTATGGTAGTAAAGGAAATAGCTTCATATAAAAGCTAGACAGTAGCATTCTCAGAAACTTCTTTGTGATGCTTGCATTCAACTCACAGAGTTGAACTTTCCTTTCGAGAGAGAAGCTTTGAAACACTCTTTTTCCAGAATCTGCAAGTGGACATTTGGAGGGCTTTGAGGCTTGTGGTGGAAAAGGAATTATCTTCCCGTAAAAGCTAGATAGAAGCATTGTCAGAAACTTCTTTGTGATGATTGCATTCAACTCACAGAGTTGAAGGTTCCTTTTCAAACAGCAGTTTCCAAACACCCTTTCTGTGGAATCTGCAAGTGGATGTTTGGACCTCTTGGAAGATTTCGTTGGAAACGGGAGAATCTTCACAGAAAAGCTAAACAGAAGCTTTCTCAGAAACTTCTCTGTGACGTTTGTGTTCAACTCCCAGAGTTTCACATTGCTTTTCATAGAGTAGTTCTGAAACATGCTTTTCGTACTGTCTGCAAGTGGAGGTTTGGAGCGCTTTCAGACCTGTGGTGGAAAACGAATTATGGTCAAATAAAAACTGGAGAGAAGCCTTCTCAGAAACTTCTCTGTGATGATTGCATTCAACTCACAGAGTTGAACCCTCCTATGGATAGAGCAGTGTTGAAACTCTCTTTTTGTGGAATCTGCAAGTGGATATGTGGACCTCTCCGAAGATGTCTTTGGAAACGGGAATATCTTCACATAAAAACTAAACACAAGCATTCTCAGAAACTTCTTGGTGATGTTTGCATTCAAATCCCAGAGTTGAACCTTCCTTTGATAGTTCAGGTTTGAAACACTCTTTTTGTAGGATCTGCAAGTGGATATTTGGACCACTCTGTGGCCTTCGTTCGAAACGGGTATATCTTCGCATAAAATCTAGACAGAAGCATTCTCAGAAAATACTTTGTGATGATTGAGTTTAACTCACAGAGCTGAACATTCCTTTGGATGGAGCAGGTTTGAGACACACCTTTTGTAGAATCTACAAGTGGATATTTGGACCTCTCTGAGGATTTCGTTGGAAACGGGATAACTGCACCTAACTAAACGGAAGCATTCTCAGAAACTGCTTTGTGATGATTGCATTCACCTCACCAGAGTTGAACATTCCTATTGATAGAGCAGTTTGGAAACACTCTTGTTGTGGAATGTGCAAGTGGAGATTTGGAGCGCTTTGAGGCCTATGGTAGTAAAGGGAATAGCTTCATAGAAAAACTAGACAGATGCATTCTCAGGAACTTTTTGGTGATGTTTGTATTCAACTCCCAGCAGTTGAACTTTCCTTTGGAAAGAGCAGCTATGAAACACTCTTTTTCTAGAATCTGGAAGTGGACGTTTGGAGGGCTTTGTGGTTTGTGGTGGAAAAGGAAATATCTTCACCTAAATACTAGATAGAAGCATTCTCAGAAGCTTCTCTGTGATGACTGCATTCAACTCACGGAGTTGAACACTCCTTTTGAGAGCGCAGTTTTGAAACTCTCTTTCTGTGGCATCCGCAAGGGGACATGTAAACCTCTTTGAAGATTTCATTGGAAACGCAATCATCTTCACATAAAAACTATACAGAAGCAGTCTCAGAATCTTCTTTGTGGTGTTTGCATTCAAATCCCAGAGTTGAACTTTCCTTTCAAAGTTCACGTTTGAAACACTCTTTTTGCAGGATCTACAAGTGGATATTTGGACCACTCTGTGTCCTTCGTTCGAAACGGGTATATCTTCACATGACATCTAGACAGAAGCTTTCTCAGAAAATTCTATGGGATGATTGAGTGGAACTCACAGAGCTGAACATTCCTTGCGATGTAGCAGTTTAGAAACACACTTTCTGCAGAATCTGCAAGTGCATATTTGGACCTCTCTGAGGAATTCGTTGGAAACGGGATAATTTCAGCTGACTAAACAGAAGCATTCTCAGAACCTTCTTCGTGATGTCTGCATTCAACTCACAGTGTGGAACCTTTCTTTGATAGTTCAGGTTTGAAACACTCTTTTTGTAGAAACTGCAAGGGGATAATTGCACTTCTTTGAGGCCTACCGTAGTAAAGGAAATAACTTCCTATAGAAAGAAGACAGAAGCATTCTCAGAACCCTCTTCGTGATGTTTGCATTCAACTCACAGTGCTGAACCTTTCTTTGATAGTTCAGCTTTGAAACACTCTTCTTGTAGAAACTGCAAGTGGATATTTGGTCCTCTCTGAGGATTTCGTTGGAAACGGGATAAACCGCACAGAACTAAACAGAAGAATTCTCAGAGCCCTCTTCGTGATGTTTGCATTCAACTCACAGTGCTGAACCTTTCTTTGATAGTGCAGCTTTGAAACACTCTTTTTGTAGAAACTGCAAGTGGATGTTTGGTCCTCTCTGAGGATTTCGTTGGAAACGGGATAAACCGCACAGAACTAAAACAGAAGCATTGTCAGAAACTTCTTTGTGATGATTGCATTCAACTCACAGAGTTGAAGGTTCCTTTTCAAACAGCAGTTTCCAATCACTCTTTCTGTGGAATCTGCAAGTGGATATTTGGGCCTCTCTGAGGATTTCGTTGGAAACGGGATAAAACGCACAGAACTAAAACAGAAGCATTCTCAGAAACTTCTCTGTGATGTTTGTGTTCAACTCCCAGAGTTTCACGTTGCTTTTCATAGAGTAGTTCTGAAACATGCTTTTCGTAGTGTCTGCAAGTGGACATTTGGAGCGCTTTCAGGCCTGTGGTGGAAAACGAATTATGGTCACATAAAAACTGGAGAGAAGCCTTCTCAGAAACTTCTCTGTGATGATTGCATTCAACTCACAGAGTTGAACCCTCCTATGGATAGAGCAGTGTTGAAACTCTCTTTTTGTGGAATCTGCAAGTGGATATGTGGACCTCTCCGAAGATGTCTTTGGAAACGGGAATATCTTCACATAAAAACTAAACAGAAGCATTCTCAGAAACTTCTTGGTGATGTTTGCATTCAAATCCCAGAGTTGAACCTTCCTTTGATAGTTCAGGTTTGAAACACTCTTTTTGTAGGATCTGCAAGTGGCTATTTGGACCACTCTGTGGCCTTCGTTTGAAACGGGTATATCTTCGCATAAAATCTAGACAGAAGCATTCTCAGAAAATACTTTGTGATGATTGAGTTTTAATCACAGAGCTGAACATTCCTTTGGATGGAGCAGGTTTGAGACACACTTTTTGTAGAATCTACAAGTGGATATTTGGACCTCTCTGAGGATTTCGTTGGAAACGGGATAACTGCACCTAACTAAACGGAAGCATTCTCAGAAACTGCTTTGTGATGATTGCATTCACCTCACAGAGTTGAACATTCCTATTGATAGAGCAGTTTGGAAACACTCTTGTTGTGGAATGTGCAAGTGGAGATTTGGAGCGCTTTGAGGCCTATGGTAGTAAAGGGAATAGCTTCATAGAAAAACTAGACAGATGCATTCTCAGGAACTTTTTGGTGATGTTTGTATTCAACTCCCAGAGTTGAACTTTCCTTTGGAAAGAGCAGCTATGAAACACTCTTTTTCTAGAATCTGCAAGTGGACGTTTGGAGGGCTTTGTGGTTTGTGGTGGAAAAGGAAATATCTTCACCTAAATACTAGATAGAAGCATTCTCAGAAGCTTCTCTGTGATGACTGCATTCAACTCACGGAGTTGAACACTCCTTTTGAGAGCGCAGTTTTGAAACTCTCTTTCTGTGGCATCTGCAAGGGGACATGTAGACCTCTTTGAAGATTTCGTTGGAAACGGAATCATCTTCACATAAAAACTATACAGAAGCAGTCTCAGAATCTTCTTTGTGATGTTTGCATTCAAATCCCAGAGTTGAACTTTCCTTTCAAAGTTCACGTTTGAAACACTCTTTTTGCAGGATCTACAATTGGATATTTGGACCACTTTGTGTCCTTCGTTCGAAACGGGTATATCTTCACATGACATCTAGTCAGAAGCTTTCTCAGAAAATTCTTTGGGATTATTGAGTGGAACTCACAGAGCTGAACATTCCTTGCGATGTAGCAGTTTAGAAACACACTTTCTGCAGAATCTGCAAGTGCATATTTGGACCTCTCTGAGGAATTCGTTGGAAACGGGATAATTTCAGCTGACTAAACAGAAGCATTCTCAGAACCTTCTTCGTGATGTCTGCATTCAACTCACAGTGTGGAACCTTTCTTTGATAGTTCAGGTTTGAAACACTCTTTTTGTAGAAACTGCACGGGGATAATTGCACTTCTTTGAGGCCTACCGTAGTAAAGGAAATAACTTCCTATAGAAAGAAGACAGAAGCATTCTCAGAACCCTCTTCGTGATGTTTGCATTCAACTCACAGTGCTGAACCTTTCTTTGATAGTTCAGCTTTGAAACACTCTTCTTGTAGAAACTGCAAGTGGATATTTGGTCCTCTCTGAGGATTTCGTTGGAAACGGGATAAACCGCACAGAACTAAACAGAAATTCTCAGAGCCCTCTTCGTGATGTTTGCATTCAACTCACAGTGCTGAACCTTTCTTTGATAGTGCAGCTTTGAAACACTCTTTTTGTAGAAACTGCAAGTGGATGTTTGGTCCTCTCTGAGGATTTCGTTGGAAACGGGATAAACCGCACAGAACTAAAACAGAAGCATTCTCAGAACCTTCTTCGTGATGTTTGCATTCAACTCACAGTGTTGAACCTTTCTTTGATAGTTCAGGTTTGAAACGGTCTTTCTGTAGAAACTGCAAGTAGATATTTGGACCTCTCTGAGGATTTCGTTGGAAACGGGATAACCCGCACAGAACTAAAACAGAAGCATTCACAGAAAACTCTTGGTGACGACTGAGTTTAACTCACAGAGCTGAACATTCCTTTGGATGGAGCAGTTTCGAAACACACTATTTGTAGAATGTGCAAGTGGATATTTGGGCCTCTCTGAGGATTTCGTTGGAAACGGGATAAACCGCACAGAACTAAACAGAAGCATTCTCAGAAACTACTTTGTGATGATTGCATTCAAGTCACAGAGTTGAACATTCCCTTTGACAGAGCAGTTTGGAAACTCTCTTTGTGTAGAATCTGCAAGTGGAGATATGGACCGCTTTGAGGCCTATGGTAGTAAAGGAAATAGCTTCATATAAAAGCTAGACAGTAGCATTCTCAGAAACTTCTTTGTGATGCTTGCATTCAACTCACAGAGTTGAACTTTCCTTTCGAGAGAGAAACTTTGAAACACTCCTTTTCCAGAATCTGCAAGTGGACATTTGGAGGGCTTTGAGGCCTGTGGTGGAAAAGGAATTATCTTCCCGTAAAAGCTAGATAGAAGCATTGTCAGAAACTTCTTTGTGATGATTGCATTCAACTCACAGAGTTGAAGGTTCCTTTTCAAAGAGCAGTTTCAAATCACTCTTTCCGTGGAATCTGCAAGTGGATATTTGGACCTCTTTGAAGATTTTGTTGGAAACGGGAGAATCTTCACAGAAAAGCTAAACAGAAGCATTCTCAGAAACTTCTCTGTGATGTTTGAGTTCAACTCCCAGAGTTTCACATTGCTTTTCATAGAGTAGTTCTGAAACATGCTTTTCGTACTGTCTACAAGTGGACATTTGGAGCGCTTTCAGGCCTGTGGTGGAAAACGAATTATGGTCACATAAAAACTGGAGAGAAGCCTTCTCAGAAACTTCTCTGTGATGATTGCATTCAACTCACAGAGTTGAACCCTCCTATGGATAGAGCAGTGTTGAAACTCTCTTTTTGTGGAATCTGCAAGTGGATATGTGGACCTCTCCGAAGATGTCTTTGGAAACGGGAATATCTTCACATAAAAACTAAACAGAAGCATTCTCAGAAACTTCTTGGTGATGTTTGCATTCAAATCCCAGAGTCGAACCTTCCTTTGATAGTTCAGGTTTGAAACACTCTTTTTGTAGGATCTGCAAGTGGATATTTGGACCACTCTGTGGCCTTCGTTCGAAACGGGTATATCTTCGCATAAAATCTAGACAGAAGCATTCTCAGAAAATACTTTGTGATGATTGAGTTTAACTCACAGAGCTGAACATTCCTTTGGATGGAGCAGGTTTGAGACACACTTTTTGTAGAATCTACAAGTGGATATTTGGACCTCTCTGAGGATTTCGTTGGAAACGGGATAACTGCACCTAACTAAACGGAAGCATTCTCAGAAACTGCTTTGTGATGATTGCATTCACCTCACAGAGTTGAACATTCCTATTGATAGAGCAGTTTGGAAACACTCTTGTTGTGGAATGTGCAAGTGGAGATTTGGAGCGCTTTGAGGCCTATGGTAGTAAAGGGAATAGCTTCATAGAAAAACTAGACAGATGCATTCTCAGGAACTTTTTGGTGATGTTTGTATTCAACTCCCAGAGTTGAACTTTCCTTTGGAAAGAGCAGCTATGAAACACTGTTTTTCTAGAATCTGCAAGTGGACGTTTGGAGGGCTTTGTGGTTTGTGGTGGAAAAGGAAATATCTTCACCTAAATACTAGATAGAAGCATCCTCAGAAGCTTCTCTGTGATGACTGCATTCAACTCACGGAGTTGAACACTCCTTTTGAGAGCGCAGTTTTGAAACTCTCTTTCTGTGGCATCTGCAAGGGGACATGTAGACCTCTTTGAAGATTTCGTTGGAAACGGAATCATCTTCACATAAAAACTACACAGAAGCAGTCTCAAGAATCTTCTTTGTGATGTTTGCATTCAAATCCCCGAGTTGAACTTTCCTTTCAAAGTTCACGTTTGAAACACTCTTTTTGCAGGATCTACAAGTGGATATTTGGACCACTCTGTGTCCTTCGATCGAAACGGGTATATCTTCACATGACATCTAGACAGAAGCTTTCTCAGAAAATTCTTTGGGATGATTGAGTTGAACTCACAGAGCTGAGCATTCCTTGCGATGTAGCAGTTTAGAAACACACTTTCTGCAGAATCTGCAAGTGCATATTTGGACCTCTGTGAGGAATTCGTTGGAAACGGGATAATTTCAGCTGACTAAACAGAAGCATTCTCAGAACCTTCTTCGTGATGTCTGCATTCAACTCACAGTGTGGAACCTTTCTTTGATAGTTCAGGTTTGAAACACTCTTTTTGTAGAAACTGCAAGGGGATAATTGCACTCTTTGAGGAGTACCGTAGTAAAGGAAATAACTTCCTATAAAAAGAAGACAGAAGCATTCTCAGAACCCTCTTCGTGATGTTTGCATTCAACTCACAGTGCTGAACCTTTATTTGATAGTTCAGCTTTGAAACACTCTTTTTGTAGAAACTGCAAGTGGATATTTGGTCCTCTCTGAGGATTTCGTTGGAAACGGGATAAACTGCACAGAACTAAACAGAAGCATTCTCAGAACCTTCTTCGTGATGTTTGCATTCAACTCACAGTGTTGAACCTTTCTTTGATAGTTCAGGTTTGAAACGGTCTTTCTGCAGAAACTGCAAGTAGATATTTGGACCGCTCTGAGGATTTCGTTGGAAACGGGATAACCCGCACAGAACTAAAACAGAAGCATTCACAGAAAACTCTTGGTGACGACTGAGTTTAACTCACAGAGCTGAACATTCCTTTGGATGGAGCAGTTTCGAAACACACTATTTGTAGAATGTGCAAGTGGATATTTAGGCCTCTCTGAGGATTTCGTTGGAAACGGGATAAACCGCACAGAACTAAACAGAAGCATTCTCAGAAACTACTTTGTGATGATTGCATTCAAGTCACAGAGTTGAACATTCCCTTTGACAGAGCAGTTTGGAAACTCTCTTTGTGTAGAATCTGCAAGTGGAGATATGGACCGCTTTGAGGCCTATGGTAGTAAAGGAAATAGCTTCATATAAAAGCTAGACAGTAGCATTCTCAGAAACTTCTTTGTGATGCTTGCATTCAACTCACAGAGTTGAACTTTCCTTTCGAGAGAGAAGCTTTGAAACACTCTTTTTCCAGAATCTGCAAGTGGACATTTGGAGGGCTTTGAGGCCTGTGGTGGAAAAGGAATTATCTTCCCGTAAAAGCTAGATAGAAGCATTGTCAGAAACTTCTTTGTGATGATTGCATTCAACTCACAGAGATGAAGGTTCCTTTTCAAACAGCAGTTTCCAAACAGTCTTTCTGTGGAATCTGCAAGTGGATATTTGGACCTCTTTGAAGATTTCGTTGGAAACGGGAGAATCTTCACAGAAAAGCTAAACAGAAGCATTCTCAGAAACTTCTCTGTGATGTTTGTGTTCAACTCCCAGAGTTTCACGTTGCTTTTCATAGAGTAGTTCTGAAACATGCTTTTCGTAGTGTCTGCAAGTGGACATTTGGAGCGCTTTCAGGCCTGTGGTGCAAAACGAATTATGGTCCCATAAAAACTGGAGAGAAGCCTTCTCAGAAACTTCTCTGTGATGATTGCATTCAACTCACAGATTTGAACCCTCCTATGGATAGAGCATTGTTGAAACTCTCTTTTTGTGGAATCTGCAAGTGGATATGTGGACCTCTCCGAAGATGTCTTTGGAAACGGGAATATCTTCACATAAAAACTAAACAGAAGCATTCTCAGAAACTTCTTGGTGATGTTTGCATTCAAATCCCAGAGTTGAACCTTCCTGTGATAGTTCAGGTTTGAAACACTCTTTTTGTAGGATCTGCAAGTGGATATTTGGACCACTCTGTGGCCTTCGTTCGAAACGGGTACATCTTCACATAAAATCTAGACAGAAGCATTCTCAGAAAATACTTTGTGATGATTGAGTTTAACTCACGGAGCTGAACATTCCTTTGGATGGAGCAGGTTTGAGACACACTTTTTGTAGAATCTACAAGTGGATATTGGGACCTCTCTGAGGATTTCGTTGGAAACGCGATAACTGCACCTAACTAAACGGAAGCATTCTCAGAAACTGCTTTGTGATGATTGCATTCACCTCACAGAGTTGAACATTCCTATTGATAGAGCAGTTTGGAAACACTCTTGTTGTGGAATGTGCAAGTGGAGATTTGGAGCGCTTTGAGGCCTATGGTAGTAAAGGGAATAGCTTCATAGAAAAACTAGACAGATGCATTCTCAGGAACTTTTTGGTGATGTTTGTATTCAACTCCCAGAGTTGAACTTTCCTTTGGAAAGAGCAGCTATGAAACTCTTTTTCTAGAATCTGCAAGTGGACGTTTGGAGGGCTTTGTGGTTTGTGGTGGAAAAGGAAATATCTTCACCTAAATATTAGATAGAAGCATTCTCAGAAGCTTCTCTGTGATGACTGCATTCAACTCACGGAGTTGAACACTCCTTTTGAGAGTGCAGTTTTGAAACTCTCTTTCTGTGGGATCTGCAAGGGGACATGTAGACCTCTCTGAAGATTTCGTTGGAAACGGAATCATCTTCACATAAAAACTATACAGAAGCAGTCTCAGAATCTTCTTTGTGATGTTTGCATTCAAATCCCAGAGTTGAACTTTCCTTTCAAAGTTCACGTTTGAAACACTCTTTTTGCAGGATCTACAAGTGGATATTTGGACCACTCTGTGTCCTTCGTTCGAAACGGGTATATCTTCACATGACATCTAGACAGAAGCTTTCTCAGAAAATTCTTTGCGATGATTGAGTTGAACTCACAGAGCTGAACATTCCTTGCGATGTAGCAGTTTAGAAACACACTTTCTGCAGAATCTGCAAATGCATATTTGGACCTATCTGAGGAATTCGTTGGAAACGGGATAATTTCAGCTGACTAAACAGAAGCATTCTCAGAACCTTCTTCGTGATGTCTGCATTCAACTCACAGTGTGGAACCTTTCTTTGATAGTTCAGGTTTGAAACACTCTTTTTGTAGAAACTGCAAGGGGATAATTGCACTCTTTGAGGAGTACCCGTAGTAAAGGAAATAACTTCCTATAAAAAGAAGACAGAAGCATTCTCAGAACCCTCTTCGTGATGTTTGCATTCAACTCACAGTGCTGAACCTTTCTTTGATAGTTCAGCTTTGAAACACTCTTTTTGTAGAAACTGCAAGTGGATATTTGGTCCTCTCTGAGGATTTCGTTGGAAACGGGATAAACTGCACAGAACTAAACAGAAGCATTCTCAGAACCTTCTTCGTGATGTTTGCATTCAACTCACAGTGTTGAACCTTTCTTTGATAGTTCAGGTTTGAAACGGTCTTTCTGTAGAAACTGCAAGTAGATATTTGGACCGCTCTGAGGATTTCGTTGGAAACGGGATAACCCGCACAGAACTAAAACAGAAGCATTCACAGAAAACTCTTGGTGACGACTGAGTTTAACTCACAGAGCTGAACATTCCTTTGGATGGAGCAGTTTCGAAACACACTATTTGTAGAATGTGCAAGTGGATATTTAGGCCTCTCTGAGGATTTCGTTGGAAACGGGATAAACCGCACAGAACTAAACAGAAGCATTCTCAGAAA
Organism: Homo sapiens; assembly: GCF_000001405.40. NCBI lineage: Eukaryota > Metazoa > Chordata > Mammalia > Primates > Hominidae > Homo > Homo sapiens. The sequence continues at coordinate 23,390,165 of NC_000017.11, forward strand.
CTACTTTGTGATGATTGCATTCAAGTCACAGAGTTGAACATTCCCTTTGACAGAGCAGTTTGGAAACTCTCTTTGTGTAGAATCTGCAAGTGGAGATATGGACCGCTTTGAGGCCTATGGTAGTAAAGGAAATAGCTTCATATAAAAGCTAGACAGTAGCATTCTCAGAAACTTCTTTGTGATGCTTGCATTCAACTCACAGAGTTGAACTTTCCTTTCGAGAGAGAAGCTTTGAAACACTCTTTTTCCAGAATCTGCAAGTGGACATTTGGAGGGCTTTGAGGCCTGTGGTGGAAAAGGAATTATCTTCCCGTAAAAGCTAGATAGAAGCATTGTCAGAAACTTCTTTGTGATGATTGCATTCAACTCACAGAGTTGAAGGTTCCTTTTCAAAGAGCAGTTTCCAATCACTCTTTGTGTGGAATCTGCAAGTGGATATTTGGACCTATTTTGAAGATTTCGTTGGAAACGGGAGAATCTTCACAGGAAAGCTAAACAGAAGCATTCTCAGAAACTTCTCTGTGATGTTTGTGTTCAACTCCCAGAGTTTCACATTGCTTTTCATAGAGTAGTTCTGAAACATGCTTTTCGTAGTGTCTACAAGTGGACATTTGGAGCGCTTTCAGGCCTGTGGTGGAAAACGAATTATGGTCACATAAAAACTGGAGAGAAGACTTCTCAGAAACTTCTCTGTGATGATTGCATTCAACTCACAGAGTTGAACCCTCCTATGGATAGAGCAGTGTTGAAACTCTCTTTTTGTGGAATCTGCAAGTGGATATGTGGACCTCTCCGAAGATGTCTTTGGAAACGGGAATATCTTCACATAAAAACTAAACAGAAGCATTCTCAGAAACTTCTTGGTGATGTTTGCATTCAAATCCCAGAGTTGAACCTTCCTTTGATAGTTCAGGTTTGAAACACTCTTTTTGTAGGATCTGCAAGTGGATATTTGGACCACTCTGTGGCCTTCGTTCGAAACGGGTATATCTTCGCATAAAATCTAGACAGAAGCATTCTCAGAAAATACTTTGTGATGATTGAGTTTAACTCACAGAGCTGAACATTCCTTTGGATGGAGCAGGTTTGAGACACACCTTTTGTAGAATCTACAAGTGGATACTTGGACCTCTCTGAGGATTTCGTTGGAAACGGGATAACTGCACCTAACTAAACGGAAGCATTCTCAGAAACTGCTTTGTGATGATTGCATTCACCTCACAGAGTTGAACATTCCTATTGATAGAGCAGTTTGGAAACACTCTTGTTGTGGAATGTGCAAGTGGAGATTTGGAGCGCTTTGAGGCCTATGGTAGTAAAGGGAATAGCTTCATAGAAAAACTAGACAGATGCATTCTCAGGAACTTTTTGGTGATGTTTGTATTCAACTCCCAGAGTTGAACTTTCCTTTGGAAAGAGCAGCTATGAAACACTCTTTTTCTAGAATCTGCAAGTGGACGTTTGGAGGGCTTTGTGGTTTGTGGTGGAAAAGGAAATATCTTCACCTAAATACTAGATAGAAAGCATTCTCAGTAAGCTTCTCTGTGATGACTGCATTCAACTCACGGAGTTGAACACTCCTTTTGAGAGCGCAGTTTTGAAACTCTCTTTCTGTGGCATCTGCAAGGGGACATGTAGACCTCTTTGAAGATTTCGTTGGAAACGGAATCATCTTCACATAAAAACTATACAGAAGCAGTCTCAGAATCTTCTTTGTGATGTTTGCATTCAAATCCCAGAGTTGAACTTTCCTTTCAAAGTTCACGTTTGAAACACTCTTTTTGCAGGATCTACAAGTGGATATTTGGACCACTCTGTGTCCTTCGTTCGAAACGGGTATATCTTCACATGACATCTAGACAGAAGCTTTCTCAGAAAATTCTTTGGGATGATTGAGGGGAACTCACAGAGCTGAACATTCCTTGCGATGTAGCAGTTTAGAAACACACTTTCTGCAGAATCTGCAAGTGCATATTTGGACCTCTCTGAGGAATTCGTTGGAAACGGGATAATTTCAGCTGACTAAACAGAAGCATTCTCAGAACCTTCTTCGTGATGTCTGCATTCAACTCACAGTGTGGAACCTTTCTTTGATAGTTCAGGTTTGAAACACTCTTTTTGTAGAAACTGCAAGGGGATAATTGCACTTCTTTGAGGCCTACCGTAGTAAAGGAAATAACTTCCTATAGAAAGAAGACAGAAGCATTCTCAGAACCCTCTTCGTGATGTTTGCATTCAACTCACAGTGCTGAACCTTTCTTTGATAGTTCAGCTTTGAAACACTCTTCTTGTAGAAACTGCAAGTGGATATTTGGTCCTCTCTGAGGATTTCGTTGGAAACGGGATAAACCGCACAGAACTAAACAGAAGAATTCTCAGAGCCCTCTTCGTGATGTTTGCATTCAACTCACAGTGCTGAACCTTTCTTTGATAGTGCAGCTTTGAAACACTCTTTTTGTAGAAACTGCAAGTGGATGTTTGGTCCTCTCTGAGGATTTCGTTGGAAACGGGATAAACCGCACAGAACTAAAACAGAAGCATTGTCAGAAACTTCTTTGTGATGATTGCATTCAACTCACAGAGTTGAAGGTTCCTTTTCAAACAGCAGTTTCCAATCACTCTTTCTGTGGAATCTGCAAGTGGATATTTGGGCCTCTCTGAGGATTTCGTTGGAAACGGGATAAAACGCACAGAACTAAAACAGAAGCATTCTCAGAAACTTCTCTGTGATGTTTGTGTTCAACTCCCAGAGTTTCACGTTGCTTTTCATAGAGTAGTTCTGAAACATGCTTTTCGTAGTGTCTGCAAGTGGACATTTGGAGCGCTTTCAGGCCTGTGGTGGAAAACGAATTATGGTCACATAAAAACTGGAGAGAAGCCTTCTCAGAAACTTCTCTGTGATGATTGCATTCAACTCACAGAGTTGAACCCTCCTATGGATAGAGCAGTGTTGAAACTCTCTTTTTGTGGAACCTGCAAGTGGATATGTGGACCTCTCCGAAGATGTCTTTGGAAACGGGAATATCTTCACATAAAAACTAAACAGAAGCATTCTCAGAAACTTCTTGGTGATGTTTGCATTCAAATCCCAGAGTTGAACCTTCCTTTGATAGTTCAGGTTTGAAACACTCTTTCTGTAGGATCTGCAAGTGGCTATTTGGACCACTCTGTGGCCTTCGTTCGAAACGGGTATATCTTCGCATAAAATCTAGACAGAAGCATTCTCAGAAAATACTTTGTGATGATTGAGTTTAAATCACAGAGCTGACCATTCCTTTGGATGGAGCAGGTTTGAGACACACTTTTTGTAGAATCTACAAGTGGATATTTGGACCTCTCTGAGGATTTCGTTGGAAACGGGATAACTGCACCTAACTAAACGGAAGCATTCTCAGAAACTGCTTTGTGATGATTGCATTCACCTCACAGAGTTGAACATTCCTATTGATAGAGCAGTTTGGAAACACTCTTGTTGTGGAATGTGCAAGTGGAGATTTGGAGCGCTTTGAGGCCTGTGGTAGTAAAGGGAATAGCTTCATAGAAAAACTAGACAGATGCATTCTCAGGAACTTTTTGGTGATGTTTGTATTCAACTCCCAGAGTTGAACTTTCCTTTGGAAAGAGCAGCTATGAAACACTCTTTTTCTAGAATCTGCAAGTGGACGTTTGGAGGGCTTTGTGGTTTGTGGTGGAAAAGGAAATATCTTCACCTAAATACTAGATAGAAGCATTCTCAGAAGCTTCTCTGTGATGACTGCATTCAACTCACGGAGTTGAACACTCCTTTTGAGAGCGCAGTTTTGAAACTCTCTTTCTGTGGCATCTGCAAGGGGACATGTAGACCTCTTTGAAGATTTCGTTGGAAACGGAATCATCTTCACATAAAAACTATACAGAAGCAGTCTCAGAATCTTCTTTGTGATGTTTGCATTCAAATCCCAGAGTTGAACTTTCCTTTCAAAGTTCACGTTTGAAACACTCTTTTTGCAGGATCTACAAGTGGATATTTGGACCACTCTGTGTCCTTCGTTCGAAACGGGTATATCTTCACACGACATCTAGACAGAAGCTTTCTCAGAAAATTCTTTGGGATGATTGAGTGGAACTCACAGAGCTGAACATTCCTTGCGATGTAGCAGTTTAGAAACACACTTTCTGCAGAATCTGCAAGTGCATATTTGGACCTCTCTGAGGAATTCGTTGGAAACGGGATAATTTCAGCTGACTAAACAGAAGCATTCTCAGAACCTTCTTCGTGATGTCTGCATTCAACTCACAGTGTGGAACCTTTCTTTGATAGTTCAGGTTTGAAACACTCTTTTTGTAGAAACTGCAAGGGGATAATTGCACTTCTTTGAGGCCTACCGTAGTAAAGGAAATAACTTCCTATAGAAAGAAGACAGAAGCATTCTCAGAACCCTCTTCGTGATGTTTGCATTCAACTCACAGTGCTGAACCTTTCTTTGATAGTTCAGCTTTGAAACACTCTTCTTGTAGAAACTGCAAGTGGATATTTGGTCCTCTCTGAGGATTTCGTTGGAAACGGGATAAACCGCACAGAACTAAACAGAAGCATTCACAGAAAACTCTTGGTGACGACTGAGTTTAACACACAGAGCTGAATATTCCTTTGGATGGAGCAGTTTCTAAACACACTATTTGTAGGATCGGCAAGTGGATATGTGGGCCTCTCTGAGGATTTCGTTGGAAACGGGATAAACCGCACAGAACTAAAACAGAAGCATTCTCAGAAACTACTTTGTGATGATTGCATTCAAGTCACAGAGCTGAACATTCCCTTTGACAGAGCAGTTTGGAAACTCTCTTTGTGTAGAATCTGCAAGTGGAGATATGGAAGGCTTTGAGGACTATGTTAGTAAAGGAAATAGCTTCATATAAAAGCTAGACCTTAGCATTCTCAGAAACTTCTTTGTGATGCTTGCATTCAACTCACAGAGTTGAACTTTCCTTTCGAGAGAGAAGCTTTGAAACACTCTTTTTCCAGAATCTGCAAGTGGACATTTTGAGGGCTTTGAGGCCTGTGGTGGAAAAGGAATTATCTTCCCGTAAAAGCTAGATAGAAGCATTGTCAGAAACTTCTTTGTGATGATTGCATTCAACTCACAGAGTTGAAGGTTCCTTTTCAAACAGCAGTTTCCAATCACTCTTTCTGTGGAATCTGCAAGTGGATATTTGGGCCTCTCTGAGGATTTCGTTGGAAACGGGATAAAACGCACAGAACTAAAACAGAAGCATTCTCAGAAACTTCTCTGTGATGTTTGTGTTCAACTCCCAGAGTTTCACGTTGCTTTTCATAGAGTAGTTCTGAAACATGCTTTTCGTAGTGTCTGCAAGTGGACATTTGGAGCGCTTTCAGGCCTGTGGTGGAAAACGAATTATGGTCACATAAAAACTGGAGAGAAGCCTTCTCAGAAACTTCTCTGTGATGATTGCATTCAACTCACAGAGTTGAACCCTCCTATGGATAGAGCAGTGTTGAAACTCTCTTTTTGTGGAATCTGCAAGTGGATATGTGGACCTCTCCGAAGATGTCTTTGGAAACGGGAATATCTTCACATAAAAACTAAACAGAAGCATTCTCAGAAACTTCTTGGTGATGTTTGCATTCAAATCCCAGAGTTGAACCTTCCTTTGATAGTTCAGGTTTGAAACACTCTTTCTGTAGGATCTGCAAGTGGCTATTTGGACCACTCTGTGGCCTTCGTTCGAAACGGGTATATCTTCGCATAAAATCTAGACAGAAGCATTCTCAGAAAATACTTTGTGATGATTGAGTTTAACTCACAGAGCTGAACATTCCTTTGGATGGAGCAGGTTTGAGACACACCTTTTGTAGAATCTACAAGTGGATATTTGGACCTCTCTGAGGATTTCGTTGGAAACGGGATAACTGCACCTAACTAAACGGAAAGCATTCTCAGAAACTGCTTTGTGATGATTGCATTCACCTCACAGAGTTGAACATTCCTATTGATAGAGCAGTTTGGAAACACTCTTGTTGTGGAATGTGCAAGTGGAGATTTGGAGCGCTTTGAGGCCTATGGTAGTAAAGGGAATAGCTTCATAGAAAAACTAGACAGTGCATTCTCAGGAACTTTTTGGTGATGTTTGTATTCAACTCCCAGAGTTGAACTTTCCTTTGGAAAGAGCAGCTATGAAACACTCTTTTTCTAGAATCTGCAAGTGGACGTTTGGAGGGCTTTGTGGTTTGTGGTGGAAAAGGAAATATCTTCACCTAAATACTAGATAGAAGCATTCTCAGAAGCTCCTCTGTGATGACTGCATTCAACTCACGGAGTTGAACACTCCTTTTGAGAGCGCAGTTTTGAAACTCTCTTTCTGTGGCATCTGCAAGGGGACATGTAGACCTCTTTGAAGATTTCGTTGGAAACGGAATCATCTTCACATAAAAACTATACAGAAGCAGTCTCAGAATCTTCTTTGTGATGTTTGCATTCAAATCCCAGAGTTGAACTTTCCTTTCAAAGTTCACGTTTGAAACACTCTTTTTGCAGGATCTACAAGTGGATATTTGGACCACTCTGTGTCCTTCGTTCGAAACGGGTATAACTTCACACGACATCTAGACAGAAGGTTTCTCAGAAAATTCTTTGGGATGATTGAGTGGAACTCACAGAGCTGAACATTCCTTGCGATGTAGCAGTTTAGAAACACACTTTCTGCAGAATCTGCAAGTGCATATTTGGACCTCTCTGAGGAATTCGTTGGAAACGGGATAATTTCAGCTGACTAAACAGAAGCATTCTCAGAACCTTCTTCGTGATGTCTGCATTCAACTCACAGTGTGGAACCTTTCTTTGATAGTTCAGGTTTGAAACACTCTTTTTGTAGAAACTGCAAGGGGATAATTGCACTTCTTTGAGGCCTACCGTAGTAAAGGAAATAACTTCCTATAGAAAGAAGACAGAAGCATTCTCAGAACCCTCTTCGTGATGTTTGCATTCAACTCACAGTGCTGAACCTTTCTTTGATAGTTCAGCTTTGAAACACTCTTCTTGTAGAAACTGCAAGTGGATATTTGGTCCTCTCTGAGGATTTCGTTGGAAACGGGATAAACCGCACAGAACTAAACAGAAGCATTCTCAGAACCTTCTTCGTGATGTTTGCATTCAACTCACACTGTTGAACCTTTCTTTGATAGTTCAGGTTTGAAACGGTCTTTCTGTAGAAACTGCAAGTAGATATTTGGACCTCTCTGAGGATTTCGTTGGAAACGGGATAAACCGCACAGAACTAAAACAGAAGCATTCACAGAAAACTCTTGGTGACGACTGAGTTTAACTCACAGAGCTGAACATTCCTTTGGATGGAGCAGTTTCGAAACACACTATTTGTAGAATGTGCAAGTGGATATTTGGGCCTCTCTGAGGATTTCGTTGGAAACGGGATAAACCGCACAGAACTAAACAGAAGCATTCTCAGAAACTACTTTGTGATGATTGCATTCAAGTCACAGAGTTGAACATTCCCTTTGACAGAGCAGTTTGGAAACTCTCTTTGTGTAGAATCTGCAAGTGGAGATATGGACCGCTTTGAGGCCTATGGTAGTAAAGGAAATAGCTTCATATAAAAGCTAGACAGTAGCATTCTCAGAAACTTCTTTGTGATGCTTGCATTCAACTCACAGAGTTGAACTTTCCTTTCGAGAGAGAAGCTTTGAAACACTCTTTTTCCAGAATCTGCAAGTGGACATTTGGAGGGCTTTGAGGCCTGTGGTGGAAAAGGAATTAACTTCCCGTAAAAGCTAGATAGAAGCATTGTCAGAAACTTCTTTGTGATGATTGCATTCAACTCACGGAGATGAAGGTTCCTTTACAAACAGCAGTTTCCAAACACTCTTTCTGTGGAATTTGCAAGTGGATATTTGGACCTCTTTGAAGATTTCGTTGGAAACGGGAGAATCTTCACAGAAAAGCTAAACAGAAGCATTCTCAGAAACTCCTTTGTGATGTTTGTTTTCAACTCACAGAGTTTAACATTGCTTTCCATAGAGCAGTTTTGAAACATTCTTTTCTTAGTGTCGGCAAGTGGACATTTGGAGCGCTTTCAGGCCTGTGGTGGAAAACGAATTATCGTCACATAAAAACTAGAGAGAAGCCTTCTCAGAAACTTCTCTGTGATGATTGCATTCAAGTCACGGAGTTGAACACTCCTTTTGATAGAGCATTTTTGAAACTCTCTTTTTGTAGAATCTGCAAGTGGATATGTGGACCTCTTTGAAGATTTCTTTGGAAACGGGAATATCTTCACATAAAAACTAAACAGAAGCAGTCTCAGAAACTTCTTTGTGATGTTTGCATTCAAATCCCAGACTTGAACCTTCCTTTGATAGTTCAGGTTTGAAACCCTCTTTTTGTAGGATCTGCCAGTGGATATTTGGACCACTTTGTGGCCTTCGTTCGAAACGGGTATACCTTCACATAAAATCTAGACAGAAGCATTCTCAGAAAATACTTTGTGATGATTGAGTTTAAATCACAGAGCTGAACAGTCCTTTGGATGGAGCAGGTTTGAGACACACTTTTTGTAGAATCTACAAGTGGATATTTGGACCTCTCTGAGGATTTCGTTGGAAACGGGATAACTGCACCTAACTAAACGGAAGCATTCTCAGAAACTGCTTTGTGATGATTGCATTCACCTCACAGAGTTGAACATTCCTATTGATAGAGCAGTTTGGAAACACTCTTGTTGTGGAATGTGCAAGTGGAGATTTGGAGCGCTTTGAGGCCTATGGTAGTAAATGGAATAGCTTCATAGAAAAACTAGACAGATGCATTCTCAGGAACTTTTTGGTGATGTTTGTATTCAACTCCCAGAGTTGAACTTTCCTTTGGAAAGAGCAGCTATGAAACACTCTTTTTCTAGAATCTGCAAGTGGACGTTTGGAGGGCTTTGTGGTTTGTGGTGGAAAAGGAAATATCTTCACCTAAATACTAGATAGAAGCATCCTCAGAAGCTTCTCTGTGATGACTGCATTCAACTCACGGAGTTGAACACTCCTTTTGAGAGCGCAGTTTTGAAACTCTCTTTCTGTGGCATCTGCAAGGGGACATGTAGACCTCTTTGAAGATTTCGTTGGAAACGGAATCATCTTCACATAAAAACTATACAGAAGCAGTCTCAGAATCTTCTTTGTGATGTTTGCATTCAAATCCCCGAGTTGAACTTTCCTTTCAAAGTTCACGTTTGAAACACTCTTTTTGCAGGTTCTACAAGTGGATATTTGGACCACTCTGTGTCCTTCGTTCGAAACGGGTATATCTTCACATGACATCTAGACAGAAGCTTTCTCAGAAAATTCTTTGGGATGATTGAGTTGAACTCACAGAGCTGAGCATTCCTTGCGATGTAGCAGTTTAGAAACACACTTTCTGCAGAATCTGCAAGTGCATATTTGGACCTCTGTGAGGAATTCGTTGGAAACGGGATAATTTCAGCTGACTAAACAGAAGCATTCTCAGAACCTTCTTCGTGATGTCTGCATTCAACTCACAGTGTGGAACCTTTCTTTGATAGTTCAGGTTTGAAACACTCTTTTTGTAGAAACTGCAAGGGGATCATTGCACTCTTTGAGGAGTACCGTAGTAAAGGAAATAACTTCCTATAAAAAGAAGACAGAAGCATTCTCAGAACCCTCTTCGTGATGTTTGCATTCAACTCACAGTGCTGAACCTTTCTTTGATAGTTCAGCTTTGAAACTCTCCTTTTGTAGAAACTGCAAATGGATATTTGGTCCTCTCTGAGGATTTCGTTGGAAAAGGGATAAAACGCACAGAACTAAACAGAAGCATTCACAGAAAACTCTTGGTGACGACTGAGTTTAACTCACAGAGCTGAACATTCCTTTGGATGGAGCAGTTTCAAAACACACTATTTGTAGAATGTGCAAGTGGATATGTGGGCCTCTCTGAGGATTTCGTTGGAAACGGGATAAACCGCACAGAACTAAAACAGAAGCATTCTCAGAAACTACTTTGTGATGATTGCATTCAAGTCACAGAGTTGAACATTCCCTTTGACAGAGCAGTTTGGAAACTCTCTTTGTGTAGAATCTGCAAGTGGAGATATGGACCGCTTTGAGGCCTATGGTAGTAAAGGAAATAGCTTCATATAAAAGCTAGACAGTAGCATTCTCAGAAACTTCTTTGTGATGCTTGCATTCAACTCACAGAGTTGAACTATCCTTTCGAGAGAGAAGCTTTGAAATACTCTTTTTCCAGAATCTGCAAGTGGACATTTGGAGGGCTTTGAGGCCTGTGGTGGAAAAGGAATTATCTTCCTGTAAAAGCTAGATAGAAGCATTGTCAGAAACTTCTTTGTGATGATTGCATTCAACTCACAGAGTTGAAGGTTCCTTTTCAAAGAGCAGTTTCCAATCACTCTTTCTGTGGAATCTGCAAGTGGATATTTGGACCTCTTTGAAGATTTCGTTGGAAACGGGAGAATCTTCACAGAAAAGCTAAACAGAAGCATTCTCAGAAACTTCTCTGTGATGTTTGTGTTCAACTTCCAGAGTTTCACATTGCTTTTCATAGAGTAGTTCTGAAACATGCTTTTCGTAGTGTCTGCAAGTGGACATTTGGAGCGCTTTCAGGCCTGTGGTGGAAAACGAATTATGGTCACATAAAAACTGGAGAGAAGCCTTCTCAGAAACTTCTCTGTGATGATTGCATTCAACTCACAGAGTTGAACCCTCCTATGGATAGAGCAGTGTTGAAACTCTCTTTTTGTGGAATCTGCAAGTGGATATGTGGACCTCTCCGAAGATGTCTTTGGAAACGGGAATATCTTCACATAAAAACTAAACAGAAGGATTCTCAGAAACTTCTTGGTGATGTTTGCATTCAAATCCCAGAGTTGAACCTTCCTTTGATAGTTCAGGTTTGAAACACTCTTTTTGTAGGATCTGCAAGTGGCTATTTGGACCACTCCTGTGGCATTCGTTCAAAACGGGTATATCTTCGCATAAAATCTAGACAGAAGCATTCTCAGAAAATACTTTGTGATGATTGAGTTAAAATCACAGAGCTGAACATTCCTTTGGATGGAGCAGGTTTGAGACACACTTTTTGTAGAATCTACAAGTGGATATTTGGACCTCTCTGAGGATTTCGTTGGAAACGGGATAACTGCACCTAACTAAACGGAAGCATTCTCAGAAACTGCTTTGTGATGATTGCATTCACCTCACAGAGTTGAACATTCCTATTGATAGAGCAGTTTGGAAACACTCTTGTTGTGGAATGTGCAAGTGGAGATTTGGAGCGCTTTGAGGTCTATGGTAGTAAAGGGAATAGCTTCATAGAAAAACTAGACAGATGCATTCTCAGGAACTTTTTGGTGATGTTTGTATTCAACTCCCAGAGTTGAACTTTCCTTTGGAAAGAGCAGCTATGAAACACTCTTTTTCTAGAATCTGCAAGTGGACGTTTGGAGGGCTTTGTGGTTTGTGGTGGAAAAGGAAATATCTTCACCTAAATACTAGATAGAAGCATTCTCAGAAGCTTCTCTGTGATGACTGCATTCAACTCACGGAGTCTGAACACTCCTTTTGAGAGCGCAGTTTTGAAACTCTCTTTCTGTGGCATCTGCAAGGGGACATGTAGACCTCTTTGAAGATTTCGTTGGAAACGGAATCATCTTCACATAAAAACTATACAGAAGCAGTCTCAGAATCTTCTTTGTGATGTTTGCATTCAAATCCCAGAGTTGAACTTTCCTCTCAAAGTTCACGTTTGAAACACTCTTTTTGCAGGATCTACAAGTGGATATTTGGACCACTCTGTGTCCTTCGTTCGAAACGGGTATATCTTCACACGACATCTAGACAGAAGCTTTCTCAGAAAATTCTTTGGGATGATTGAGTGGAACTCACAGAGCTGAACATTCCTTGCGATGTAGCAGTTTAGAAACACACTTTCTGCAGAATCTGCAAGTGCATATTTGGACCTCTCTGAGGAATTCGTTGGAAACGGGATAATTTCAGCTGACTAAACAGAAGCATTCTCAGAACCTTCTTCGTGATGTCTGCATTCAACTCACAGTGTGGAACCTTTCTTTGATAGTTCAGGTTTGAAACACTCTTTTTGTAGAAACTGCAAGGGGATAATTGCACTTCTTTGAGGCCTACCGTAGTAAAGGAAATAACTTCCTATAGAAAGAAGACAGAAGCATTCTCAGAACCCTCTTCGTGATGTTTGCATTCAACTCACAGTGCTGAACCTTTCTTTGATAGTTCAGCTTTGAAACACTCTTCTTGTAGAAACTGCAAGTGGATATTTGGTCCTCTCTGAGGATTTCGTTGGAAACGGGATAAACCGCACAGAACTAAACAGAAGCATTCTCAGAGCCCTCTTCGTGATGTTTGCATTCAACTCACAGTGCTGAACCTTTCTTTGATAGTGCAGCTTTGAAACACTCTTTTTGTAGAAACTGCAAGTGGATGTTTGGTCCTCTCTGAGGATTTCGTTGGAAACGGGATAAACCGCACAGAACTAAAACAGAAGCATTGTCAGAAACTTCTTTGTGATGATTGCATTCAACTCACAGAGTTGAAGGTTCCTTTTCAAACAGCAGTTTCCAATCACTCTTTCTGTGGAATCTGCAAGTGGATATTTGGGCCTCTCTGAGGATTTCGTTGGAAACGGGATAAAACGCACAGAACTAAAACAGAAGCATTCTCAGAAACTTCTCTGTGATGTTTGTGTTCAACTCCCAGAGTTTCACGTTGCTTTTCATAGAGTAGTTCTGAAACATGCTTTTCGTAGTGTCTGCAAGTGGACATTTGGAGCGCTTTCAGGCCTGTGGTGGAAAACGAATTATGGTCACATAAAAACTGGAGAGAAGCCTTCTCAGAAACTTCTCTGTGATGATTGCATTCAACTCACAGAGTTGAACCCTCCTATGGATAGAGCAGTGTTGAAACTCTCTTTTTGTGGAATCTGCAAGTGGATATGTGGACCTCTCCGAAGATGTCTTTGGAAACGGGAATATCTTCACATAAAAACTAAACAGAAGCATTCTCAGAAACTTCTTGGTGATGTTTGCATTCAAATCCCAGAGTTGAACCTTCCTTTGATAGTTCAGGTTTGAAACACTCTTTCTGTAGGATCTGCAAGTGGCTATTTGGACCACTCTGTGGCCTTCGTTCGAAACGGGTATATCTTCACATAAAATCTAGACAGAAGCATTCTCAGAAAATACTTTGTGATGATTGAGTTTAAATCACAGAGCTGACCATTCCTTTGGATGGAGCAGGTTTGAGACACACTTTTTGTAGAATCTACAAGTGGATATTTGGACCTCTCTGAGGATTTCGTTGGAAACGGGATAACTGCACCTAACTAAACGGAAGCATTCTCAGAAACTGCTTTGTGATGATTGCATTCACCTCACAGAGTTGAACATTCCTATTGATAGAGCAGTTTGGAAACACTCTTGTTGTGGAATGTGCAAGTGGAGATTTGGAGCGCTTTGAGGCCTGTGGTAGTAAAGGGAATAGCTTCATAGAAAAACTAGACAGATGCATTCTCAGGAACTTTTTGGTGATGTTTGTATTCAACTCCCAGAGTTGAACTTTCCTTTGGAAAGAGCAGCTATGAAACACTCTTTTTCTAGAATCTGCAAGTGGACGTTTGGAGGGCTTTGTGGTTTGTGGTGGAAAAGGAAATATCTTCACCTAAATACTAGATAGAAGCATTCTCAGAAGCTTCTCTGTGATGACTGCATTCAACTCACGGAGTTGAACACTCCTTTTGAGAGCGCAGTTTTGAAACTCTCTTTCTGTGGCATCTGCAAGGGGACATGTAGACCTCTTTGAAGATTTCGTTGGAAACGGAATCATCTTCACATAAAAACTATACAGAAGCAGTCTCAGAATCTTCTTTGTGATGTTTGCATTCAAATCCCAGAGTTGAACTTTCCTTTCAAAGTTCACGTTTGAAACACTCTTTTTGCAGGATCTACAAGTGGATATTTGGACCACTCTGTGTCCTTCGTTCGAAACGGGTATATCTTCACACGACATCTAGACAGAAGCTTTCTCAGAAAATTCTTTGGGATGATTGAGTGGAACTCACAGAGCTGAACATTCCTTGCGATGTAGCAGTTTAGAAACACACTTTCTGCAGAATCTGCAAGTGCATATTTGGACCTCTCTGAGGAATTCGTTGGAAACGGGATAATTTCAGCTGACTAAACAGAAGCATTCTCAGAACCTTCTTCGTGATGTCTGCATTCAACTCACAGTGTGGAACCTTTCTTTGATAGTTCAGGTTTGAAACACTCTTTTTGTAGAAACTGCAAGGGGATAATTGCACTTCTTTGAGGCCTACCGTAGTAAAGGAAATAACTTCCTATAGAAAGAAGACAGAAGCATTCTCAGAACCCTCTTCGTGATGTTTGCATTCAACTCACAGTGCTGAACCTTTCTTTGATAGTTCAGCTTTGAAACACTCTTCTTGTAGAAACTGCAAGTGGATATTTGGTCCTCTCTGAGGATTTCGTTGGAAACGGGATAAACCGCACAGAACTAAACAGAAGAATTCTCAGAGCCCTCTTCGTGATGTTTGCATTCAACTCACAGTGCTGAACCTTTCTTTGATAGTGCAGCTTTGAAACACTCTTTTTGTAGAAACTGCAAGTGGATGTTTGGTCCTCTCTGAGGATTTCGTTGGAAACGGGATAAACCGCACAGAACTAAAACAGAAGCATTGTCAGAAACTTCTTTGTGATGATTGCATTCAACTCACAGAGTTGAAGGTTCCTTTTCAAACAGCAGTTTCCAATCACTCTTTCTGTGGAATCTGCAAGTGGATATTTGGGCCTCTCTGAGGATTTCGTTGGAAACGGGATAAAACGCACAGAACTAAAACAGAAGCATTCTCAGAAACTTCTCTGTGATGTTTGTGTTCAACTCCCAGAGTTTCACGTTGCTTTTCATAGAGTAGTTCTGAAACATGCTTTTCGTAGTGTCTGCAAGTGGACATTTGGAGCGCTTTCAGGCCTGTGGTGGAAAACGAATTATGGTCACATAAAAACTGGAGAGAAGCCTTCTCAGAAACTTCTCTGTGATGATTGCATTCAACTCACAGAGTTGAACCCTCCTATGGATAGAGCAGTGTTGAAACTCTCTTTTTGTGGAATCTGCAAGTGGATATGTGGACCTCTCCGAAGATGTCTTTGGAAACGGGAATATCTTCACATAAAAACTAAACAGAAGCATTCTCAGAAACTTCTTGGTGATGTTTGCATTCAAATCCCAGAGTTGAACCTTCCTTTGACAGTTCAGGTTTGAAACACTCTTTTTGTAGGATCTGCAAGTGGATATTTGGACCACTCTGTGGCCTTCGTTCGAAACGGGTACATCTTCGCATAAAATCTAGACAGAAGCATTCTCAGAAAATACTTTGTGATGATTGAGTTGAACTCACAGAGCTGAACATTCCTTTGGATGGAGCAGGTTTGAGACACACTTTTTGTAGAATCTACAAGTGGATATTTGGACCTCTCTGAGGATTTCGTTGGAAACGGGATAACTGCACCTAACTAAACGGAAGCATTCTCAGAAACTGCTTTGTGATGATTGCATTCACCTCACAGAGTTGAACATTCCTATTGATAGAGCAGGTTGGAAACACTCTTGTTGTGGAATGTGCAAGTGGAGATTTGGAGCGCTTTGAGGCCTATGGTAGTAAAGGGAATAGCTTCATAGAAAAATTAGACAGATGCATTCTCAGGAACTTTTTGGTGATGTTTGTATTCAACTCCCAGAGTTGAACTTTCCTTTGGAAAGAGCAGCTATGAAACACTCTTTTTCTAGAATCTGCAAGTGGACGTTTGGAGGGCTTTGTGGTTTGTGGTGGAAAAGGAAATATCTTCACCTGAATACTAGATAGAAGCATTCTCAGAAGCTTCTCTGTGATGACTGCATTCAACTCACGGAGTTGAACACTCCTTTTGAGAGCGCAGTTTTGAAACTCTCTTTCTGTGGCATCTGCAAGGGGACATGTAGACCTCTTTGAAGATTTCGTTGGAAACGGAATCATCTTCACATAAAAACTATACAGAAGCAGTCTCAGAATCTTCTTTGTGATGTTTGCATTCGAATCCCAGAGTTGAACCTTCGTTTGAAAGTTCAGGTTTGAAACCCTCTTTTTGCAGGATCTACAAGTGGATATTTGGACCACTCTGTGGCCTTCGTTCGAAACGGGTATATCTTCACATGACATCTAGACAGAAGCTTTCTCAGAAAATTCTTTGGGATGATTGAGTGGAACTCAACAGAGCTGAACATTCCTTGCGATGTAGCAGTTTAGAAACACACTTTCTGCAGAATCTGCAAGTGCATATTTGGACCTCTCTGAGGAATTCGTTGGAAACGGGATAATTTCAGCTGACTAAACAGAAGCATTCTCAGAACCTTCTTCGTGATGTCTGCATTCAACTCACAGTGTGGAACCTTTCTTTGATAGTTCAGGTTTGAAACACTCTTTTTGTAGAAACTGCAAGGGGATAATTGCACTTCTTTGAGGCCTACCGTAGTAAAGGAAATAACTTCCTATAGAAAGAAGACAGAAGCATTCTCAGAACCCTCTTCGTGATGTTTGCATTCAACTCACAGTGCTGAACCTTTCTTTGATAGTTCAGCTTTGAAACACTCTTCTTGTAGAAACTGCAAGTGGATATTTGGTCCTCTCTGAGGATTTCGTTGGAAACGGGATAAACCGCACAGAACTAAACAGAAGAATTCTCAGAGCCCTCTTCGTGATGTTTGCATTCAACTCACAGTGCTGAACCTTTCTTTGATAGTGCAGCTTTGAAACACTCTTTTTGTAGAAACTGCAAGTGGATGTTTGGTCCTCTCTGAGGATTTCGTTGGAAACGGGATAAACCGCACAGAACTAAAACAGAAGCATTGTCAGAAACTTCTTTGTGATGATTGCATTCAACTCACAGAGTTGAAGGTTCCTTTTCAAACAGCAGTTTCCAATCACTCTTTCTGTGGAATCTGCAAGTGGATATTTGGGCCTCTCTGAGGATTTCGTTGGAAACGGGATAAAACGCACAGAACTAAAACAGAAGCATTCTCAGAAACTTCTCTGTGATGTTTGTGTTCAACTCCCAGAGTTTCACGTTGCTTTTCATAGAGTAGTTCTGAAACATGCTTTTCGTAGTGTCTGCAAGTGGACATTTGGAGCGCTTTCAGGCCTGTGGTGGAAAACGAATTATGGTCACATAAAAACTGGAGAGAAGCCTTCTCAGAAACTTCTCTGTGATGATTGCATTCAACTCACAGAGTTGAACCCTCCTATGGATAGAGCAGTGTTGAAACTCTCTTTTTGTGGAATCTGCAAGTGGATATGTGGACCTCTCCGAAGATGTCTTTGGAAACGGGAATATCTTCACATAAAAACTAAACAGAAGCATTCTCAGAAACTTCTTGGTGATGTTTGCATTCAAATCCCAGAGTTGAACCTTCCTTTGATAGTTCAGGTTTGAAACACTCTTTTTGTAGGATCTGCAAGTGGATATTTGGACCACTCTGTGGCCTTCGTTCGAAACGGGTATATCTTCGCATAAAATCTAGACAGAAGCATTCTCAGAAAATACTTTGTGATGATTGAGTTTAACTCACAGAGCTGAACATTCCTTTGGATGGAGCAGGTTTGAGACACACTTTTTGTAGAATCTACAAGTGGATATTTGGACCTCTCTGAGGATTTCGTTGGAAACGCGATAACTGCACCTAACTAAACGGAAGCATTCTCAGAAACTGCTTTGTGATGATTGCATTCACCTCACAGAGTTGAACATTCCTATTGATAGAGCAGTTTGGAAACACTCTTGTTGTGGAATGTGCAAGTGGAGATTTGGAGCGCTTTGAGGCCTATGGTAGTAAAGGGAATAGCTTCATAGAAAAACAAGGCAGATGCATTCTCAGGAACTTTTTGGTGATGTTTGTATTCAACTCCCAGAGTTGAACTTTCCTTTGGAAAGAGCAGCTATGAAACACTCTTTTTCTAGAATCTGCAAGTGGACGTTTGGAGGGCTTTGTGGTTTGTGGTGGAAAAGGAAATATCTTCACCTAAATACTAGATAGAAGCATTCTCAGAAGCTTCTCTGTGATGACTGCATTCAACTCACGGAGTTGAACACTCCTTTTGAGAGCGTAGTTTTGAAACTCTCTTTCTGTGGCATCTGCAAGGGGACATGTAGACCTCTTTGAAGATTTCGTTGGAAACGGAATCATCTTCACATAAAAACTATACAGAAGCAGTCTCAGAATCTTCTTTGTGATGTTTGCATTCAAATCCCTGAGTTGAACTTTCCTTTCCAAGTTCACGTTTGAAACACTCTTTTTGCAGGATCTACAAGTGGATATTTGGACCACTCTGTGTCCTTCGTTCGAAACGGGTATATCTTCACATGACATCTAGACAGAAGCTTTCTCAGAAAATTCTTTGGGATGATTGAGTGGAGCAAACAGAGCTGAACACTCCTTGCGATGTAGCAGTTTAGAAACACCCTTTCTGCAGAATCTGCAAGTGCATATGTGGACCTCCTCTGAGGAATTCGTTGGAAACGGGATAATTTCAGCTGACTAAACAGAAGCATTCTCAGAACCTTCTTCGTGATGTCTGCATTCAACTCACAGTGTGGAACCTTTCTTTGATAGTTCAGGTTTGAAACACTCTTTTTGTAGAAACTGCAAGGGGATCATTGCACTTCTTTGAGGCCTACCGTAGTAAAGGAGATAACTTGCTATAAAAAGAAGACAGAAGCATTCTCAGAACCCTCTTGGTGATGTTTGCATTCAACTCTCGGTGCTGAACCTTTCTTTGATAGTTCAGCTTTGAAACACTCTTTTTGTAGAAACTGCAAGTGGATATTTGGTCCTCTCTGAGGATTTCGTTGGAAACGGGATAAACCGCACAGAACTAAACAGAAGCATTCTCAGAACTTTCTTCGTGATGTTTGCATTCAACTCACAGTGTTGAACCTTTCTTTGATAGTTCAGGTTTGAAACGGTCTTTCTGTAGAAACTGCAAGTAGATATTTGGACCTCTCTGAGGATTTCGTTGGAAACGGGATAAACCGCACAGAACTAAAACAGAAGCATTCACAGAAAACTCTTGGTGACGACTGAGTTTAACTCACAGAGCTGAACATTCCTTTGGATGGAGCAGTTTCGAAACACACTATTTGTAGAATGTGCAAGTGGATATGTGGGCCTCTCTGAGGATTTCGTTGGAAACGGGATAAACCGCACAGAACTAAACAGAAGCATTCTCAGAAACTACTTTGTGATGATTGCATTCAAGTCACAGAGTTGAACATTCCCTTTGACAGAGCAGTTTGGAAACTCTCTTTGCGTAGAATCTGCAAGTGGAGATATGGACCGCTTTGAGGCCTATGGTAGTAAAGGAAATAGCTTCATATAAAAGCTAGACAGCAGCATTCTCAGAAACTTCTTTGTGATGCTTCCATTCAACTCACAGAGTTGAACTTTCCTTTCGAGAGAGAAGCTTTGAAACACTCTTTTTCCAGAATCTGCAAGTGGATATTTGGAGGGCTTTGAGGCCTGTGGTGGAAAAGGAATTATCTTCCCGTAAAAGCTAGATAGAAGCATTGTCAGAAACTTCTTTGTGATGATTGCCTTCAACTCACAGAGTTGAAGGTTCCTTTTCAAACAGCAGTTTCCAAACACTCTTTCTGTGGAATCTGCAAGTGGATGTTTGGACCTCTTTGAAGATTTCGTTGGAAACGGGAGAATCTTCACAGAAAAGCTAAACAGAAGCATTCTCAGAAACTTCTCTGTGATGTTTGTGTTCAACTCCCAGAGTTTCACATTGCTTTTCATAGAGTAGTTCTGAAACATGCTTTTCGTAGTGTCTGCAAGTGGACATTTGGAGCGCTTTCAGGCCTGTGGTGGAAAACGAATTATGGTCACATAAAAACTGGAGAGAAGCCTTCTCAGAAACTTCTCTGTGATGATTGCATTCAACTCACAGAGTTGAACCCTCCTATGGATAGAGCAGTGTTGAAACTCTCTTTTTGTGGAATCTGCAAGCGGATATGTGGACCTCTCCGAAGATGTCTTTGGAAACGGGAATATCTTCACATAAAAACTAAACAGAAGCATTCTCAGAAACTTCTTGGTGATGTTTGCATTCAAATCCCAGAGTTGAACCTTCCTTTGATAGTTCAGGTTTGAAACACTCTTTTTGTAGGATCTGCAAGTGGATATTTGGACCACTCTGTGGCCTTCGTTCGAAACGGGTACATCTTCGCATAAAATCTAGACAGAAGCATTCTCAGAAAATACTTTGTGATGATTGAGTTGAACTCACAGAGCTGAACATTCCTTTGGATGGAGCAGGTTTGAGACACACTTTTTGTAGAATCTACAAGTGGATATTTGGACCTCTCTGAGGATTTCGTTGGAAACGGGATAACTGCACCTAACTAAACGGAAGCATTCTCAGAAACTGCTTTGTGATGATTGCATTCACCTCACAGAGTTGAACATTCCTATTGATAGAGCAGTTTGGAAACACTCTTGTTGTGGAATGTGCAAGTGGAGATTTGGAGCGCTTTGAGGCCTATGGTAGTAAAGGGAATAGCTTCATAGAAAAACTAGACAGATGCGTTCTCAGGAACTTTTTGGTGATGTTTGTATTCAACTCCCAGAGTTGAACTTTCCTTTGGAAAGAGCAGCTATGAAACACTGTTTTTCTAGAATCTGCAAGTGGACGTTTGGAGGGCTTTGTGGTTTGTGGTGGAAAAGGAAATATCTTCACCTAAATACTAGATAGAAGCATTCTCAGAAGCTTCTCTGTGATGACTGCATTCAACTCACGGAGTTGAACACTCCTTTTGAGAGCGCAGTTTTGAAACTCTCTTTCTGTGGCATCTGCAAGGGGACATGTAGACCTCTCTGAAGATTTCGTTGGAAACGGAATCATCTTCACATAAAAACTATACAGAAACAGTCTCAGAATCTTCTTTGTGATGTTTGCATTCAAATCCCAGAGTTGAACTTTCCTTTCAAAGTTCACGTTTGAAACACTCTTTTTGCAGGATCTACAAGTGGATATTTGGACCACTCTGTGTCCTTCGTTCAAAACGGGTATATCTTCACATGACATCTAGACAGAAGCTTTCTCAGAAAATTCTTTGGGATGATTGAGTTGAACTCACAGAGCTGAACATTCCTTGCGATGTAGCAGTTTAGAAACACACTTTCTGCAGAATCTGCAAGTGCATATTTGGACCTCTCTGAGGAATTCGTTGGAAACGGGATAATTTCAGCTGACTAAACCGAAGCATTCTCAGAACCTTCTTCGTGATGTCTGCATTCAACTCACAGTGTGGAATCTTTCTTTGGTAGTTCAGGTTTGAAACACTCTTTTTGTAGAAACTGCAAGGGGATAATTGCACTTCTTTGAGGCCTACCGTAGTAAAGGAAATAACTTCGTATAAAAAGAAGACAGAAGCATTCTCAGAACCCTCTTCGTGATGTTTGCATTCAACTCACAGTGTTGAACCTTTCTTTGATAGTTCAGGTTTGAAACGGTTTTTCTGTAGAAACTGCAAGTAGATATTTGGACCTCTCTGAGGATTTCGTTGGAAACGGGATAAACCGCACAGAACTAAACAGAAGCATTCTCAGAACCCTCTTCGTGATGTTTGCATTCAACTCACAGTACTGAACCTTTCTTTGATAGTTCAGGTTTGAAACACTCTTTTTGTAGAAACTGCAAGTGGATATTTGGGCCTCTCTGAGGATTTCGTTGGAAACGGGATAAACCGCACAGAACTAAACAGAAGCATTCTCAGAACCTTCTTCGTGATGTTTGCATTCAACTCACAGTGCTGAACCTTTCTTTGATAGTTCAGCTTTGAAACACTCTTTTTGTAGAAACTGCAAGTGGATATTTGGACCTCTCTGAGGATTTCATTGGAAACGGGATAAACAGCACAGAACTAAAACAGAAGCATTCACAGAAAACTCTTGGTGACGACTGAGTTTAACTCACAGAGCTGAACATCCCTTTGGATGGAGCAGTTTCGAAACACACTATTTGTAGAATGTGCAAGTGGATATTTGGGCCTCTCTGAGGATTTCGTTGGAAACGGGATAAACCGCACAGAACTAAACAGAAGCATTCTCAGAAACTACTTTGTGATGATTGCATTCAAGTCACAGAGTTGAACATTCCCTTTGACAGAGCAGTTTGGAAACTCTCTTTGTGTAGAATCTGCAAGTGGAGATATGGACCGCTTTGAGGACTATGGTAGTAAAGGAAATAGCTTCATATAAAAGCTAGACAGTAGCATTCTCAGAAACTTCTTTGTGATGCTTGCATTCAACTCACAGAGTTGAACTTTCCTTTCGAGAGAGAAGCTTTGAAACACTCTTTTTCCAGAATCTGCAAGTGGAAATTTGGAGGGCTTTGAGGCCTGTGGTGGAAAAGGAATTATCTTCCCGTAAAAGCTAGATAGAAGCATTGTCAGAAACTTCTTTGTGATGATTGCATTCAACTCACAGAGTTGAAGGTTCCTTTTCAAACAGCAGTTTCCAACCACTCTTTCTGTGGAATCCGCAAGTGGATATTTGGACCTCTTTGAAGATTTCGTTGGAAACGGGAGAATCTTCACAGAAAAGCTAAACAGAAGCATTCTCAGAAACTTCTCTGTGATGTTTGTGTTCAACTCCCAGAGTTTCACATTGCTTTTCATAGAGTAGTTCTGAAACATGCTTTTCGTAGTGTCTGCAAGTGGACATTTGGAGCGCTTTCAGGCCTGTGGTGGAAAACGAATTATGGTCACATAAAAACTGGAGAGAAGCCTTCTCAGAAACTTCTCTGTGATGATTGCATTCAACTCACAGAGTTGAACCCTCCTATGGATAGAGCAGTGTTGAAACTCTCTTTTTGTGGAATCTGCAAGTGGATATGTGGACCTCTCCGAAGATGTCTTTGGAAACGGGAATATCTTCACATAAAAACTAAACAGAAGCATTCTCAGAAACTTCTTGGTGATGTTTGCATTCAAATCCCAGAGTTGAACCTTCCTTTGGTAGTTCAGGTTTGAAACACTCTTTTTGTAGGATCTGCAAGTGGCTATTTGGACCACTCTGTGGCCTTCGTTCGAAACGGGTATATCTTCGCATAAAATCTAGACAGAAGCATTCTCAGAAAATACTTTGTGATGATTGAGTTTAAATCACAGAGCTGACCATTCCTTTGGATGGAGCAGGTTTGAGACACACTTTTTGTAGAATCTACAAGTGGATATTTGGACCTCTCTGAGGATTTCGTTGGAAACGGGATAACTGCACCTAACTAAACGGAAGCATTCTCAGAAACTGCTTTGTGATGATTGCATTCACCTCACAGAGTTGAACATTCCTATTGATAGAGCAGTTTGGAAACACTCTTGTTGTGGAATGTGCAAGTGGAGATTTGGAGCGCTTTGAGGCCTATGGTAGTAAAGGGAATAGCTTCATAGAAAAACTAGACAGATGCATTCTCAGGAACTTTTTGGTGATGTTTGTATTCAACTCCCAGAGTTGAACTTTCCTTTGGAAAGAGCAGCTATGAAACACTCTTTTTCTAGAATCTGCAAGTGGACGTTTGGAGGGCTTTGTGGTTTGTGGTGGAAAAGGAAATATCTTCACCTAAATACTAGACAGAAGCATTCTCAGAAGCTTCTCTGTGATGACTGCATTCAACTCACGGAGTTGAACACTCCTTTTGAGAGCGCAGTTTTGAAACTCTCTTTCTGTGGCATCTGCAAGGGGACATGTAGACCTCTTTGAAGATTTCGTTGGAAACGGAATCATCTTCACATAAAAACTATACAGAAGCAGTCTCAGAATCTTCTTTGTGATGTTTGCATTCAAATCCCAGAGTTGAACTTTCCTTTCAAAGTTCACGTTTGAAACACTCTTTTTGCAGGATCTACAAGTGGATATTTGGACCACTCTGTGTCCTTCGTTCGAAACGGGTATATCTTCACACGACATCTAGACAGAAGCTTTCTCAGAAAATTCTTTGGGATGATTGAGTGGAACTCACAGAGCTGAACATTCCTTGCGATGTAGCAGTTTAGAAACACACTTTCTGCAGAATCTGCAAGTGCATATTTGGACCTCTCTGAGGAATTCGTTGGAAACGGGATAATTTCAGCTGACTAAACAGAAGCATTCTCAGAACCTTCTTCGTGATGTCTGCATTCAACTCACAGTGTGGAACCTTTCTTTGATAGTTCAGGTTTGAAACACTCTTTTTGTAGAAACTGCAAGGGGATAATTGCACTTCTTTGAGGCCTACCGTAGTAAAGGAAATAACTTCCTATAGAAAGAAGACAGAAGCATTCTCAGAACCCTCTTCGTGATGTTTGCATTCAACTCACAGTGCTGAACCTTTCTTTGATAGTTCAGCTTTGAAACACTCTTCTTGTAGAAACTGCAAGTGGATATTTGGTCCTCTCTGAGGATTTCGTTGGAAACGGGATAAACCGCACAGAACTAAACAGAAGAATTCTCAGAGCCCTCTTCGTGATGTTTGCATTCAACTCACAGTGCTGAACCTTTCTTTGATAGTGCAGCTTTGAAACACTCTTTTTGTAGAAACTGCAAGTGGATATTTGGTCCTCTCTGAGGATTTCGTTGGAAACGGGATAAACCGCACAGAACTAAAACAGAAGCATTCACAGAAAACTCTTGGTGACGACTGAGTTTAACTCACAGAGCTGAACATTCCTTTGGATGGAGCAGTTTCGAAACACACTATTTGTAGAATCTGCAAGTGGATATTTGGGCCTCTCTGAGGATTTCGTTGGAAACGGGATAAAACGCACAAAACTAAAACAGAAGCATTCTCAGAAACTACTTTGTGATGATTGCATTCAAGTCACAGAGTTGAACATTCCCTTTGACAGAGCAGTTTGGAAACTCTCTTTGTGTAGAATCTGCAAGTGGAGATATGGACCGCTTTGAGGCCTATGGTAGTAAAGGAAATAGCTTCATATAAAAGCTAGACAGTAGCATTCTCAGAAACTTCTTTGTGATGCTTGCATTCAACTCACAGAGTTGAACTTTCCTTTCGAGAGAGAAGCTTTGAAACACTCTTTTTCCAGAATCTGCAAGTGGACATTTGGAGGGCTTTGAGGCCTGTGGTGGAAAAGGAATTATCTTCCCGTAAAAGCTAGATAGAAGCATTGTCAGAAACTTCTTTGTGATGATTGCATTCAACTCACAGAGTTGAAGGTTCCTTTTCAAAGAGCAGTTTCCAATCACTCTTTGTGTGGAATCTGCAAGTGGATATTTGGACCTATTTTGAAGATTTCGTTGGAAACGGGAGAATCTTCACAGGAAAGCTAAACAGAAGCATTCTCAGAAACTTCTCTGTGATGTTTGTGTTCAACTCCCAGAGTTTCACATTGCTTTTCATAGAGTAGTTCTGAAACATGCTTTTCGTAGTGTCTACAAGTGGACATTTGGAGCGCTTTCAGGCCTGTGGTGGAAAACGAATTATGGTCACATAAAAACTGGAGAGAAGCCTTCTCAGAAACTTCTCTGTGATGATTGCATTCAACTCACAGAGTTGAACCCTCCTATGGATAGAGCAGTGTTGAAACTCTCTTTTTGTGGAATCTGCAAGTGGATATGTGGACCTCTCCGAAGATGTCTTTGGAAACGGGAATATCTTCACATAAAAACTAAACAGAAGCATTCTCAGAAACTTCTTGGTGATGTTTACATTCAAATCCCAGAGTTGAACCTTCCTTTGATAGTTCAGGTTTGAAACACTCTTTTTGTAGGATCTGCAAGTGGATATTTGGACCACTCTGTGGCCTTCGTTCGAAACGGGTATATCTTCGCATAAAATCTAGACAGAAGCATTCTCAGAAAATACTTTGTGATGATTGAGTTTAACTCACAGAGCTGAACATTCCTTTGGATGGAGCAGGTTTGAGACACACTTTTTGTAGAATCTACAAGTGGATATTTGGACCTCTCTGAGGATTTCGTTGGAAACGGGATAACTGCACCTAACTAAACGGAAGCATTCTCAGAAACTGCTTTGTGATGATTGCATTCACCTCACAGAGTTGAACATTCCTATTGATAGAGCAGTTTGGAAACACTCTTGTTGTGGAATGTGCAAGTGGAGATTTGGAGCGCTTTGAGGCCTATGGTAGTAAAGGGAATAGCTTCATAGAAAAACTAGACAGATGCATTCTCAGGAACTTTTTGGTGATGTTTCTATTCAACTCCCAGAGTTGAACTTTCCTTTGGAAAGAGCAGCTATGAAACACTCTTTTTCTAGAATCTGCAAGTGGACGTTTGGAGGGCTTTGTGGTTTGTGGTGGAAAAGGAAATATCTTCACCTAAATACTAGAGAGAAGCATCCTCAGAAGCTTCTCTGTGATGACTGCATTCAACTCACGGAGTTGAACACTCCTTTTGAGAGCGCAGTTTTGAAACTCTCTTTCTGTGGCATCTGCAAGGGGACATGTAGACCTCTTTGAAGATTTCGTTGGAAACGGAATCATCTTCACATAAAAACTACACAGGAAGCAGTCTCAGAATCTTCTTTGTGATGTTTGCATTCAAATCCCCGAGTTGAACTTTCCTTTCAAAGTTCACGTTTGAAACACTCTTTTTGCAGGATCTACAAGTGGATATTTGGACCACTCTGTGTCCTTCGTTCGAAACGGGTATATCTTCACATGACATCTAGACAGAAGCTTTCTCAGAAAATTCTTTGGGATGATTGAGTTGAACTCACAGAGCTGAGCATTCCTTGCGATGTAGCAGTTTAGAAACACACTTTCTGCAGAATCTGCAAGTGCATATTTGGACCTCTGTGAGGAATTCGTTGGAAACGGGATAATTTCAGCTGACTAAACAGAAGCATTCTCAGAACCTTCTTCGTGATGTCTGCATTCAACTCACAGTGTGGAACCTTTCTTTGATAGTTCAGGTTTGAAACACTCTTTTTGTAGAAACTGCAAGGGGATAATTGCACTCTTTGAGGAGTACCGTAGTAAAGGAAATAACTTCCTATAAAAAGAAGACAGAAGCATTCTCAGAACCCTCTTCGTGATGTTTGCATTCAACTCACAGTGCTGAACCTTTCTTTGATAGTTCAGCTTTGAAACACTCTTTTTGTAGAAACTGCAAGTGGATATTTGGTCCTCTCTGAGGATTTCGTTGGAAACGGGATAAACCGCACAGAACTAAACAGAAGCATTCTCAGAACCTTCTTCGTGATGTTTGCATTCAACTCAACAGTGTTGAACCTTTCTTTGATAGTTCAGGTTTGAAACGGTCTTTCTGTAGAAACTGCAAGTAGATATTTGGACCGCTCTGAGGATTTCGTTGGAAACGGGATAACCCGCACAGAACTAAAACAGAAGCATTCAGAAAAAACTCTTGGTGACGACTGAGTTTAACTCACAGAGCTGAACATTCCTTTGGATGGAGCAGTTTCGAAACACACTATTTGTAGAATGTGCAAGTGGATATTTGGGCCTCTCTGAGGATTTCGTTGGAAACGGGATAAACCGCACAGAACTAAACAGAAGCATTCTCAGAAACTACTTTGTGATGATTGCATTCAAGTCACAGAGTTGAACATTCCCTTTGACAGAGCAGTTTGGAAACTCTCTTTGTGTAGAATCTGCAAGTGGAGATATGGACCGCTTTGAGGCCTATGGTAGTAAAGGAAATAGCTTCATATAAAAGCTAGACAGTAGCATTCTCAGAAACTTCTTTGTGATGCTTGCATTCAACTCACAGAGTTGAACTTTCCTTTCGAGAGAGAAGCTTTGAAACACTCTTTTTCCAGAATCTGCAAGTGGACATTTGGAGGGCTTTGAGGCCTGTGGTGGAAAAGGAATTATCTTCCCGTAAAAGCTAGATAGAAGCATTGTCAGAAACTTCTTTGTGATGATTGCATTCAACTCACAGAGTTGAAGGTTCCTTTTCAAAGAGCAGTTTCCAATCACTCTTTGTGTGGAATCTGCAAGTGGATATTTGGACCTATTTTGAAGATTTCGTTGGAAACGGGAGAATCTTCACAGGAAAGCTAAACAGAAGCATTCTCAGAAACTTCTCTGTGATGTTTGTGTTCAACTCCCAGAGTTTCACATTGCTTTTCATAGAGTAGTTCTGAAACATGCTTTTCGTAGTGTCTACAAGTGGACATTTGGAGCGCTTTCAGGCCTGTGGTGGAAAACGAATTATGGTCACATAAAAACTGGAGAGAAGCCTTCTCAGAAACTTCTCTGTGATGATTGCATTCAACTCACAGAGTTGAACCCTCCTATGGATAGAGCAGTGTTGAAACTCTCTTTTTGTGGAATCTGCAAGTGGATATGTGGACCTCTCCGAAGATGTCTTTGGAAACGGGAATATCTTCACATAAAAACTTAACAGAAGCATTCTCAGAAACTTCTTGGTGATGTTTGCATTCAAATCCCAGCAGTTGAACCTTCCTTTGATAGTTCAGGTTTGAAACACTCTTTTTGTAGGATCTGCAAGTGGATATTTGGACCACTCTGTGGCCTTCGTTCGAAACGGGTACATCTTCGCATAAAATCTAGACAGAAGCATTCTCAGAAAATACTTTGTGATGATTGAGTTTAACTCACAGAGCTGAACATTCCTTTGGATGGAGCAGGTTTGAGACACACTTTTTGTAGAATCTACAAGTGGATATTTGGACCTCTCTGAGGATTTCGTTGGAAACGGGATAACTGCACCTAACTAAACGGAAGCATTCTCAGAAACTGCTTTGTGATGATTGCATTCACCTCACAGAGTTGAACATTCCTATTGATAGAGCAGTTTGGAAACACTCTTGTTGTGGAATGTGCAAGTGGAGATTTGGAGCGCTTTGAGGCCTATGGTAGTAAAGGGAATAGCTTCATAGAAAAACTAGACAGATGCATTCTCAGGAACTTTTTGGTGATGTTTGTATTCAACTCCCAGAGTTGAACTTTCCTTTGGAAAGAGCAGCTATGAAACACTGTTTTTCTAGAATCTGCAAGTGGACGTTTGGAGGGCTTTGTGGTTTGTGGTGGAAAAGGAAATATCTTCACCTAAATACTAGATAGAAGCATCCTCAGAAGCTTCTCTGTGATGACTGCATTCAACTCACGGAGTTGAACACTCCTTTTGAGAGCGCAGTTTTGAAACTCTCTTTCTGTGGCATCTGCAAGGGGACATGTAGACCTCTTTGAAGATTTCGTTGGAAACGGAATCATCTTCACATAAAAACTATACAGAAGCAGTCTCAGAATCTTCTTTGTGGTGTTTGCATTCAAATCCCAGAGTTGAACTTTCCTTTCAAAGTTCACGTTTGAAACACTCTTTTTGCAGGATCTACAAGTGGATATTTGGACCACTCTGTGTCCTTCGTTCGAAACGGGTATATCTTCACATGACATCTAGACAGAAGCTTTCTCAGAAAATTCTTTGGGATGATTGAGTGGAACTCACAGAGCTGAACATTCCTTGCGATGTAGCAGTTTAGAAACACACTTTCTGCAGAATCTGCAAGTGCATATTTGGACCTCTCTGAGGAATTCGTTGGAAACGGGATAATTTCAGCTGACTAAACAGAAGCATTCTCAGAACCTTCTTCGTGATGTCTGCATTCAACTCACAGTGTGGAACCTTTCTTTGATAGTTCAGGTTTGAAACACTCTTTTTGTAGAAACTGCAAGGGGATAATTGCACTTCTTTGAGGCCTACCGTAGTAAAGGAAATAACTTCCTATAGAAAGAAGACAGAAGCATTCTCAGAACCCTCTTCGTGATGTTTGCATTCAACTCACAGTGCTGAACCTTTCTTTGATAGTTCAGCTTTGAAACACTCTTCTTGTAGAAACTGCAAGTGGATATTTGGTCCTCTCTGAGGATTTCGTTGGAAACGGGATAAACCGCACAGAACTAAACAGAAGAATTCTCAGAGCCCTCTTCGTGATGTTTGCATTCAACTCACAGTGCTGAACCTTTCTTTGATAGTGCAGCTTTGAAACACTCTTTTTGTAGAAACTGCAAGTGGATGTTTGGTCCTCTCTGAGGATTTCGTTGGAAACGGGATAAACCGCACAGAACTAAAACAGAAGCATTGTCAGAAACTTCTTTGTGATGATTGCATTCAACTCACAGAGTTGAAGGTTCCTTTTCAAACAGCAGTTTCCAATCACTCTTTCTGTGGAATCTGCAAGTGGATATTTGGGCCTCTCTGAGGATTTCGTTGGAAACGGGATAAAACGCACAGAACTAAAACAGAAGCATTCTCAGAAACTTCTCTGTGATGTTTGTGTTCAACTCCCAGAGTTTCACGTTGCTTTTCATAGAGTAGTTCTGAAACATGCTTTTCGTAGTGTCTGCAAGTGGACATTTGGAGCGCTTTCAGGCCTGTGGTGGAAAACGAATTATGGTCACATAAAAACTGGAGAGAAGCCTTCTCAGAAACTTCTCTGTGATGATTGCATTCAACTCACAGAGTTGAACCCTCCTATGGATAGAGCAGTGTTGAAACTCTCTTTTTGTGGAATCTGCAAGTGGATATGTGGACCTCTCCGAAGATGTCTTTGGAAACGGGAATATCTTCACATAAAAACTAAACAGAAGCATTCTCAGAAACTTCTTGGTGATGTTTGCATTCAAATCCCAGAGTTGAACCTTCCTTTGATAGTTCAGGTTTGAAACACTCTTTCTGTAGGATCTGCAAGTGGCTATTTGGACCACTCTGTGGCCTTCGTTCGAAACGGGTATATCTTCGCATAAAATCTAGACAGAAGCATTCTCAGAAAATACTTTGTGATGATTGAGTTTAAATCACAGAGCTGACCATTCCTTTGGATGGAGCAGGTTTGAGACACACTTTTTGTAGAATCTACAAGTGGATATTTGGACCTCTCTGAGGATTTCGTTGGAAACGGGATAACTGCACCTAACTAAACGGAAGCATTCTCAGAAACTGCTTTGTGATGATTGCATTCACCTCACAGAGTTGAACATTCCTATTGATAGAGCAGTTTGGAAACACTCTTGTTGTGGAATGTGCAAGTGGAGATTTGGAGCGCTTTGAGGCCTATGGTAGTAAAGGGAATAGCTTCATAGAAAAACTAGACAGATGCATTCTCAGGAACTTTTTGGTGATGTTTGTATTCAACTCCCAGAGTTGAACTTTCCTTTGGAAAGAGCAGCTATGAAACACTCTTTTTCTAGAATCTGCAAGTGGACGTTTGGAGGGCTTTGTGGTTTGTGGTGGAAAAGGAAATATCTTCACCTAAATACTAGATAGAAGCATTCTCAGAAGCTTCTCTGTGATGACTGCATTCAACTCACGGAGTTGAACACTCCTTTTGAGAGCGCAGTTTTGAAACTCTCTTTCTGTGGCATCTGCAAGGGGACATGTAGACCTCTTTGAAGATTTCGTTGGAAACGGAATCATCTTCACATAAAAACTATACAGAAGCAGTCTCAGAATCTTCTTTGTGATGTTTGCATTCAAATCCCAGAGTTGAACTTTCCTTTCAAAGTTCACGTTTGAAACACTCTTTTTGCAGGATCTACAAGTGGATATTTGGACCACTCTGTGTCCTCCGTTCGAAACGGGTATATCTTCACATGACATCTAGACAGAAGCTTTCTCAGAAAATTCTTTGGGATGATTGAGTGGAACTCACAGAAGCTGAACATTCCTTGCGATGTAGCAGTTTAGAAACACACTTTCTGCAGAATCTGCAAGTGCATATGTGGACCTCTCTGAGGAATTCGTTGGAAACGGGATAATTTCAGCTGACTAAACAGAAGCATTCTCACAACCTTCTTCGTGATGTCTGCATTCAACTCACAGTGTGGAACCTTTCTTTGATAGTTCAGGTTTGAAACACTCTTTTTGTAGAAACTGCAAGGGGATCATTGCACTTCTTTGAGGCCTACCGTAGTAAAGGAGATAACTTCCTATAAAAAGAAGACAGAAGCATTCTCAGAACCCTCTTGGTGATGTTTGCATTCAACTCACGGTGCTGAACCTTTCTTTGATAGTTCAGCTTTGAAACACTCTTTTTGTAGAAACTGCAAGTGGATATTTGGTCCTCTCTGAGGATTTCGTTGGAAACGGGATAAACCGCACAGAACTAAACAGAAGCATTCTCAGAACTTTCTTCGTGATGTTTGCATTCAACTCACAGTGTTGAACCTTTCTTTGATAGTTCAGGTTTGAAACGGTCTTTCTGTAGAAACTGCAAGTAGATATTTGGACCTCTCTGAGGATTTCGTTGGAAACGGGATAAACCGCACAGAACTAAAACAGAAGCATTCACAGAAAACTCTTGGTGACGACTGAGTTTAACTCACAGAGCTGAACATTCCTTTGGATGGAGCAGTTTCGAAACACACTATTTCTAGAAGGTGCAAGTGGATATGTGGGCCTCTCTGAGGATTTCGTTGGAAACGGGATAAACCGCACAGAACTAAACAGAAGCATTCTCAGAAACTACTTTGTGATGATTGCATTCAAGTCACAGAGTTGAACATTCCCTTTGACAGAGCAGTTTGGAAACTCTCTTTGTGTAGAATCTGCAAGTGGAGATATGGACCGCTTTGAGGCCTATGGTAGTAAAGGAAATAGCTTCATATAAAAGCTAGACAGTAGCATTCTCAGAAACTTCTTTGTGATGCTTGCATTCAACTCACAGAGTTGAACTTTCCTTTCGAGAGAGAAGCTTTGAAACACTCTTTTTCCAGAATCTGCAAGTGGACATTTGGAGGGCTTTGAGGCCTGTGGTGGAAAAGGAATTATCTTCCCGTAAAAGCTAGATAGAAGCATTGTCAGAAACTTCTTTGTGATGATTGCATTCAACTCACAGAGTTGAAGGTTCCTTTTCAAAGAGCAGTTTCCAATCACTCTTTGTGTGGAATCTGCAAGTGGATATTTGGACCTATTTTGAAGATTTCGTTGGAAACGGGAGAATCTTCACAGGAAAGCTAAACAGAAGCATTCTCAGAAACTTCTCTGTGATGTTTGTGTTCAACTCCCAGAGTTTCACATTGCTTTTCATAGAGTAGTTCTGAAACATGCTTTTCGTAGTGTCTACAAGTGGACATTTGGAGCGCTTTCAGGCCTGTGGTGGAAAACGAATTATGGTCACATAAAAACTGGAGAGAAGCCTTCTCAGAAACTTCTCTGTGATGATTGCATTCAACTCACAGAGTTGAACCCTCCTATGGATAGAGCAGTGTTGAAACTCTCTTTTTGTGGAATCTGCAAGTGGATATGTGGACCTCTCCGAAGATGTCTTTGGAAACGGGAATATCTTCACATAAAAACTAAACAGAAGCATTCTCAGAAACTTCTTGGTGATGTTTGCATTCAAATCCCAGAGTCGAACCTTCCTTTGATAGTTCAGGTTTGAAACACTCTTTTTGTAGGATCTGCAAGTGGATATTTGGACCACTCTGTGGCCTTCGTTCGAAACGGGTACATCTTCGCATAAAATCTAGACAGAAGCATTCTCAGAAAATACTTTGTGATGATTGAGTTTAACTCACAGAGCTGAACATTCCTTTGGATGGAGCAGGTTTGAGACACACTTTTTGTAGAATCTACAAGTGGATATTTGGACCTCTCTGAGGATTTCGTTGGAAACGGGATAACTGCACCTAACTAAACGGAAGCATTCTCAGAAACTGCTTTGTGATGATTGCATTCACCTCACAGAGTTGAACATTCCTATTGATAGAGCAGTTTGGAAACACTCTTGTTGTGGAATGTGCAAGTGGAGATTTGGAGCGCTTTGAGGCCTATGGTAGTAAAGGGAATAGCTTCATAGAAAAACTAGACAGATGCATTCTCAGGCACTTTTTGGTGACGTTTGTATTCAACTCCCAGAGTTGAACTTTCCTTTGGAAAGAGCAGCTATGAAACACTGTTTTTCTAGAATCTGCAAGTGGACGTTTGGAGGGCTTTGTGGTTTGTGGTGGAAAAGGAAATATCTTCACCTAAATACTAGATAGAAGCATCCTCAGAAGCTTCTCTGTGATGACTGCATTCAACTCACGGAGTTGAACACTCCTTTTGAGAGCGCAGTTTTGAAACTCTCTTTCTGTGGCATCTGCAAGGGGACATGTAGACCTCTTTGAAGATTTCGTTGGAAACGGAATCATCTTCACATAAAAACTATACAGAAGCAGTCTCAGAATCTTCTTTGTGATGTTTGCATTCAAATCCCAGAGTTGAACTTGCCTTTCAAAGTTCACGTTTGAAACACTCTTTTTGCAGGATCTACAAGTGGATATTTGGACCACTCTGTGTCCTTCGTTCGAAACGGGTATATCTTCACATGACATCTAGACAGAAGCTTTCTCAGAAAATTCTTTGGGATGATTGAGTGGAACTCACAGAGCTGAACATTCCTTGCGATGTAGCAGTTTAGAAACACACTTTCTGCAGAATCTGCAAGTGCATATTTGGACCTCTCTGAGGAATTCGTTGGAAACGGGATAATTTCAGCTGACTAAACAGAAGCATTCTCAGAACCTTCTTCGTGATGTCTGCATTCAACTCACAGTGTGGAACCTTTCTTTGATAGTTCAGGTTTGAAACACTCTTTTTGTAGAAACTGCAAGGGGATAATTGCACTTCTTTGAGGCCTACCGTAGTAAAGGAAATAACTTCCTATAGAAAGAAGACAGAAGCATTCTCAGAACCCTCTTCGTGATGTTTGCATTCAACTCACAGTGCTGAACCTTTCTTTGATAGTTCAGCTTTGAAACACTCTTCTTGTAGAAACTGCAAGTGGATATTTGGTCCTCTCTGAGGATTTCGTTGGAAACGGGATAAACCGCACAGAACTAAACAGAAGAATTCTCAGAGCCCTCTTCGTGATGTTTGCATTCAACTCACAGTGCTGAACCTTTCTTTTGATAGTGCAGCTTTGAAACACTCTTTTTGTAGAAACTGCAAGTGGATGTTTGGTCCTCTCTGAGGATTTCGTTGGAAACGGGATAAACCGCACAGAACTAAAACAGAAGCATTGTCAGAAACTTCTTTGTGATGATTGCATTCAACTCACAGAGTTGAAGGTTCCTTTTCAAACAGCAGTTTCCAATCACTCTTTCTGTGGAATCTGCAAGTGGATATTTGGGCCTCTCTGAGGATTTCGTTGGAAACGGGATAAAACGCACAGAACTAAAACAGAAGCATTCTCAGAAACTTCTCTGTGATGTTTGTGTTCAACTCCCAGAGTTTCACGTTGCTTTTCATAGAGTAGTTCTGAAACATGCTTTTCGTAGTGTCTGCAAGTGGACATTTGGAGCGCTTTCAGGCCTGTGGTGGAAAACGAATTATGGTCACATAAAAACTGGAGAGAAGCCTTCTCAGAAACTTCTCTGTGATGATTGCATTCAACTCACAGAGTTGAACCCTCCTATGGATAGAGCAGTGTTGAAACTCTCTTTTTGTGGAATCTGCAAGTGGATATGTGGACCTCTCCGAAGATGTCTTTGGAAACGGGAATATCTTCACATAAAAACTAAACAGAAGCATTCTCAGAAACTTCTTGGTGATGTTTGCATTCAAATCCCAGAGTTGAACCTTCCTTTGATAGTTCAGGTTTGAAACACTCTTTCTGTAGGATCTGCAAGTGGCTATTTGGACCACTCTGTGGCCTTCGTTCGAAACGGGTATATCTTCGCATAAAATCTAGACAGAAGCATTCTCAGAAAATACTTTGTGATGATTGAGTTTAAATCACAGAGCTGACCATTCCTTTGGATGGAGCAGGTTTGAGACACACTTTTTGTAGAATCTACAAGTGGATATTTGGACCTCTCTGAGGATTTCGTTGGAAACGGGATAACTGCACCTAACTAAACGGAAGCATTCTCAGAAACTGCTTTGTGATGATTGCATTCACCTCACAGAGTTGAACATTCCTATTGATAGAGCAGTTTGGAAACACTCTTGTTGTGGAATGTGCAAGTGGAGATTTGGAGCGCTTTGAGGCCTGTGGTAGTAAAGGGAATAGCTTCATAGAAAAACTAGACAGATGCATTCTCAGGAACTTTTTGGTGATGTTTGTATTCAACTCCCAGAGTTGAACTTTCCTTTGGAAAGAGCAGCTATGAAACACTCTTTTTCTAGAATCTGCAAGTGGACGTTTGGAGGGCTTTGTGGTTTGTGGTGGAAAAGGAAATATCTTCACCTAAATACTAGATAGAAGCATTCTCAGAAGCTTCTCTGTGATGACTGCATTCAACTCACGGAGTTGAACACTCCTTTTGAGAGCGCAGTTTTGAAACTCTCTTTCTGTGGCATCTGCAAGGGGACATGTAGACCTCTTTGAAGATTTCGTTGGAAACGGAATCATCTTCACATAAAAACTATACAGAAGCAGTCTCAGAATCTTCTTTGTGATGTTTGCATTCAAATCCCAGAGTTGAACTTTCCTTTCAAAGTTCACGTTTGAAACACTCTTTTTGCAGGATCTACAAGTGGATATTTGGACCACTCTGTGTCCTTCGTTCGAAACGGGTATATCTTCACACGACATCTAGACAGAAGCTTTCTCAGAAAATTCTTTGGGATGATTGAGTGGAACTCACAGAGCTGAACATTCCTTGCGATGTAGCAGTTTAGAAACACACTTTCTGCAGAATCTGCAAGTGCATATTTGGACCTCTCTGAGGAATTCGTTGGAAACGGGATAATTTCAGCTGACTAAACAGAAGCATTCTCAGAACCTTCTTCGTGATGTCTGCATTCAACTCACAGTGTGGAACCTTTCTTTGATAGTTCAGGTTTGAAACACTCTTTTTGTAGAAACTGCAAGGGGATAATTGCACTTCTTTGAGGCCTACCGTAGTAAAGGAAATAACTTCCTATAGAAAGAAGACAGAAGCATTCTTCAGAACCCTCTTCGTGATGTTTGCATTCAACTCACAGTGCTGAACCTTTCTTTGATAGTTCAGCTTTGAAACACTCTTCTTGTAGAAACTGCAAGTGGATATTTGGTCCTCTCTGAGGATTTCGTTGGAAACGGGATAAACCGCACAGAACTAAACAGAAGAATTCTCAGAGCCCTCTTCGTGATGTTTGCATTCAACTCACAGTGCTGAACCTTTCTTTGATAGTGCAGCTTTGAAACACTCTTTTTGTAGAAACTGCAAGTGGATGTTTGGTCCTCTCTGAGGATTTCGTTGGAAACGGGATAAACCGCACAGAACTAAAACAGAAGCATTGTCAGAAACTTCTTTGTGATGATTGCATTCAACTCACAGAGTTGAAGGTTCCTTTTCAAACAGCAGTTTCCAATCACTCTTTCTGTGGAATCTGCAAGTGGATATTTGGGCCTCTCTGAGGATTTCGTTGGAAACGGGATAAAACGCACAGAACTAAAACAGAAGCATTCTCAGAAACTTCTCTGTGATGTTTGTGTTCAACTCCCAGAGTTTCACGTTGCTTTTCATAGAGTAGTTCTGAAACATGCTTTTCGTAGTGTCTGCAAGTGGACATTTGGAGCGCTTTCAGGCCTGTGGTGGAAAACGAATTATGGTCACATAAAAACTGGAGAGAAGCCTTCTCAGAAACTTCTCTGTGATGATTGCATTCAACTCACAGAGTTGAACCCTCCTATGGATAGAGCAGTGTTGAAACTCTCTTTTTGTGGAACCTGCAAGTGGATATGTGGACCTCTCCGAAGATGTCTTTGGAAACGGGAATATCTTCACATAAAAACTAAACAGAAGCATTCTCAGAAACTTCTTGGTGATGTTTGCATTCAAATCCCAGAGTTGAACCTTCCTTTGATAGTTCAGGTTTGAAACACTCTTTCTGTAGGATCTGCAAGTGGCTATTTGGACCACTCTGTGGCCTTCGTTCGAAACGGGTATATCTTCGCATAAAATCTAGACAGAAAGCATTCTCAGAAAATACTTTGTGATGATTGAGTTTAAATCACAGAGCTGACCATTCCTTTGGATGGAGCAGGTTTGAGACACACTTTTTGTAGAATCTACAAGTGGATATTTGGACCTCTCTGAGGATTTCGTTGGAAACGGGATAACTGCACCTAACTAAACGGAGCATTCTCAGAAACTGCTTTGTGATGATTGCATTCACCTCACAGAGTTGAACATTTCTATTGATAGAGCAGTTTGGAAACACTCTTGTTGTGGAATGTGCAAGTGGAGATTTGGAGCGCTTCGAGGCCTATGGTAGTAAAGGGAATAGCTTCATAGAAAAACTAGACAGATGCATTCTCAGGAACTTTTTGGTGATGTTTGTATTCAACTCCCAGAGTTGAACTTTCCTTTGGAAAGAGCA
Organism: Homo sapiens; assembly: GCF_000001405.40. Classification (NCBI taxonomy): domain Eukaryota; kingdom Metazoa; phylum Chordata; class Mammalia; order Primates; family Hominidae; genus Homo; species Homo sapiens. Next base: position 23,428,572 of record NC_000017.11, read on the forward strand.
GCTATGAAACACTCTTTTTCTAGAATCTGCAAGTGGACGTTTGGAGGGCTTTGTGGTTTGTGGTGGAAAAGGAAATATCTTCACCTAAATACTAGATAGAAGCATTCTCAGAAGCTTCTCTGTGATGACTGCATTCAACTCACGGAGTTGAACACTCCTTTTGAGAGCGCAGTTTTGAAACTCTCTTTCTGTGGCATCTGCAAGGGGACATGTAGACCTCTTTGAAGATTTCGTTGGAAACGGAATCATCTTCACATCAAAACTATACAGAAGCAGTCTCAGAATCTTCTTTGTGATGTTTGCATTCAAATCCCAGAGTTGAACTTTCCTTTCCAAGTTCACGTTTGAAACACTCTTTTTGCAGGATCTACAAGTGGATATTTGGACCACTCTGTGTCCTTCGTTCGAAACGTGTATATCTTCACATGACATCTAGACAGAAGCTTTCTCAGAAAATTCTTTGGGATGATTGAGTTGAGCAAACAGAGCTGAACACTCCTTGCGATGTAGCAGTTTAGAAACACACTTTCTGCAGAATCTGCAAGTGCATATGTGGACCTCTCTGAGGAAATCGTTGGAAACGGGATAATTTCAGCTGACTAAACAGAAGCATTCTCAGAACCTTCTTCGTGATGTCTGCATTCAACTCACAGTGTGGAACCTTTCTTTGATAGTTCAGGTTTGAAACACTCTTTTTGTAGAAACTGCAAGGGGATAATTGCACTTCTTTGAGGCCTACCGTAGTAAAGGAAATAACTTCCTATAGAAAGAAGACAGAAGCATTCTCAGAACCCTCTTCGTGATGTTTGCATTCAACTCACAGTGCTGAACCTTTCTTTGATAGTTCAGCTTTGAAACACTCTTCTTGTAGAAACTGCAAGTGGATATTTGGTCCTCTCTGAGGATTTCGTTGGAAACGGGATAAACCGCACAGAACTAAACAGAAGAATTCTCAGAGCCCTCTTCGTGATGTTTGCATTCAACTCACAGTGCTGAACCTTTCTTTGATAGTGCAGCTTTGAAACACTCTTTTTGTAGAAACTGCAAGTGGATGTTTGGTCCTCTCTGAGGATTTCGTTGGAAACGGGATAAACCGCACAGAACTAAAACAGAAGCATTGTCAGAAACTTCTTTGTGATGATTGCATTCAACTCACAGAGTTGAAGGTTCCTTTTCAAACAGCAGTTTCCAATCACTCTTTCTGTGGAATCTGCAAGTGGATATTTGGACCTCTTTGAAGATTTCATTGGAAAAGGGATAATCTTCACAGAAAAGCTAAACAGAAGCATTCTCAGAAACTTCTCTGTGATGTTTGTGTTCAACTCCCAGAGTTTCACATTGCTTTTCATAGAGTAGTTCTGAAACATGCTTTTCGTAGTGTCTGCAAGTGGACATTTGGAGGGCTTTCAGGCCTGTGGTGGAAAACGAATTATGGTCACATAAAAACTGGAGAGAAGCCTTCTCAGAAACTTCTCTGTGATGATTGCATTCAACTCACAGAGTTGAACCCTCCTATGGATAGAGCAGTGTTGAAACTCTCTTTTTGTGGAATCTGCAAGTGGATATGTGGACCTCTCCGAAGATGTCTTTGGAAACGGGAATATCTTCACATAAAAACTAAACAGAAGCATTCTCAGAAACTTCTTGGTGATGTTTGCATTCAAATCCCAGAGTTGAACCTTCCTTTGATAGTTCAGGTTTGAAACACTCTTTTTGTAGGATCTGCAAGTGGCTATTTGGACCACTCTGTGGCCTTCGTTCGAAACGGGTATATCTTCGCATAAAATCTAGACAGAAAGCATTCTCAGAAAATACTTTGTGATGATTGAGTTTAAATCACAGAGCTGAACATTCCTTTGGATGGAGCAGGTTTGAGACACACTTTTTGTAGAATCTACAAGTGGATATTTGGACCTCTCAGAGGATTTCGTTGGAAACGGGATAACTGCACCTAACTAAACGGAAGCATTCTCAGAAACTGCTTTGTGATGATTGCATTCACCTCACAGAGTTGAACATTCCTATTGATAGAGCAGTTTGGAAACACTCTTGTTGTGGAATGTGCAAGTGGAGATTTGGAGCGCTTTGAGGCCTATGGTAGTAAAGGGAATAGCTTCATAGAAAAACTAGACAGATGCATTCTCAGGAACTTTTTGGTGATGTTTGTATTCAACTCCCAGAGTTGAACTTTCCTTTGGAAAGAGCAGCTATGAAACACTCTTTTTCTAGAATCTGCAAGTGGACGTTTGGAGGGCTTTGTGGTTTGTGGTGGAAAAGGAAATATCTTCACCTAAATACTAGATAGAAGCATCCTCAGAAGCTTCTCTGTGATGACTGCATTCAACTCACGGAGTTGAACACTCCTTTTGAGAGCGCAGTTTTGAAACTCTCTTTCTGTGGCATCTGCAAGGGGACATGTAGACCTCTTTGAAGATTTCGTTGGAAACGGAATCATCTTCACATAAAAACTACACAGAAGCAGTCTCAGAATCTTCTTTGTGATGTTTGCATTCAAATCCCCGAGTTGAACTTTCCTTTCAAAGTTCACGTTTGAAACACTCTTTTTGCAGGATCTACAAGTGGATATTTGGACCACTCTGTGTCCTTCGTTCGAAACGGGTATATCTTCACATGACATCTAGACAGAAGCTTTCTCAGAAAATTCTTTGGGATGATTGAGTTGAACTCACAGAGCTGAGCATTCCTTGTGATGTAGCAGTTTAGAAACACACTTTCTGCAGAATCTGCAAGTGCATATTTGGACCTCTGTGAGGAATTCGTTGGAAACGGGATAATTTCAGCTGACTAAACAGAAGCATTCTCAGAACCTTCTTCGTGATGTCTGCATTCAACTCACAGTGTGGAACCTTTCTTTGATAGTTCAGGTTTGAAACACTCTTTTTGTAGAAACTGCAAGGGGATAATTGCACTCTTTGAGGAGTACCGTAGTAAAGGAAATAACTTCCTATAAAAAGAAGACAGAAGCATTCTCAGAACCCTCTTCGTGATGTTTGCATTCAACTCACAGTGCTGAACCTTTCTTTGATAGTTCAGCTTTGAAACACTCTTTTTGTAGAAACTGCAAGTGGATATTTGGTCCTCTCTGAGCATTTCGTTGGAAACGGGATAAACTGCACAGAACTAAACAGAAGCATTCTCAGAACCTTCTTCGTGATGTTTGCATTCAACTCACAGTGTTGAACCTTTCTTTGATAGTTCAGGTTTGAAACGGTCTTTCTGTAGAAACTGCAAGTAGATATTTGGACCTCTCTGAGGATTTCGTTGGAAACGGGATAACCCGCACAGAACTAAAACAGAAGCATTCACAGAAAACTCTTGGTGACGACTGAGTTTAACTCACAGAGCTGAACATTCCTTTGGATGGAGCAGTTTTGAAACACACTATTTGTAGAATGTGCAAGTGGATATTTAGGCCTCTCTGAGGATTTCGTTGGAAACGGGATAAACCGCACAGAACTAAACAGAAGCATTCTCAGAAACTACTTTGTGATGATTGCATTCAAGTCACAGAGTTGAACATTCCCTTTGACAGAGCAGTTTGGAAACTCTCTTTGTGTAGAATCTGCAAGTGGAGATATGGACCGCTTTGAGGCCTATGGTAGTAAAGGAAATAGCTTCATATAAAAGCTAGACAGTAGCATTCTCAGAAACTTCTTTGTGATGCTTGCATTCAACTCACAGAGTTGAACTTTCCTTTCGAGAGAGAAGCTTTGAAACACTCTTTTTCCAGAATCTGCAAGTGGACATTTGGAGGGCTTTGAGGCCTGTGGTGGAAAAGGAATTATCTTCCCGTAAAAGCTAGATAGAAGCATTGTCAGAAACTTCTTTGTGATGATTGCATTCAACTCACAGAGTTGAAGGTTCCTTTTCAAAGAGCAGTTTCCAATCACTCTTTCTGTGGAATCTGCAAGTGGATATTTGGACCTATTTTGAAGATTTCGTTGGAAACGGGAGAATCTTCACAGGAAAGCTAAACAGAAGCATTCTCAGAAACTTCTCTGTGATGTTTGTGTTCAACTCCCAGAGTTTCACATTGCTTTTCATAGAGTAGTTCTGAAACATGCTTTTCGTAGTGTCTACAAGTGGACATTTGGAGCGCTTTCAGGCCTGTGGTGGAAAACGAATTATGGTCACATAAAAACTGGAGAGAAGCCTTCTCAGAAACTTCTCTGTGATGATTGCATTCAACTCACAGAGTTGAACCCTCCTATGGATAGAGCAGTGTTGAAACTCTCTTTTTGTGGAATCTGCAAGTGGATATGTGGACCTCTCCGAAGATGTCTTTGGAAACGGGAATATCTTCACATAAAAACTAAACAGAAGCATTCTCAGAAACTTCTTGGTGATGTTTGCATTCAAATCCCAGAGTTGAACCTTCCTTTGATAGTTCAGGTTTGAAACACTCTTTTTGTAGGATCTGCAAGTGGATATTTGGACCACTCTGTGGCCTTCGTTCGAAACTGGTATATCTTCGCATAAAATCCAGACAGAAGCATTCTCAGAAAATACTTTGTGATGATTGAGTTTAAATCACAGAGCTGAACATTCCTTTGGATGGAGCAGGTTTGAGACACACTTTTTGTAGAATCTACAAGTGGATATTTGGACCTCTCTGAGGATTTCGTTGGAAACGGGATAACTGCACCTAACTAAACGGAAGCATTCTCAGAAACTGCTTTGTGATGATTGCATTCACCTCACAGAGTTGAACATTCCTATTGATAGAGCAGTTTGGAAACACTCTTGTTGTGGAATGTGCAAGTGGAGATTTGGAGCGCTTTGAGGCCTATGGTAGTAAAGGGAATAGCTTCATAGAAAAACTAGACAGATGCATTCTCAGGAACTTTTTGGTGATGTTTGTATTCAACTCCCAGAGTTGAACTTTCCTTTGGAAAGAGCAGCTATGAAACACTCTTTTTCTAGAATCTGCAAGTGGACGTTTGGAGGGCTTTGTGGTTTGTGGTGGAAAAGGAAATATCTTCACCTAAATACTAGATAGAAGCATTCTCAGAAGCTTCTCTGTGATGACTGCATTCAACTCACGGAGTTGAACACTCCTTTTGAGAGCGCAGTTTTGAAACTCTCTTTCTGTGGCATCTGCAAGGGGACATGTAGACCTCTTTGAAGATTTCGTTGGAAACGGAATCATCTTCACATAAAAACTATACAGAAGCAGTCTCAGAATCTTCTTTGTGATGTTTGCATTCAAATCCCAGAGTTGAACTTTCCTTTCAAAGTTCACGTTTGAAACACTCTTTTTGCAGGATCTACAAGTGGATATTTGGACCACTCTGTGTCCTTCGTTCGAAACGGGTATATCTTCACACGACATCTAGACAGAAGCTTTCTCAGAAAATTCTTTGGGATGATTGAGTGGAACTCACAGAGCTGAACATTCCTTGCGATGTAGCAGTTTAGAAACACACTTTCTGCAGAATCTGCAAGTGCATATTTGGACCTCTCTGAGGAATTCGTTGGAAACGGGATAATTTCAGCTGACTAAACAGAAGCATTCTCAGAACCTTCTTCGTGATGTCTGCATTCAACTCACAGTGTGGAACCTTTCTTTGATAGTTCAGGTTTGAAACACTCTTTTTGTAGAAACTTCAAGGGGATAATTGCACTTCTTTGAGGCCTACCGTAGTAAAGGAAATAACTTCCTATAGAAAGAAGACAGAAGCATTCTCAGAACCCTCTTCGTGATGTTTGCATTCAACTCACAGTGCTGAACCTTTCTTTGATAGTTCAGCTTTGAAACACTCTTCTTGTAGAAACTGCAAGTGGATATTTGGTCCTCTCTGAGGATTTCGTTGGAAACGGGATAAACCGCACAGAACTAAACAGAAGAATTCTCAGAGCCCTCTTCGTGATGTTTGCATTCAACTCACAGTGCTGAACCTTTCTTTGATAGTGCAGCTTTGAAACACTCTTTTTGTAGAAACTGCAAGTGGATGTTTGGTCCTCTCTGAGGATTTCGTTGGAAACGGGATAAACCGCACAGAACTAAAACAGAAGCATTGTCAGGAAACTTCTTTGTGATGATTGCATTCAACTCACAGAGTTGAAGGTTCCTTTTCAAACAGCAGTTTCCAATCACTCTTTCTGTGGAATCTGCAAGTGGATATTTGGGCCTCTCTGAGGATTTCGTTGGAAACGGGATAAAACGCACAGAACTAAAACAGAAGCATTCTCAGAAACTTCTCTGTGATGTTTGTGTTCAACTCCCAGAGTTTCACGTTGCTTTTCATAGAGTAGTTCTGAAACATGCTTTTCGTAGTGTCTGCAAGTGGACATTTGGAGCGCTTTCAGGCCTGTGGTGGAAAACGAATTATGGTCACATAAAAACTGGAGAGAAGCCTTCTCAGAAACTTCTCTGTGATGATTGCATTCAACTCACAGAGTTGAACCCTCCTATGGATAGAGCAGTGTTGAAACTCTCTTTTTGTGGAATCTGCAAGTGGATATGTGGACCTCTCCGAAGATGTCTTTGGAAACGGGAATATCTTCACATAAAAACTAAACAGAAGCATTCTCAGAAACTTCTTGGTGATGTTTGCATTCAAATCCCAGAGTTGAACCTTCCTTTGATAGTTCAGGTTTGAAACACTCTTTCTGTAGGATCTGCAAGTGGCTATTTGGACCACTCTGTGGCCTTCGTTCGAAACGGGTATATCTTCGCATAAAATCTAGACAGAAGCATTCTCAGAAAATACTTTGTGATGATTGAGTTTAAATCACAGAGCTGACCATTCCTTTGGATGGAGCAGGTTTGAGACACACTTTTTGTAGAATCTACAAGTGGATATTTGGACCTCTCTGAGGATTTCGTTGGAAACGGGATAACTGCACCTAACTAAACGGGAAGCATTCTCAGAAACTGCTTTGTGATGATTGCATTCACCTCACAGAGTTGAACATTCCTATTGATAGAGCAGTTTGGAAACACTCTTGTTGTGGAATGTGCAAGTGGAGATTTGGAGCGCTTTGAGGCCTATGGTAGTAAAGGGAATAGCTTCATAGAAAAACTAGACAGATGCATTCTCAGGAACCTTTTGGTGATGTTTGTATTCAACTCCCAGAGTTGAACTTTCCTTTGGAAAGAGCAGCTATGAAACACTCTTTTTCTAGAATCTGCAAGTGGACGTTTGGAGGGCTTTGTGGTTTGTGGTGGAAAAGGAAATATCTTCACCTAAATACTAGATAGAAGCATTCTCAGAAGCTTCTCTGTGATGACTGCATTCAACTCACGGAGTTGAACACTCCTTTTGAGAGCGCAGTTTTGAAACTCTCTTTCTGTGGCATCTGCAAGGGGACATGTAGACCTCTTTGAAGATTTCGTTGGAAACGGAATCATCTTCACATAAAAACTATACAGAAGCAGTCTCAGAATCTTCTTTGTGATGTTTGCATTCAAATCCCAGAGTTGAACTTTCCTTTCAAAGTTCACGTTTGAAACACTCTTTTTGCAGGATCTACAAGTGGATATTTGGACCACTCTGTGTCCTTCGTTCGAAACGGGTATATCTTCACACGACATCTAGACAGAAGCTTTCTCAGAAAATTCTTTGGGATGATTGAGTGGAACTCACAGAGCTGAACATTCCTTGCGATGTAGCAGTTTAGAAACACACTTTCTGCAGAATCTGCAAGTGCATATTTGGACCTCTCTGAGGAATTCGTTGGAAACGGGATAATTTCAGCTGACTAAACAGAAGCATTCTCAGAACCTTCTTCGTGATGTCTGCATTCAACTCACAGTGTGGAACCTTTCTTTGATAGTTCAGGTTTGAAACACTCTTTTTGTAGAAACTGCAAGGGGATAATTGCACTTCTTTGAGGCCTACCGTAGTAAAGGAAATAACTTCCTATAGAAAGAAGACAGAAGCATTCTCAGAACCCTCTTCGTGATGTTTGCATTCAACTCACAGTGCTGAACCTTTCTTTGATAGTTCAGCTTTGAAACACTCTTCTTGTAGAAACTGCAAGTGGATATTTGGTCCTCTCTGAGGATTTCGTTGGAAACGGGATAAACCGCACAGAACTAAACAGAAGCATTCTCAGAACCTTCTTCGTGATGTTTGCATTCAACTCACAGTGTTGAACCTTTCTTTGATAGTTCAGGTTTGAAACGGTCTTTCTGTAGAAACTGCAAGTAGATATTTGGACCCCTCTGAGGATTTCGTTGGAAACGGGATAAACCGCACAGAACTAAAACAGAAGCATTCACAGAAAACTCTTGGTGACGACTGAGTTTAACTCACAGAGCTGAACATTCCTTTGGATGGAGCAGTTTCGAAACACACTATTTGTAGAATGTGCAAGTGGATATTTGGGCCTCTCTGAGGATTTCGTTGGAAACGGGATAAACCGCACAGAACTAAACAGAAGCATTCTCAGAAACTACTTTGTGATGATTGCATTCAAGTCACAGAGTTGAACATTCCCTTTGACAGAGCAGTTTGGAAACTCTCTTTCTGTAGAATCTGCAAGTGGAGATATGGACCGCTTTGAGGCCTATGGTAGTAAAGGAAATAGCTTCATATAAAAGCTAGACAGTAGCATTCTCAGAAACTTCTTTGTGATGCTTGCATTCAACTCACAGAGTTGAACTTTCCTTTCGAGAGAGAAGCTTTGAAACACTCTTTTTCCAGAATCTGCAAGTGGACATTTGGAGGGCTTTGAGGCCTGTGGTAGAAAAGGAATTAACTTCCCGTAAAAGCTAGATAGAAGCATTGTCAGAAACTTCTTTGTGATGATTGCATTCAACTCACAGAGATGAAGGTTCCTTTTCAAACAGCAGTTTCCAAACACTCTTTCTGTGGAATCTGCAAGTGGATATTTGGATCTCTTTGAAGATTTCGTTGGAAACGGGAGAATCTTCACAGAAAAGCTAAACAGAAGCATTCTCAGAAACTTCTCTGTGATGTTTGTGTTCAACTCCCAGAGTTTCACATTGCTTTTCATAGAGTAGTTCTGAAACATGCTTTTCGTAGTGTCTGCAAGTGGACATTTGGAGCGCTTTCAGGCCTGTGGTGCAAAACGAATTATGGTCCCATAAAAACTGGAGAGAAGCCTTCTCAGAAACTTCTCTGTGATGATTGCATTCAACTCACAGATTTGAACCCTCCTATGGATAGAGCATTGTTGAAACTCTCTTTTTGTGGAATCTGCAAGTGGATATGTGGACCTCTCTGAAGATGTCTTTGGAAACGGGAATATCTTCACATAAAAACTAAACAGAAGCATTCTCAGAAACTTCTTGGTGATGTTTGCATTCAAATCCCAGAGTTGAACCTTCCTGTGATAGTTCAGGTTTGAAACACTCTTTTTGTAGGATCTTCAAGTGGATATTTGGACCACTCTGTGGCCTTCGTTCGAAACGGGTACATCTTCACATAAAATCTAGACAGAAGCATTCTCAGAAAATACTTTGTGATGATTGAGTTTAACTCACAGAGCTGAACATTCCTTTGGATGGAGCAGGTTTGAGACACACTTTTTGTAGAATCTACAAGTGGATATTTGGACCTCTCTGAGGATTTCGTTGGAAACGCGATAACTGCACCTAACTAAACGGAAGCATTCTCAGAAACTGCTTTGTGATGATTGCATTCACCTCACAGAGTTGAACATTCCTATTGATAGAGCAGTTTGGAAACACTCTTGTTGTGGAATGTGCAAGTGGAGATTTGGAGCGCTTTGAGGCCTATGGTAGTAAAGGGAATAGCTTCATAGAAAAACTAGACAGATGCATTCTCAGGAACTTTTTGGTGATGTTTGTATTCAACTCCCAGAGTTGAACTTTCCTTTGGAAAGAGCAGCTATGAGACACTGTTTCTCTAGAATCTGCAAGTGGACGTTTGGAGGGCTTTGTGGTTTGTGGTGGAAAAGGAAATATCTTCACCTAAATACTAGATAGAAGCATTCTCAGAAGCTTCTCTGTGATGACTGCATTCAACTCACGGAGTTGAACACTCCTTTTGAGAGCGCAGTTTTGAAACTCTCTTTCTGTGGCATCTGCAAGGGGACATGTAGACCTCTTTGAAGATTTCGTTGGAAACGGAATCATCTTCACATAAAAACTATACAGAAGCAGTCTCAGAATCTTCTTTGTGATGTTTGCATTCAAATCCCCGAGTTGAACTTTCCTTTCAAAGTTCACGTTTGAAACACTCTTTTTGCAGGATCTACAAGTGGATATTTGGACCACTCTGTGTCCTTCGTTCGAAACGGGTATATCTTCACATGACATCTAGACAGAAGCTTTCTCAGAAAATTCTTTGGGATGATTGAGTTGAACTCACAGAGCTGAGCATTCCTTGCGATGTAGCAGTTTAGAAACACACTTTCTGCAGAATCTGCAAGTGCATATTTGGACCTCTGTGAGGAATTCGTTGGAAACGGGATAATTTCAGCTGACTAAACAGAAGCATTCTCAGAACCTTCTTCGTGATGTCTGCATTCAACTCACAGTGTGGAACCTTTCTTTGATAGTTCAGGTTTGAAACACTCTTTCTGTAGAAACTGCAAGGGGATAATTGCACTCTTTGAGGAGTACCGTAGTAAAGGAAATAACTTCCTATAAAAAGAAGACAGAAGCATTCTCAGAACCCTCTTCGTGATGTTTGCATTCAACTCACAGTGCTGAACCTTTCTTTGATAGTTCAGCTTTGAAACACTCTTTTTGTAGAAACTGCAAGTGGATATTTGGTCCTCTCTGAGCATTTCGTTGGAAACGGGATAAACTGCACAGAACTAAACAGAAGCATTCTCAGAACCTTCTTCGTGATGTTTGCATTCAACTCACAGTGTTGAACCTTTCTTTGATAGTTCAGGTTTGAAACGGTCTTTCTGTAGAAACTGCAAGTAGATATTTGGACCTCTCTGAGGATTTCGTTGGAAACGGGATAACCCGCACAGAACTAAAACAGAAGCATTCACAGAAAACTCTTGGTGACGACTGAGTTTAACTCACAGAGCTGAACATTCCTTTGGATGGAGCAGTTTCGAAACACACTATTTGTAGAATGTGCAAGTGGATATTTGGGCCTCTCTGAGGATTTCGTTGGAAACGGGATAAACCGCACAGAACTAAACAGAAGCATTCTCAGAAACTACTTTGTGATGATTGCATTCAAGTCACAGAGTTGAACATTCCCTTTGACAGAGCAGTTTGGAAACTCTCTTTCTGTAGAATCTGCAAGTGGAGATATGGACCGCTTTGAGGCCTATGGTAGTAAAGGAAATAGCTTCATATAAAAGCTAGACAGTAGCATTCTCAGAAACTTCTTTGTGATGCTTGCATTCAACTCACAGAGTTGAACTTTCCTTTCGAGAGAGAAGCTTTGAAACACTCTTTTTCCAGAATCTGCAAGTGGACATTTGGAGGGCTTTGAGGCCTGTGGTGGAAAAGGAATTAACTTCCCGTAAAAGCTAGATAGAAGCATTGTCAGAAACTTCTTTGTGATGATTGCATTCAACTCACAGAGATGAAGGTTCCTTTACAAACAGCAGTTTCCAAACACTCTTTCTGTGGAATCTGCAAGTGGATATTTGGACCTCTTTGAAGATTTCGTTGGAAACGGGAGAATCTTCACAGAAAAGCTAAACAGAAGCATTCTCAGAAACTTCCTGTGATGTTTGTGTTCAACTCCCAGAGTTTCACATTGCTTTTCATAGAGTAGTTCTGAAACATAATTTTCGTAGTGTCTGCAAGTGGACATTTGGAGCGCTTTCAGGCCTGTGGTGGAAAACGAATTATGGTCCCATAAAAACTGGAGAGAAGCCTTCTCAGAAACTTCTCTGTGATGATTGCATTCAACTCACAGATTTGAACCCTCCTATGGATAGAGCAGTGTTGAAACTCTCTTTTTGTGGAATCTGCAAGTGGATATGTGGACCTCTCCGAAGATGTCTTTGGAAACGGGAATATCTTCACATAAAAACTAAACAGAAGCATTCTCAGAAACTTCTTGGTGATGTTTGCATTCAAATCCCAGAGTTGAACCTTCCTGTGATAGTTCAGGTTTGAAACACTCTTTTTGTAGGATCTGCAAGTGGATATTTGGACCACTCTGTGGCCTTCGTTCGAAACGGGTACATCTTCACATAAAATCTAGACAGAAGCATTCTCAGAAAATACTTTGTGATGATTGAGTTTAACTCACAGAGCTGAACATTCCTTTGGATGGAGCAGGTTTGAGACACACTTTTTGTAGAATCTACAAGTGGATATTTGGACCTCTCTGAGGATTTCGTTGGAAACGCGATAACTGCACCTAACTAAACGGAAGCATTCTCAGAAACTGCTTTGTGATGATTGCATTCACCTCACAGAGTTGAACATTCCTATTGATAGAGCAGTTTGGAAACACTCTTGTTGTGGAATGTGCAAGTGGAGATTTGGAGCGCTTTGAGGCCTATGGTAGTAAAGGGAATAGCTTCATAGAAAAACTAGACAGATGCATTCTCAGGAACTTTTTGGTGATGTTTGTATTCAACTCCCAGAGTTGAACTTTCCTTTGGAAAGAGCAGCTATGAAACACTCTTTTTCTAGAATCTGCAAGTGGACGTTTGGAGGGCTTTGTGGTTTGTGGTGGAAAAGGAAATATCTTCACCTAAATACTAGATAGAAGCATTCTCAGAAGCTTCTCTGTGATGACTGCATTCAACTCACGGAGTTGAACACTCCTTTTGAGAGCGCAGTTTTGAAACTCTCTTTCTGTGGCATCTGCAAGGGGACATGTAGACCTCTTTGAAGATTTCGTTGGAAACGGAATCATCTTCACATCAAAACTATACAGAAGCAGTCTCAGAATCTTCTTTGTGATGTTTGCATTCAAATCCCAGAGTTGAACTTTCCTTTCCAAGTTCACGTTTGAAACACTCTTTTTGCAGGATCTACAAGTGGATATTTGGACCACTCTGTGTCCTTCGTTCGAAACGGGTATATCTTCACATGACATCTAGACAGAAGCTTTCTCAGAAAATTCTTTGGGATGATTGAGTTGAGCAAACAGAGCTGAACACTCCTTGTGATGTAGCAGTTTAGAAACACACTTTCTGCAGAATCTGCAAGTGCATATGTGGACCTCTCTGAGGAATTCGTTGGAAACGGGATAATTTCAGCTGACTAAACAGAAGCATTCTCAGAACCTTCTTCGTGATGTCTGCGTTCAACTCACAGTGTGGAACCTTTCTTTGATAGTTCAGGTTTGAAACACTCTTTTTGTAGAAACTGCAAGGGGATCATTGCACTTCTTTGAGGCCTACCGTAGTAAAGGAGATAACTTCCTATAAAAAGAAGACAGAAGCATTCACAGAAAACTCTTGGTGACGACTGAGTTTAACTCACAGAGCTGAACATTCCTTTGGATGGAGCAGTTTCGAAACACACTATTTGTAGAATGTGCAAGTGGATATGTGGGCCTCTCTGAGGATTTCGTTGGAAACGGGATAAACCGCACAGAACTAAACAGAAGCATTCTCAGAAACTACTTTGTGATGATTTCATTCAAGTCACAGAGTTGAACATTCCCTTTGACAGAGCAGTTTGGAAACTCTCTTTGTGTAGAATCTGCAAGTGGAGATATGGACCGCTTTGAGGCCTATGGTAGTAAAGGAAATAGCTTCATATAAAAGCTAGACAGTAGCATTCTCAGAAACGTCTTTGTGATGCTTGCATTCAACTCACAGAGTTGAACTTTCCTTTCGAGAGAGAAGCTTTGAAACAGTCTTTTTCCAGAATCTGCAAGTGGACATTTGGAGGGCTTTGAGGCCTGTGGTGGAAAAGGAATTATCTTCCCGTAAAAGCTAGATAGAAGCATTGTCAGAAACTTCTTTGTGATGATTGCATTCAAGTCACAGAGTTGAAGGTTCCTTTTCAAAGAGCAGTTTCCAATCACTCTTTCTGTGGAATCTGCAAGTGGATATTTGGACCTCTTTGAAGATTTCGTTGGAAACGGGAGAATCTTCACAGAAAAGCTAAACAGAAGCATTCTCAGAAACTTCTCTGTGATGTTTGTGTTCAACTCCCAGAGTTTCACATTGCTTCTCATAGAGTAGTTCTGAAACATGCTTTTCGTAGTGCCTGCAAGTGGACATTTGGAGCGCTTTCAGGCCTGTGGTGGAAAACGAATTATGGTCACATAAAAACTGGAGAGAAGCCTTCTCAGAAACTTCTCTGTGATGATTGCATTCAACTCACAGAGTTGAACCCTCCTATGGATAGAGCAGTGTTGAAACTCTCTTTTTGTGGAATCTGCAAGCGGATATGTGGACCTCTCCGAAGATGTCTTTGGAAACGGGAATATCTTCACATAAAAACTAAACAGAAGCATTCTCAGAAACTTCTTGGTGATGTTTGCATTCAAATCCCAGAGTTGAACCTTCCTTTGAGAGTTCAGGTTTGAAACACTCTTTTTGTAGGATCTGCAAGTGGATATTTGGACCACTCTGTGGCCTTCGTTCGAAACGGGTACATCTTCGCATAAAATCTAGACAGAAGCATTCTCAGAAAATACTTTGTGATGATTGAGTTGAACTCACAGAGCTGAACATTCCTTTGGATGGAGCAGGTTTGAGACACACTTTTTGTAGAATCTACAAGTGGATATTTGGACCTCTCTGAGGATTTCGTTGGAAACGGGATAACTGCACCTAACTAAACGGAAGCATTCTCAGAAACTGCTTTGTGATGATTGCATTCACCTCGCAGAGTTGAACATTCCTATTGATAGAGCAGTTTGGAAACACTCTTGTTGTGGAATGTGCAAGTGGAGATTTGGAGCGCTTTGAGGCCTATGGTAGTAAAGGGAATAGCTTCATAGAAAAACTAGACAGATGCATTCTCAGGAACTTTTTGGTGATGTTTGTATTCAACTCCCAGAGTTGAACTTTCCTTTGGAAAGAGCAGCTATGAAACACTCTTTTTCTAGAATCTGCAAGTGGACGTTTGGAGGGCTATGTGGTTTGTGGTGGAAAAGGAAATATTTTCACCTAAATACTAGATAGGAGCATTCTCAGAAGCTTCTCTGTGATGACTGCATTCAACTCACGGAGTTGAACACTCCTTTTGAGAGCGCAGTTTTGAAACTCTTTCTGTGGCATCTGCAAGGGGACATGTAGACCTCTTTGAAGATTTCGTTGGAAACGGAATCATCTTCACATAAAAACTATACAGAAGCAGTCTCAGAATCTTCTTTGTGATGTTTGCATTCAAATCCCAGAGTTGAACTTTCCTTTCAAAGTTCACGTTTGAAACACTCTTTTTGCAGGATCTACAAGTGGATATTTGGACCACTCTGTGTCCTTCGTTCGAAACGGGTATATCTTCACATGACATCTAGACAGAAGCTTTCTCAGAAAATTCTTTGGGATGATTGAGTGGAACTCACAGAGATGAACATTCCTTGCGATGTAGCAGTTTAGAAACACACTTTCTGCAGAATCTGCAAGTGCATATTTGGACCTCTCTGAGGAATTCGTTGGAAACGGGATAATTTCAGCTGACTAAACAGAAGCATTCTCAGAACCTTCTTCGTGATGTCTGCATTCAACTCACAGTGTGGAACCTTTCTTTGATAGTTCAGGTTTGAAACACTCTTTTTGTAGAAACTGCAAGGGGATAATTGCACTTCTTTGAGGCCTACCGTAGTAAAGGAAATAACTTCCTATAGAAAGAAGACAGAAGCATTCTCAGAACCCTCTTCGTGATGTTTGCATTCAACTCACAGTGCTGAACCTTTCTTTGATAGTTCAGCTTTGAAACACTCTTCTTGTAGAAACTGCAAGTGGATATTTGGTCCTCTCTGAGGATTTCGTTGGAAACGGGATAAACCGCACAGAACTAAACAGAAGAATTCTCAGAGCCCTCTTCGTGATGTTTGCATTCAACTCACAGTGCTGAACCTTTCTTTGATAGTGCAGCTTTGAAACACTCTTTTTGTAGAAACTGCAAGTGGATGTTTGGTCCTCTCTGAGGATTTCGTTGGAAACGGGATAAACCGCACAGAACTAAAACAGAAGCATTGTCAGAAACTTCTTTGTGATGATTGCATTCAACTCACAGAGTTGAAGGTTCCTTTTCAAACAGCAGTTTCCAATCACTCTTTCTGTGGAATCTGCAAGTGGATATTTGGGCCTCTCTGAGGATTTCGTTGGAAACGGGATAAAACGCACAGAACTAAAACAGAAGCATTCTCAGAAACTTCTCTGTGATGTTTGTGTTCAACTCCCAGAGTTTCACGTTGCTTTTCATAGAGTAGTTCTGAAACATGCTTTTCGTAGTGTCTGCAAGTGGACATTTGGAGCGCTTTCAGGCCTGTGGTGGAAAACGAATTATGGTCACATAAAAACTGGAGAGAAGCCTTCTCAGAAACTTCTCTGTGATGATTGCATTCAACTCACAGAGTTGAACCCTCCTATGGATAGAGCAGTGTTGAAACTCTCTTTTTGTGGAATCTGCAAGTGGATATGTGGACCTCTCCGAAGATGTCTTTGGAAACGGGAATATCTTCACATAAAAACTAAACAGAAGCATTCTCAGAAACTTCTTGGTGATGTTTGCATTCAAATCCCAGAGTTGAACCTTCCTTTGATAGTTCAGGTTTGAAACACTCTTTCTGTAGGATCTGCAAGTGGCTATTTGGACCACTCTGTGGCCTTCGTTCGAAACGGGTATATCTTCGCATAAAATCTAGACAGAAGCATTCTCAGAAAATACTTTGTGATGATTGAGTTTAAATCACAGAGCTGACCATTCCTTTGGATGGAGCAGGTTTGAGACACACTTTTTGTAGAATCTACAAGTGGATATTTGGACCTCTCTGAGGATTTCGTTGGAAACGGGATAACTGCACCTAACTAAACGGAAGCATTCTCAGAAACTGCTTTGTGATGATTGCATTCACCTCACAGAGTTGAACATTCCTATTGATAGAGCAGTTTGGAAACACTCTTGTTGTGGAATGTGCAAGTGGAGATTTGGAGCGCTTTGAGGCCTATGGTAGTAAAGGGAATAGCTTCATAGAAAAACTAGACAGATGCATTCTCAGGAACTTTTTGGTGATGTTTGTATTCAACTCCCAGAGTTGAACTTTCCTTTGGAAAGAGCAGCTATGAAACACTCTTTTTCTAGAATCTGCAAGTGGACGTTTGGAGGGCTTTGTGGTTTGTGGTGGAAAAGGAAATATCTTCACCTAAATACTAGATAGAAGCATTCTCAGAAGCTTCTCTGTGATGACTGCATTCAACTCACGGAGTTGAACACTCCTTTTGAGAGCGCAGTTTTGAAACTCTCTTTCTGTGGCATCTGCAAGGGGACATGTAGACCTCTTTGAAGATTTCGTTGGAAACGGAATCATCTTCACATAAAAACTATACAGAAGCAGTCTCAGAATCTTCTTTGTGATGTTTGCATTCAAATCCCAGAGTTGAACTTTCCTTTCCAAGTTCACGTTTGAAACACTCTTTTTGCAGGATCTACAAGTGGATATTTGGACCACTCTGTGTCCTTCGTTCGAAACGGGTATATCTTCACATGACATCTAGACAGAAGCTTTCTCAGAAAATTCTTTGGGATGATTGAGTTGAGCAAACAGAGCTGAACACTCCTTGTGATGTAGCAGTTTAGAAACACACTTTCTGCAGAATCTGCAAGTGCATATGTGGACCTCTCTGAGGAATTCGTTGGAAACGGGATAATTTCAGCTGACTAAACAGAAGCATTCTCAGAACCTTCTTCGTGATGTCTGCATTCAACTCACAGTGTGGAACCTTTCTTTGATAGTTCAGGTTTGAAACACTCTTTTTGTAGAAACTGCAAGGGGATCATTGCACTTCTTTGAGGCCTACCGTAGTAAAGGAGATAACTTCCTATAAAAAGAAGACAGAAGCATTCTCAGAACCATCTTCGTGATGTTTGCATTCAACTCACGGTGCTGAACCTTTCTTTGATAGTTCAGCTTTGAAACACTCTTTTTGTAGAAACTGCAAGTGGATATTTGGTCCTCTCTGAGGATTTCGTTGGAAACGGGATAAACCGCACAGAACTAAACAGAAGCATTCTCAGAACCTTCTTCGTGATGTTTGCATTCAACTCACAGTGTTGAACCTTTCTTTGATAGTTCAGGTTTGAAACGGTCTTTCTGTAGAAACTGCAAGTAGATATTTGGACCTCTCTGAGGATTTCGTTGGAAACGGGGTAACCCGCACAGAACTAAAACAGAAGCATTCACAGAAAACTCTTGGTGACGACTGAGTTTAACTCACAGAGCTGAACATTCCTTTGGATGGAGCAGTTTCGAAACACACTATTTGTAGAATCTGCAAGTGGATATTTGGGCCTCTCTGAGGATTTCGTTGGAAACGGGATAAAACGCACAGAACTAAAACAGAAGCATTCTCAGAAACTACTTTGTGATGATTGCATTCAAGTCACAGAGTTGAACATTCCCTTTGACAGAGCAGTTTGGAAACTCTCTTTGTGTAGAATCTGCAAGTGGAGATATGGACCGCTTTGAGGCCTATGGTAGTAAAGGAAATAGCTTCATATAAAAGCTAGACAGTAGCATTCTCAGAAACTTCTTTGTGATGCTTGCATTCAACTCACAGAGTTGAACTTTCCTTTCGAGAGAGAAGCTTTGAAACACTCTTTTTCCAGAATGTGCAAGTGGACATTTGGGGAGCTTTGAGGCCTGTGGTGGAAAAGGAATTATCTTCCCGTAAAAGCTAGATAGAAGCATTGTCAGAAACTTCTTTGTGATGATTGCATTCAACTCACAGAGTTGAAGGTTCCTTTTCAAACAGCAGTTTCCAATCACTCTTTCTGTGGAATCTGCAAGTGGATATTTCGACCTCTTTGAAGATTTCGTTGGAAACGGGAGAATCTTCACAGAAAAGCTAAACAGAAGCATTCTCAGAAACTTCTCTGTGATGTT
The DNA here is from genome assembly GCF_000001405.40 of Homo sapiens. Lineage (NCBI taxonomy): Eukaryota > Metazoa > Chordata > Mammalia > Primates > Hominidae > Homo > Homo sapiens. The sequence goes on from NC_000017.11 coordinate 23,447,531, forward strand.
TGAGTTCAACTCCCAGAGTTTCACGTTGCTTTTCATAGAGTAGTTCTGAAACATGCTTTTCGTAGTGTCTGCAAGTGGACATTTGGAGCGCTTTCAGGCCTGTGGTGGAAAACGAATTATGGTCACATAAAAACTGGAGAGAAGCCTTCTCAGAAACTTCTCTGTGATGATTGCATTCAACTCACAGAGTTGAACCCTCCTATGGATAGAGCAGTGTTGAAACTCTCTTTTTGTGGAATCTGCAAGTGGATATGTGGACCTCTCCGAAGATGTCTTTGGAAACGGGAATATCTTCACATAAAAACTAAACAGAAGCATTCTCAGAAACTTCTTGGTGATGTTTGCATTCAAATCCCAGAGTTGAACCTTCCTTTGATAGTTCAGGTTTGAAACACTCTTTCTGTAGGATCTGCAAGTGGCTATTTGGACCACTCTGTGGCCTTCGTTCGAAACGGGTATATCTTCGCATAAAATCTAGACAGAAGCATTCTCAGAAAATACTTTGTGATGATTGAGTTTAAATCACAGAGCTGACCATTCCTTTGGATGGAGCAGGTTTGAGACACACTTTTTGTAGAATCTACAAGTGGATATTTGGACCTCTCTGAGGATTTCGTTGGAAACGGGATAACTGCACCTAACTAAACGGAAGCATTCTCAGAAACTGCTTTGTGATGATTGCATTCACCTCACAGAGTTGAACATTCCTATTGATAGAGCAGTTTGGAAACACTCTTGTTGTGGAATGTGCAAGTGGAGATTTGGAGCGCTTTGAGGCCTGTGGAAGTAAAGGGAATAGCTTCATAGAAAAACTAGACAGATGCATTCTCAGGAACTTTTTGGTGATGTTTGTATTCAACTCCCAGAGTTGAACTTTCCTTTGGAAAGAGCAGCTATGAAACACTCTTTTTCTAGAATCTGCAAGTGGACGTTTGGAGGGCTTTGTGGTTTGTGGTGGAAAAGGAAATATCTTCACCTAAATACTAGATAGAAGCATTCTCAGAAGCTTCTCTGTGATGACTGCATTCAACTCACGGAGTTGAACACTCCTTTTGAGAGCGCAGTTTTGAAACTCTCTTTCTGTGGCATCTGCAAGGGGACATGTAGACCTCTTTGAAGATTTCGTTGGAAACGGAATCATCTTCACATAAAAACTATACAGAAGCAGTCTCATAATCTTCTTTGTGATGTTTGCATTCAAATCCCAGAGTTGAACTTTCCTTTCAAAGTTCACGTTTGAAACACTCTTTTTGCAGGATCTACAAGTGGATATTTGGACCACTCTGTGTCTTTCGTTCGAAACGGGTATATCTTCACATGACATCTAGACAGAAGCTTTCTCAGAAAATTCTTTGGGATGATTGAGTTGAACTCACAGAGCTGAGCATTCCTTGCGATGTAGCAGTTTAGAAACACACTTTCTGCAGAATCTGCAAGTGCATATGTGGACCTCTCTGAGGAATTCGTTGGAAACAGGATAATTTCAGCTGACTAAACAGAAGCATTCTCAGAACCTTCTTCGTGATGTCTGCATTCAACTCACAGTGTGGAACCTTTCTTTGATAGTTCAGGTTTGAAACACTCTTTTTGTAGAAACTGCAAGGGGATAATTGCACTTCTTTGAGGCCTACCGTAGTAAAGGAAATAACTTCCTATAGAAAGAAGACAGAAGCATTCTCAGAACCCTCTTCGTGATGTTTGCATTCAACTCACAGTGCTGAACCTTTCTTTGATAGTTCAGCTTTGAAACACTCTTCTTGTAGAAACTGCAAGTGGATATTTGGTCCTCTCTGAGGATTTCGTTGGAAACGGGATAAACCGCACAGAACTAAACAGAAGAATTCTCAGAGCCCTATTCGTGATGTTTGCATTCAACTCACAGTGCTGAACCTTTCTTTGATAGTGCAGCTTTGAAACACTCTTTTTGTAGAAACTGCAAGTGGATGTTTGGTCCTCTCTGAGGATTTCGTTGGAAACGGGATAAACCGCACAGAACTAAAACAGAAGCATTGTCAGAAACTTCTTTGTGATGATTGCATTCAACTCACAGAGTTGAAGGTTCCTTTTCAAACAGCAGTTTCCAATCACTCTTTCTGTGGAATCTGCAAGTGGATATTTGGGCCTCTCTGAGGATTTCGTTGGAAACGGGATAAACCGCACAGAACTAAAACAGAAGCATTCTCAGAAACTTCTCTGTGATGTTTGTGTTCAACTCCCAGAGTTTCACGTTGCTTTTCATAGAGTAGTTCTGAAACATGCTTTTCGTAGTGTCTGCAAGTGGACATTTGGAGCGCTTTCAGGCCTGTGGTGGAAAACGAATTATGGTCACATAAAAACTGGAGAGAAGCCTTCTCAGAAACTTCTCTGTGATGATTGCATTCAACTCACAGAGTTGAACCCTCCTATGGATAGAGCAGTGTTGAAACTCTCTTTTTGTGGAATCTGCAAGTGGATATGTGGACCTCTCCGAAGATGTCTTTGGAAACGGGAATATCTTCACATAAAAACTAAACAGAAGCATTCTCAGAAACTTCTTGGTGATGTTTGCATTCAAATCCCAGAGTTGAACCTTCCTTTGATAGTTCAGGTTTGAAACACTCTTTCTGTAGGATCTGCAAGTGGCTATTTGGACCACTCTGTGGCCTTCGTTCGAAACGGGTATATCTTCGCATAAAATCTAGACAGAAGCATTCTCAGAAAATACTTTGTGATGATTGAGTTTAAATCACAGAGCTGACCATTCCTTTGGATGGAGCAGGTTTGAGACACACTTTTTGTAGAATCTACAAGTGGATATTTGGACCTCTCTGAGGATTTCGTTGGAAACGGGATAACTGCACCTAACTAAACGGAAGCATTCTCAGAAACTGCTTTGTGATGATTGCATTCACCTCACAGAGTTGAACATTCCTATTGATAGAGCAGTTTGGAAACACTCTTGTTGTGGAATGTGCAAGTGGAGATTTGGAGCGCTTTGAGGCCTATGGTAGTAAAGGGAATAGCTTCATAGAAAAACTAGACAGATGCATTCTCAGGAACCTTTTGGTGATGTTTGTATTCAACTCCCAGAGTTGAACTTTCCTTTGGAAAGAGCAGCTATGAAACACTCTTTTTCTAGAATCTGCAAGTGGACGTTTGGAGGGCTTTGTGGTTTGTGGTGGAAAAGGAAATATCTTCACCTAAATACTAGATAGAAAGCATTCTCAGAAGCTTCTCTGTGATGACTGCATTCAACTCACGGAGTTGAACACTCCTTTTGAGAGCGCAGTTTTGAAACTCTCTTTCTGTGGCATCTGCAAGGGGACATGTAGACCTCTTTGAAGATTTCGTTGGAAACGGAATCATCTTCACATAAAAACTATACAGAGCAGTCTCAGAATCTTCTTTGTGATGTTTGCATTCAAATCCCAGAGTTGAACTTTCCTTTCAAAGTTCACGTTTGAAACACTCTTTTTGCAGGATCTACAAGTGGATATTTGGACCACTCCTGTGTCCTTCGTTCGAAACGGGTATATCTTCACACGACATCTAGACAGAAGCTTTCTCAGAAAATTCTTTGGGATGATTGAGTGGAACTCACAGAGCTGAACATTCCTTGCGATGTAGCAGTTTAGAAACACACTTTCTGCAGAATCTGCAAGTGCATATTTGGACCTCTCTGAGGAATTCGTTGGAAACGGGATAATTTCAGCTGACTAAACAGAAGCATTCTCAGAACCTTCTTCGTGATGTCTGCATTCAACTCACAGTGTGGAACCTTTCTTTGATAGTTCACGTTTGAAACACTCTTTTTGTAGAAACTGCAAGGGGATAATTGCACTTCTTTGAGGCCTACCGTAGTAAAGGAAATAACTTCCTATAGAAAGAAGACAGAAGCATTCTCAGAACCCTCTTCGTGATGTTTGCATTCAACTCACAGTGCTGAACCTTTCTTTGATAGTTCAGCTTTGAAACACTCTTCTTGTAGAAACTGCAAGTGGATATTTGGTCCTCTCTGAGGATTTCGTTGGAAACGGGATAAACCGCACAGAACTAAACAGAAGAATTCTCAGAGCCCTCTTCGTGATGTTTGCATTCAACTCACAGTGCTGAACCTTTCTTTGATAGTGCAGCTTTGAAACACTCTTTTTGTAGAAACTGCAAGTGGATGTTTGGTCCTCTCTGAGGATTTCGTTGGAAACGGGATAAACCGCACAGAACTAAAACAGAAGCATTGTCAGAAACTTCTTTGTGATGATTGCATTCAACTCACAGAGTTGAAGGTTCCTTTTCAAACAGCAGTTTCCAATCACTCTTTCTGTGGAATCTGCAAGTGGATATTTGGGCCTCTCTGAGGATTTCGTTGGAAACGGGATAAAACGCACAGAACTAAAACAGAAGCATTCTCAGAAACTTCTCTGTGATGTTTGTGTTCAACTCCCAGAGTTTCACGTTGCTTTTCATAGAGTAGTTCTGAAACATGCTTTTCGTAGTGTCTGCAAGTGGACATTTGGAGCGCTTTCAGGCCTGTGGTGGAAAACGAATTATGGTCACATAAAAACTGGAGAGAAGCCTTCTCAGAAACTTCTCTGTGATGATTGCATTCAACTCACAGAGTTGAACCCTCCTATGGATAGAGCAGTGTTGAAACTCTCTTTTTGTGGAATCTGCAAGTGGATATGTGGACCTCTCCGAAGATGTCTTTGGAAACGGGAATATCTTCACATAAAAACTAAACAGAAGCATTCTCAGAAACTTCTTGGTGATGTTTTCATTCAAATCCCAGAGTTGAACCTTCCTTTGATAGTTCAGGTTTGAAACACTCTTTTTGTAGGATCTGCAAGTGGCTATTTGGACCACTCTGTGGCCTTCGTTCGAAACGGGTATATCTTCGCATAAAATCTAGACAGAAGCATTCTCAGAAAATACTTTGGGATGATTGAGTTTAAATCACAGAGCTGACCATTCCTCTGGATGGAGCAGGTTTGAGACACACTTTTTGTAGAATCTACAAGTGGATATTTGGACCTCTCTGAGGATTTCGTTGGAAACGGGATAACTGCACCTAACTAAACGGAAGCATTCTCAGAAACTGCTTTGTGATGATTGCATTCACCTCACAGAGTTGAACATTCCTATTGATAGAGCAGTTTGGAAACACTCTTGTTGTGGAATGTGCAAGTGGAGATTTGGAGCGCTTTGAGGCCTATGGTAGTAAAGGGAATAGCTTCATAGAAAAACTAGACAGATGCATTCTCAGGAACTTTTTGGTGATGTTTGTATTCAACTCCCAGAGTTGAACTTTCCTTTGGAAAGAGCAGCTATGAAACACTCTTTTTCTAGAATCTGCAAGTGGACGTTTGGAGGGCTTTGTGGTTTGTGGTGGAAAAGGAAATATCTTCACCTAAATACTAGAGAGAAGCATTCTCAGAAGCTTCTCTGTGATGACTGCATTCAACTCACGGAGTTGAACACTCCTTTTTAGAGCGCAGTTTTGAAACTCTCTTTCTGTGGCATCTGCAAGGGGACATGTAGACCTCTTTGAAGATTTCGTTGGAAACGGAATCATCTTCACATAAAAACTATACAGAAGCAGTCTCAGAATCTTCTTTGTGATGTTTGCATTCAAATCCCAGAGTTGGACTTTCCTTTCAAAGTTCACGTTTGAAACACTCTTTTTGCAGGATCTACAAGTGGATATTTGGACCACTCTGTGTCCTTCGTTCGAAACGGGTATATCTTCACATGACATCTAGACAGAAGCTTTCTCAGAAAATTCTTTGGGATGATTGAGTTGAACTCACAGAGCTGAACATTCCTTGCGATGTAGCAGTTTAGAAACACACTTTCTGCAGAATCTGCAAGTGCATATTTGGACCTCTCTGAGGAATTCGTTGGAAACGGGATAATTTCAGCTGACTAAACAGAAGCATTCTCAGAACCTTCTTCGTGATGTCTGCATTCAACTCACAGTGTGGAACCTTTCTTTGATAGTTCAGGTTTGAAACACTCTTTTTGTAGAAACTGCAAGGGGATAATTGCACTTCTTTGAGGCCTACCGTAGTAAAGGAAATAACTTCCTATAAAAAGAAGACAGAAGCATTCTCAGAACCCTCTTCGTGATGTTTGCATTCAACTCACAGTGCTGAACCTTTCTTTGATAGTTCAGCTTTGAAACACTCTTCTTGTAGAAACTGCAAGTGGATATTTGGTCCTCTCTGAGGATTTCGTTGGAAACGGGATAAACCGCACAGAACTAAACAGAAGAATTCTCAGAGCCCTCTTCGTGATGTTTGCATTCAACTCACAGTGCTGAACCTTTCTTTGATAGTGCAGCTTTGAAACACTCTTTTTGTAGAAACTGCAAGTGGATATTTGGTCCTCTCTGAGGATTTCGTTGGAAACGGGATAAACCGCACAGAACTAAAACAGAAGCATTGTCAGAAACTTCTTTGTGATGATTGCATTCAACTCACAGAGTTGAAGGTTCCTTTTCAAACAGCAGTTTCCAATCACTCTTTCTGTGGAATCTGCAAGTGGATATTTGGGCCTCTCTGAGGATTTCGTTGGAAACGGGATAAAACGCACAGAACTAAAACAGAAGCATTCTCAGAAACTTCTCTGTGATGTTTGTGTTCAACTCCCAGAGTTTCACGTTGCTTTTCATAGAGTAGTTCTGAAACATGCTTTTCGTAGTGTCTGCAAGTGGACATTTGGAGCGCTTTCAGGCCTGTGGTGGAAAACGAATTATGGTCACAAAAAAACTGGAGAGAAGCCTTCTCAGAAACTTCTCTGTGATGATTGCATTCAACTCACAGAGTTGAACCCTCCTATGGATAGAGCAGTGTTGAAACTCTCTTTTTGTGGAATCTGCAAGTGGATATGTGGATCTCTCCAAAGATGTCTTTGGAAACGGGAATATCTTCACATAAAAACTAAACAGAAGCATTCTCAGAAACTTCTTGGTGATGTTTGCATTCAAATCCCAGAGTTGAACCTTCCTTTGATAGTTCAGGTTTGAAACACTCTTTTTGTAGGATCTGCAAGTGGCTATTTGGACCACTCTGTGGCCTTCGTTCGAAACGGGTATATCTTCGCATAAAATCTAGACAGAAGCATTCTCAGAAAATACTTTGTGATGATTGAGTTAAAATCACAGAGCTGAACATTCCTTTGGATGGAGCAGGTTTGAGACACACTTTTTGTAGAATCTACAAGTGGATATTTGGACCTCTCTGAGGATTTCGTTGGAAACGGGATAACTGCACCTAACTAAACGGAAGCATTCTCAGAAACTGCTTTGTGATGATTGCATTCACCTCACAGAGTTGAACATTCCTATTGATAGAGCAGTTTGGAAACACTCTTGTTGTGGAATGTGCAAGTGGAGATTTGGAGCGCTTTGAGGCCTATGGTAGTAAAGGGAATAGCTTCATAGAAAAACTAGACAGATGCATTCTCAGGAACTTTTTGGTGATGTTTGTATTCAACCCCCAGAGTTGAACTTTCCTTTGGAAAGAGCAGCTATGAAACACTCTTTTTCTAGAATCTGCAAGTGGACGTTTGGAGGGCTTTGTGGTTTGTGGTGGAAAAGGAAATATCTTCACCTAAATACTAGATAGAAGCATTCTCAGAAGCTTCTCTGTGATGACTGCATTCAACTCACGGAGTTGAACACTCCTTTTGAGAGCGCAGTTTTGAAACTCTCTTTCTGTGGCATCTGCAAGGGGACATGTAGACCTCTTTGAAGATTTCGTTGGAAACGGAATCATCTTCACATAAAAACTATACAGAAGCAGTCTCAGAATCTTCTTTGTGATGTTTGCATTCAAATCCCAGAGTTGAACTTTCCTTTCAAAGTTCACGTTTGAAACACTCTTTTTGCAGGATCTACAAGTGGATATTTGGACCACTCTGTGTCCTTCGTTCGAAACGGGTATATCTTCACACGACATCTAGACAGAAGCTTTCTCAGAAAATTCTTTGGGATGATTGAGTGGAACTCACAGAGCTGAACATTCCTTGCGATGTAGCAGTTTAGAAACACACTTTCTGCAGAATCTGCAAGTGCATATTTGGACCTCTCTGAGGAATTCGTTGGAAACGGGATAATTTCAGCTGACTAAACAGAAGCATTCTCAGAACCTTCTTCGTGATGTCTGCATTCAACTCACAGTGTGGAACCTTTCTTTGATAGTTCAGGTTTGAAACACTCTTTTTGTAGAAACTGCAAGGGGATAATTGCACTTCTTTGAGGCCTACCGTAGTAAAGGAAATAACTTCCTATAGAAAGAAGACAGAAGCATTCTCAGAACCCTCTTCGTGATGTTTGCATTCAACTCACAGTGCTGAACCTTTCTTTGATAGTTCAGCTTTGAAACACTCTTCTTGTAGAAACTGCAAGTGGATATTTGGTCCTCTCTGAGGATTTCGTTGGAAACGGGATAAACCGCACAGAACTAAACAGAAGAATTCTCAGAGCCCTCTTCGTGATGTTTGCATTCAACTCACAGTGCTGAACCTTTCTTTGATAGTGCAGCTTTGAAACACTCTTTTTGTAGAAACTGCAAGTGGATGTTTGGTCCTCTCTGAGGATTTCGTTGGAAACGGGATAAACCGCACAGAACTAAAACAGAAGCATTGTCAGAAACTTCTTTGTGATGATTGCATTCCAACTCACAGAGTTGAAGGTTCCTTTTCAAACAGCAGTTTCCAATCACTCTTTCTGTGGAATCTGCAAGTGGATATTTGGGCCTCTCTGAGGATTTCGTTGGAAACGGGATAAAACGCACAGAACTAAAACAGAAGCATTCTCAGAAACTTCTCTGTGATGTTTGTGTTCAACTCCCAGAGTTTCACGTTGCTTTTCATAGAGTAGTTCTGAAACATGCTTTTCGTAGTGTCTGCAAGTGGACATTTGGAGCGCTTTCAGGCCTGTGGTGGAAAACGAATTATGGTCACATAAAAACTGGAGAGAAGCCTTCTCAGAAACTTCTCTGTGATGATTGCATTCAACTCACAGAGTTGAACCCTCCTATGGATAGAGCAGTGTTGAAACTCTCTTTTTGTGGAATCTGCAAGTGGATATGTGGACCTCTCCGAAGATGTCTTTGGAAACGGGAATATCTTCACATAAAAACTAAACAGAAGCATTCTCAGAAACTTCTTGGTGATGTTTGCATTCAAATCCCAGAGTTGAACCTTCCTTTGATAGTTCAGGTTTGAAACACTCTTTCTGTAGGATCTGCAAGTGGCTATTTGGACCACTCTGTGGCCTTCGTTCGAAACGGGTATATCTTCGCATAAAATCTAGACAGAAGCATTCTCAGAAAATACTTTGTGATGATTGAGTTTAAATCACAGAGCTGACCATTCCTTTGGATGGAGCAGGTTTGAGACACACTTTTTGTAGAATCTACAAGTGGATATTTGGACCTCTCTGAGGATTTCGTTGGAAACGGGATAACTGCACCTAACTAAACGGAAGCATTCTCAGAAACTGCTTTGTGATGATTGCATTCACCTCACAGAGTTGAACATTCCTATTGATAGAGCAGTTTGGAAACACTCTTGTTGTGGAATGTGCAAGTGGAGATTTGGAGCGCTTTGAGGCCTATGGTAGTAAAGGGAATAGCTTCATAGAAAAACTAGACAGATGCATTCTCAGGAACTTTTTGGTGATGTTTGTATTCAACTCCCAGAGTTGAACTTTCCTTTGGAAAGAGCAGCTATGAAACACTCTTTTTCTAGAATCTGCAAGTGGACGTTTGGAGGGCTTTGTGGTTTGTGGTGGAAAAGGAAATATCTTCACCTAAATACTAGAGAGAAGCATTCTCAGAAGCTTCTCTGTGATGACTGCATTCAACTCACGGAGTTGAACACTCCTTTTGAGAGCGCAGTTTTGAAACTCCCTTTCTGTGGCATCTCCAAGGGGACATGTAGACCTCTTTGAAGATTTCGTTGGAAACGGAATCATCTTCACATAAAAACTATACAGAAGCAGTCTCAGAATCTTCTTTGTGATGTTTGCATTCAAATCCCAGAGTTGAACTTTCCTTTCAAAGTTCACGTTTGAAACACTCTTTTTGCAGGATCTACAAGTGGATATTTGGACCACTCTGTGTCCTTCGTTCGAAACGGCTATATCTTCACATGACATCTAGACAGAAGCTTTCTCAGAAAACTCTTTGGGATGATTGAGTTGAACTCACAGAGCTGAACATTCCTTGTGATGTAGCAGTTTAGAAACACACTTTCTGCAGAATCTGCAAGTGCATATTTGGACCTCTCTGAGGAATTCGTTGGAAACGGGATAATTTCAGCTGACTAAACAGAAGCATTCTCAGAACCTTCTTCGTGATGTCTGCATTCAACTCACAGTGTGGAACCTTTCTTTGATAGTTCAGGTTTGAAACACTCTTTTTGTAGAAACTGCAAGGGGATAATTGCACTTCTTTGAGGCCTACCGTAGTAAAGGAAATAACTTCCTATAAAAAGAAGACAGAAGCATTCTCAGAACCCTCTTCGTGATGTTTGCATTCAACTCACAGTGCTGAACCTTTCTTTGATAGTTCAGCTTTGAAACACTCTTCTTGTAGAAACTGCAAGTGGATATTTGGTCCTCTCTGAGGATTTCGTTGGAAACGGGATAAACCGCACAGAACTAAACAGAAGAATTCTCAGAGCCCTCTTCGTGATGTTTGCATTCAACTCACAGTGCTGAACCTTTCTTTGATAGTGCAGCTTTGAAACACTCTTTTTGTAGAAACTGCAAGTGGATATTTGGTCCTCTCTGAGGATTTCGTTGGAAACGGGATAAACCGCACAGAACTAAAACAGAAGCATTGTCAGAAACTTCTTTGTGATGATTGCATTCAACTCACAGAGTTGAAGGTTCCTTTTCAAACAGCAGTTTCCAATCACTCTTTCTGTGGAATCTGCAAGTGGATATTTGGGCCTCTCTGAGGATTTCGTTGGAAACGGGATAAAACGCACAGAACTAAAACAGAAGCATTCTCAGAAACTTCTCTGTGATGTTTGTGTTCAACTCCCAGAGTTTCACGTTGCTTTTCATAGAGTAGTTCTGAAACATGCTTTTCGTAGTGTCTGCAAGTGGACATTTGGAGCGCTTTCAGGCCTGTGGTGGAAAACGAATTATGGTCACATAAAAACTGGAGAGAAGCCTTCTCAGAAACTTCTCTGTGATGATTGCATTCAACTCACAGAGTTGAACCCTCCTATGGATAGAGCAGTGTTGAAACTCTCTTTTTGTGGAATCTGCAAGTGGATATGTGGACCTCTCCGAAGATGTCTTTGGAAACGGGAATATCTTCACATAAAAACTAAACAGAAGCATTCTCAGAAACTTCTTGGTGATGTTTGCATTCAAATCCCAGAGTTGAACCTTCCTTTGATAGTTCAGGTTTGAAACACTCTTTCTGTAGGATCTGCAAGTGGCTATTTGGACCACTCTGTGGCCTTCGTTCGAAACGGGTATATCTTCGCATAAAATCTAGACAGAAGCATTCTCAGAAAATACTTTGTGATGATTGAGTTTAAATCACAGAGCTGACCATTCCTTTGGATGGAGCAGGTTTGAGACACACTTTTTGTAGAATCTACAAGTGGATATTTGGACCTCTCTGAGGATTTCGTTGGAAACGGGATAACTGCACCTAACTAAACGGAAGCATTCTCAGAAACTGCTTTGTGATGATTGCATTCACCTCACAGAGTTGAACATTCCTATTGATAGAGCAGTTTGGAAACACTCTTGTTGTGGAATGTGCAAGTGGAGATTTGGAGCGCTTTGAGGCCTATGGTAGTAAAGGGAATAGCTTCATAGAAAAACTAGACAGATGCATTCTCAGGAACCTTTTGGTGATGTTTGTATTCAACTCCCAGAGTTGAACTTTCCTTTGGAAAGAGCAGCTATGAAACACTCTTTTTCTAGAATCTGCAAGTGGACGTTTGGAGGGCTTTGTGGTTTGTGGTGGAAAAGGAAATATCTTCACCTAAATACTAGATAGAAGCATTCTCAGAAGCTTCTCTGTGATGACTGCATTCAACTCACGGAGTTGAACACTCCTTTTGAGAGCGCAGTTTTGAAACTCTCTTTCTGTGGCATCTGCAAGGGGACATGTAGACCTCTTTGAAGATTTCGTTGGAAACGGAATCATCTTCACATAAAAACTATACAGAAGCAGTCTCAGAATCTTCTTTGTGATGTTTGCATTCAAATCCCAGAGTTGAACTTTCCTTTCAAAGTTCACGTTTGAAACACTCTTTTTGCAGGATCTACAAGTGGATATTTGGACCACTCTGTGTCCTTCGTTCGAAACGGGTATATCTTCACACGACATCTAGACAGAAGCTTTCTCAGAAAATTCTTTGGGATGATTGAGTGGAACTCACAGAGCTGAACATTCCTTGCGATGGAGCAGTTTAGAAACACACTTTCTGCAGAATCTGCAAGTGCATATTTGGACCTCTCTGAGGAATTCGTTGGAAACGGGATAATTTCAGCTGACTAAACAGAAGCATTCTCAGAACTTCTTCGTGATGTCTGCATTCAACTCACAGTGTGGAACCTTTCTTTGATAGTTCAGGTTTGAAACACTCTTTTTGTAGAAACTGCAAGGGGATAATTGCACTTCTTTGAGGCCTACCGTAGTAAAGGAAATAACTTCCTATAGAAAGAAGACAGAAGAATTCTCAGAGCCCTCTTCGTGATGTTTGCATTCAACTCACAGTGCTGAACCTTTCTTTGATAGTGCAGCTTTGAAACACTCTTTTTGTAGAAACTGCAATTGGATGTTTGGTCCTCTCTGAGGATTTCGTTGGAAACGGGATAAACCGCACAGAACTAAAACAGAAGCATTCTCAGAACTTCTTCGTGATGTTTGCATTCAACTCACAGTGTTGAACCTTTCTTTGATAGTTCAGGTTGGAAACGGTCTTTCTGTAGAAACTGCAAGTAGATATTTGGACCTCTCTGAGGATTTCGTTGGAAACGGGATAAACCGCACAGAACTAAAACAGAAGCATTCACAGAAAACTCTTGGTGACGACTGAGTTTAACTCATAGAGCTGAACATTCCTTTGGATGGAGCAGTTTCGAAACACACTATTTGTAGAATGTGCAAGTGGATATTTGGGCCTCTCTGAGGATTTCGTTGGAAACGGGATAAACCGCACAGAACTAAACAGAAGCATTCTCAGAAACTACTTTGTGATGATTGCATTCAAGTCACAGAGTTGAACATTCCCTTTGACAGAGCAGTTTGGAAACTCTCTTTGTGTAGAATCTGCAAGTGGAGATATGGACCGCTTTGAGGCCTATGGTAGTAAAGGAAATAGCTTCATATAAAAGCTAGACAGTAGCATTCTCAGAAACTTCTTTGTGATGCTTGCATTCAACTCACAGAGTTGAACTTTCCTTTCGAGAGAGAAGCTTTGAAACACTCTTTTTCCAGAATCTGCAAGTGGACATTTGGAGGGCTTTGAGGCCTGTGGTGGAAAAGGAATTATCTTCCCGTAAAAGCTAGATAGAAGCATTGTCAGAAACTTCTTTGTGATGATTGCATTCAACTCACAGGGTTGAAGGTTCCTTTTCAAAGAGCAGTTTCCAATCACTCTTTCTGTGGAATCTGCAAGTGGATATTTGGACCTATTTTGAAGATTTCGTTGGAAACGGGAGAATCTTCACAGGAAAGCTAAACAGAAGCATTCTCAGAAACTTCTCTGTGATGTTTGTGTTCAACTCCCAGAGTTTCACGTTGCTTTTCATAGAGTAGTTCTGAAACATGCTTTTCGTAGTGTCTGCAAGTGGACATTTGGAGCGCTTTCAGGCCTGTGGTGGAAAACGAATTATGGTCACATAAAAACTGGAGAGAAGCCTTCTCAGAAACTTCTCTGTGATGATTGCATTCAACTCACAGAGTTGAACCCTCCTATGGATAGAGCAGTGTTGAAACTCTCTTTTTGTGGAATCTGCAAGTGGATATGTGGACCTCTCCGAAGATGTCTTTGGAAACGGGAATATCTTCACATAAAAACTAAACAGAAGCATTCTCAGAAACTTCTTGGTGATGTTTGCATTCAAATCCCAGAGTTGAACCTTCCTTTGATAGTTCAGGTTTGAAACACTCTTTCTGTAGGATCTGCAAGTGGCTATTTGGACCACTCTGTGGCCTTCGTTCGAAACGGGTATATCTTCGCATAAAATCTAGACAGAAGCATTCTCAGAAAATACTTTGTGATGATTGAGTTTAAATCACAGAGCTGACCATTCCTTTGGATGGAGCAGGTTTGAGACACACTTTTTGTAGAATCTACAAGTGGATATTTGGACCTCTCTGAGGATTTCGTTGGAAACGGGATAACTGCACCTAACTAAACGGAAGCATTCTCAGAAACTGCTTTGTGATGATTGCATTCACCTCACAGAGTTGAACATTCCTATTGATAGAGCAGTTTGGAAACACTCTTGTTGTGGAATGTGCAAGTGGAGATTTGGAGCGCTTTGAGGCCTGTGGTAGTAAAGGGAATAGCTTCATAGAAAAACTAGACAGATGCATTCTCAGGAACTTTTTGGTGATGTTTGTATTCAACTCCCAGAGTTGAACTTTCCTTTGGAAAGAGCAGCTATGAAACACTCTTTTTCTAGAATCTGCAAGTGGACGTTTGGAGGGCTTTGTGGTTTGTGGTGGAAAAGGAAATATCTTCACCTAAATACTAGATAGAAGCATTCTCAGAAGCTTCTCTGTGATGACTGCATTCAACTCACGGAGTTGAACACTCCTTTTGAGAGCGCAGTTTTGAAACTCTCTTTCTGTGGCATCTGCAAGGGGACATGTAGACCTCTTTGAAGATTTCGTTGGAAACGGAATCATCTTCACATAAAAACTATACAGAAGCAGTCTCAGAATCTTCTTTGTGATGTTTGCATTCAAATCCCAGAGTTGAACTTTCCTTTCAAAGTTCACGTTTGAAACACTCTTTTTGCAGGATCTACAAGTGGATATTTGGACCACTCTGTGTCCTTCGTTCGAAACGGGTATATCTTCACACGACATCTAGACAGAAGCTTTCTCAGAAAATTCTTTGGGATGATTGAGTGGAACTCACAGAGCTGAACATTCCTTGCGATGTAGCAGTTTAGAAACACACTTTCTGCAGAATCTGCAAGTGCATATTTGGACCTCTCTGAGGAATTCGTTGGAAACGGGATAATTTCAGCTGACTAAACAGAAGCATTCTCAGAACCTTCTTCGTGATGTCTGCATTCAACTCACAGTGTGGAACCTTTCTTTGATAGTTCAGGTTTGAAACACTCTTTTTGTAGAAACTGCAAGGGGATAATTGCACTTCTTTGAGGCCTACCGTAGTAAAGGAAATAACTTCCTATAGAAAGAAGACAGAAGCATTCTCAGAACCCTCTTCGTGATGTTTGCATTCAACTCACAGTGCTGAACCTTTCTTTGATAGTTCAGCTTTGAAACACTCTTCTTGTAGAAACTGCAAGTGGATATTTGGTCCTCTCTGAGGATTTCGTTGGAAACGGGATAAACCGCACAGAACTAAACAGAAGAATTCTCAGAGCCCTCTTCGTGATGTTTGCATTCAACTCACAGTGCTGAACCTTTCTTTGATAGTGCAGCTTTGAAACACTCTTTTTGTAGAAACTGCAAGTGGATGTTTGGTCCTCTCTGAGGATTTCGTTGGAAACGGGATAAACCGCACAGAACTAAAACAGAAGCATTCACAGAAAACTCTTGGTGACGACTGAGTTTAACTCACAGAGCTGAACATTCCTTTGGATGGAGCAGTTTCGAAACACACTATTTGTAGAATCTGCAAGTGGATATTTGGGCCTCTCTGAGGATTTCGTTGGAAACGGGATAAAACGCACAGAACTAAAACAGAAGCATTCTCAGAAACTACTTTGTGATGATTGCATTCAAGTCACAGAGTTGAACATTCCCTTTGACAGAGCAGTTTGGAAACTCTCTTTGTGTAGAATCTGCAAGTGGAGATATGGACCGCTTTGAGGCCTATGGTAGTAAAGGAAATAGCTTCATATAAAAGCTAGACAGTAGCATTCTCAGAAACTTCTTTGTGATGCTTGCATTCAACTCACAGAGTTGAACTTTCCTTTCGAGAGAGAAGCTTTGAAACACTCTTTTTCCAGAATGTGCAAGTGGACATTTGGGGAGCTTTGAGGCCTGGGGTGGAAAAGGAATTATCTTCCCGTAAAAGCTAGATAGAAGCATTGTCAGAAACTTCTTTGTGATGATTGCATTCAACTCACAGAGTTGAAGGTTCCTTTTCAAACAGCAGTTTCCAATCACTCTTTCTGTGGAATCTGCAAGTGGATATTTCGACCTCTTTGAAGATTTCGTTGGAAACGGGAGAATCTTCCCAGAAAAGCTAAACAGAAGCATTCTCAGAAACTTCTCTGTGATGTTTGTGTTCAACTCCCAGAGTTTCACGTTGCTTCTCATAGAGTAGTTCTGAAACATGCTTTTCGTAGTGTCTGCAAGTGGACATTTGGAGCGCTTTCAGGCCTGTGGTGGAAAACGAATTATGGTCACATAAAAACTGGAGAGAAGCCTTCTCAGAAACTTCTCTGTGATGATTGCATTCAACTCACAGAGTTGAACCCTCCTATGGATAGAGCAGTGTTGAAACTCTCTTTTTGTGGAATCTGCAAGTGGATATGTGGACCTCTCCGAAGATGTCTTTGGAAACGGGAATATCTTCACATAAAACTAAACAGAAGCATTCTCAGAAACTTCTTGGTGATGTTTGCATTCAAATCCCAGAGTTGAACCTTCCTTTGAGAGTTCAGGTTTGAAACACTCTTTTTGTAGGATCTGCAAGTGGATATTTGGACCACTCTGTGGCCTTCGTTCGAAACGGGTACATCTTCGCATAAAATACTAGACAGAAGCATTCTCAGAAAATACTTTGTGATGATTGAGTTGAACTCACAGAGCTGAACATTCCTTTGGATGGAGCAGGTTTGAGACACACTTTTTGTAGAATCTACAAGTGGATATTTGGACCTCTCTGAGGATTTCGTTGGAAACGGGATAACTGCACCTAACTAAACGGAAGCATTCTCAGAAACTGCTTTGTGATGATTGCATTCACCTCACAGAGTTGAACATTCCTATTGATAGAGCAGTTTGGAAACACTCTTGTTGTGGAACGTGCAAGTGGAGATTTGGAGCGCTTTGAGGCCTATGGTAGTAAAGGGAATAGCTTCATAGAAAAACTAGACAGATGCATTCTCAGGAACTTTTTGGTGATGTTTGTATTCAACACCCAGAGTTGAACTTTCCTTTGGAAAGAGCAGCTATGAAACACTCTTTTTCTAGAATCTGCAAGTGGACGTTTGGAGGGCTTTGTGGTTTGTGGTGGAAAAGGAAATATCTTCACCTAAATACTAGCATAGAAGCATTCTCAGAAGCTTCTCTGTGATGACTGCATTCAACTCACGGAGTTGAACACTCCTTTTGAGAGTGCAGTTTTGAAACTCTCTTTCTGTGACATCTGCAAGGGGACATGTAGACCTCTTTGAAGATTTCGTTGGAAACGGAATCATCTTCACATAAAAACTATACAGAAGCAGTCTCAGAATCTTCTTTGTGATGTTTGCATTCAAATCCCCGAGTTGAACTTTCCTTTCAAAGTTCACGTTTGAAACACTCTTTTTGCAGGATCTACAAGTGGATATTTGGACCACTCTGTGTCCTTCGTTCGAAACGGGTATATCTTCACATGACATCTAGACAGAAGCTTTCTCAGAAAATTCTTTGGGATGATTGAGTTGAACTCACAGAGCTGAGCATTCCTTGCGATGTAGCAGTTTAGAAACACACTTTCTGCAGAATCTGCAAGTGCATATTTGGACCTCTGTGAGGAATTCGTTGGAAACGGGATAATTTCAGCTGACTAAACAGAAGCATTCTCAGAACCTTCTTCGTGATGTCTGCATTCAACTCACAGTGTGGAACCTTTCTTTGATAGTTCAGGTTTGAAACACTCTTTTTGTAGAAACTGCAAGGGGATCATTGCACTCTTTGAGGAGTACCGTAGTAAAGGAAATAACTTCCTATAAAAAGAAGACAGAAGCATTCTCAGAACCCTCTTCTGTGATGTTTGCATTCAACTCACAGTGCTGAACCTTTCTTTGATAGTTCAGCTTTGAAACACTCTTCTTGTAGAAACTGCAAGTGGATATTTGGTCCTCTCTGAGGATTTCGTTGGAAACGGGATAAACCGCACAGAACTAAACAGAAGCATTCTCAGAACCTTCTTCGTGATGTTTGCATTCAACTCACAGTGTTGAACCTTTCTTTGATAGTTCAGGTTTGAAACGGTCTTTCTGTAGAAACTGCAAGTAGATATTTGGACCTCTCTGAGGATTTCGTTGGAAACGGGATAACCCGCACAGAACTAAAACAGAAGCATTCACAGAAAACTCTTGGTGACGACTGAGTTTAACTCACAGAGCTGAACATTCCTTTGGATGGAGCAGTTTCGAAACACACTATTTGTAGAATGTGCAAGTGGATATTTAGGCCTCTCTGAGGATTTCGTTGGAAACGGGATAAACCGCACAGAACTAAACAGAAGCATTCTCAGAAACTGCTTTGTGGTGATTGCATTCAAGTCACAGATTTGAACATTCCCTTTGACAGAGCAGTTTGGAAACTCTCTTTGTGTAGAATCTGCAAGTGGAGATATGGACCGCTTTGAGGCCTATGGTAGTAAAGGAAATAGCTTCATATAAAAGCTAGACAGTAGGCATTCTCAGAAACTTCTTTGTGATGCTTGCATTCAACTCACAGAGTTGAACTTTCCTTTCGAGAGAGAAGCTTTGAAACACTCGTTTTCCAGAATCTGCAAGTGGACATTTGGAGGGCTTTGAGGCCTGTGGTGGAAAAGGAATTATCTTCCCGTTAAAGCTAGATAGAAGCATTGTCAGAAACTTCTTTGTGATGATTGCATTCAACACACAGAGTTGAAGGTTCCTTTTCAAAGAGCAGTTTCCAATCACTCTTTCTGTGGAATCTGAAAGTGGATATTTGGACCTCTTTGAAGATTTCGTTGGAAACGGGAGAATCTTCACAGAAAAGCTAAACAGAAGCATTCTCAGAAACTTCTCTGTGATGTTTGTGTTCAACTCCCAGAGTTTCACATTGCTTTTCATAGAGTAGTTCTGAAACATGCTTTTCGTAGTGTCTACAAGTGGACATTTGGAGCGCTTTCAGGCCTGTGGTGGAAAACGAATTATGGTCACATAAAAACTGGAGAGAAGCCTTCTCAGAAACTTCTCTGTGATGATTGCATTCAACTCACAGAGTTGAACCCTCCTATGGATAGAGCAGTGTTGAAACTCTCTTTTTGTGGAATCTGCAAGTGGATATGTGGACCTCTCCGAAGATGTCTTTGGAAACGGGAATATCTTCACATAAAAACTAAACAGAAGCATTCTCAGAAACTTCTTGGTGATGTTTGCATTCAAATGCCAGAGTTGAACCTTCCTTTGATAGTTCAGGTTTGAAACACTCTTTTTGTAGGATCTGCAAGTGGATATTTGGACCACTCTGTGGCCTTCGTTCGAAACGGGTATATCTTCGCATAAAATCTAGACAGAAGCATTCTCAGAAAATACTTTGTGATGATTGAGTTTAACTCACAGAGCTGAACATTCCTTTGGATGGAGCAGGTTTGAGACACACTTTTTGTAGAATCTACAAGTGGATATTTGGACCTCTCTGAGGATTTCGTTGGAAACGGGATAACTGCACCTAACTAAACGGAAGCATTCTCAGAAACTGCTTTGTGATGATTGCATTCACCTCACAGAGTTAAACATTCCTATTGATAGAGCAGTTTGGAAACACTCTTCTTGTGGAATGTGCAAGTGGAGATTTGGTGCGCTTTGATGCCTATGGTAGTAAAGGGAATAGCTTCATAGAAAAACTAGACAGATGCATTCTCAGGAACTTTTTGGTGATGTTTGTATTCAACTCCCAGAGTTGAACTTTCCTTTGGAAAGAGCAGCTATGAAACACTCTTTTTCTAGAATCTGCAAGTGGACGTTTGGAGGGCTTTGTGGTTTGTGGTGGAAAAGGAAATATCTTCACCTAAATACTAGATAGAAGCATTCTCAGAAGCTTCTCTGTGATGACTGCATTCAACTCACGGAGTTGAACACTCCTTTTGAGAGCGCAGTTTTGAAACTCTCTTTCTGTGGCATCTGCAAGGGGACATGTAGACCTCTTTGAAGATTTCGTTGGAAACGGAATCATCTTCACATAAAAACTATACAGAAGCAGTCTCAGAATCTTCTTTGTGATGTTTGCATTCAAATCCCAGAGTTGAACTTTCCTTTCAAAGTTCACGTTTGAAACACTCTTTTTGCAGGATCTACAAGTGGATATTTGGACCACTCTGTGTCCTTCGTTCGAAACGGGTATATCTTCACACGACATCTAGACAGAAGCTTTCTCAGAAAATTCTTTGGGATGATTGAGTGGAACTCACAGAGCTGAACATTCCTTGCGATGTAGCAGTTTAGAAACACACTTTCTGCAGAATCTGCAAGTGCATATTTGGACCTCTCTGAGGAATTCGTTGGAAACGGGATAATTTCAGCTGACTAAACAGAAGCATTCTCAGAACCTTCTTCGTGATGTCTGCATTCAACTCACAGTGTGGAACCTTTCTTTGATAGTTCAGGTTTGAAACACTCTTTTTGTAGAAACTGCAAGGGGATAATTGCACTTCTTTGAGGCCTACCGTAGTAAAGGAAATAACTTCCTATAGAAAGAAGACAGAAGCATTCTCAGAACCCTCTTCGTGATGTTTGCATTCAACTCACAGTGCTGAACCTTTCTTTGATAGTTCAGCTTTGAAACACTCTTCTTGTAGAAACTGCAAGTGGATATTTGGTCCTCTCTGAGGATTTCGTTGGAAACGGGATAAACCGCACAGAACTAAACAGAAGAATTCTCAGAGCCCTCTTCGTGATGTTTGCATTCAACTCACAGTGCTGAACCTTTCTTTGATAGTGCAGCTTTGAAACACTCTTTTTGTAGAAACTGCAAGTGGATGTTTGGTCCTCTCTGAGGATTTCGTTGGAAACGGGATAAACCGCACAGAACTAAAACAGAAGCATTGTCAGAAACTTCTTTGTGATGATTGCATTCAACTCACAGAGTTGAAGGTTCCTTTTCAAACAGCAGTTTCCAATCACTCTTTCTGTGGAATCTGCAAGTGGATATTTGGGCCTCTCTGAGGATTTCGTTGGAAACGGGATAAAACGCACAGAACTAAAACAGAAGCATTCTCAGAAACTTCTCTGTGATGTTTGTGTTCAACTCCCAGAGTTTCACGTTGCTTTTCATAGAGTAGTTCTGAAACATGCTTTTCGTAGTGTCTGCAAGTGGACATTTGGAGCGCTTTCAGGCCTGTGGTGGAAAACGAATTATGGTCACATAAAAACTGGAGAGAAAGCCTTCTCAGAAACTTCTCTGTGATGATTGCATTCAACTCACAGCAGTTGAACCCTCCTATGGATAGAGCAGTGTTGAAACTCTCTTTTTGTGGAATCTGCAAGTGGATATGTGGACCTCTCCGAAGATGTCTTTGGAAACGGGAATATCTTCACATAAAAACTAAACAGAAGCATTCTCAGAAACTTCTTGGTGATGTTTGCATTCAAATCCCAGAGTTGAACCTTCCTTTGATAGTTCAGGTTTGAAACACTCTTTCTGTAGGATCTGCAAGTGGCTATTTGGACCACTCTGTGGCCTTCGTTCGAAACGGGTATATCTTCGCATAAAATCTAGACAGAAGCATTCTCAGAAAATACTTTGTGATGATTGAGTTTAAATCACAGAGCTGACCATTCCTTTGGATGGAGCAGGTTTGAGACACACTTTTTGTAGAATCTACAAGTGGATATTTGGACCTCTCTGAGGATTTCGTTGGAAACGGGATAACTGCACCTAACTAAACGGAAGCATTCTCAGAAACTGCTTTGTGATGATTGCATTCACCTCACAGAGTTGAACATTCCTATTGATAGAGCAGTTTGGAAACACTCTTGTTGTGGAATGTGCAAGTGGAGATTTGGAGCGCTTTGAGGTCTATGGTAGTAAAGGGAATAGCTTCATAGAAAAACTAGACAGATGCATTCTCAGGAACTTTTTGGTGATGTTTGTATTCAACTCCCAGAGTTGAACTTTCCTTTGGAAAGAGCAGCTATGAAACACTCTTTTTCTAGAATCTGCAAGTGGACGTTTGGAGGGCTTTGTGGTTTGTGGTGGAAAAGGAAATATCTTCACCTAAATACTAGATAGAAGCATTCTCAGAAGCTTCTCTGTGATGACTGCATTCAACTCACGGAGTTGAACACTCCTTTTGAGAGCGCAGTTTTGAAACTCTCCTTCTGTGGCATCCGCAAGGGGACATGTGGACCTCTTTGAAGATTTCGTTGGAAACGGAATCATCTTCACATCAAAACTATACAGAAGCAGTCTCAGAATCTTCTTTGTGATGTTTGCATTCAAATCCCAGAGTTGAACTTTCCTTTCAAAGTTCACGTTTGAAACACTCTTTTTGCAGGATCTACAAGTGGATATTTGGACCACTCTGTGTCCTTCGTTCGAAACGGGTATATCTTCACATGACAGCTAGACAGAAGCTTTCTCAGAAAATTCTTTGGGATGATTGAGTGGAACTCACAGAGCTGAACATTCCTTGCGATGTAGCAGTTTAGAAACACACTTTCTGCAGAATCTGCAAGTGCATATTTGGACCTCTCTGAGGAGTTCGTTGGAAACGGGATAATTTCAGCTGACTAAACAGAAGCATTCTCAGAACCTTCTTCGTGATGTCTGCATTCAACTTACAGTGTGGAACCTTTCTTTGATAGTTCAGGTTTGAAACACTCTTTTTGTAGAAACTGCAAGGGGATAATTGCACTTCTTTGAGGCCTACCGTAGTAAAGGAAATAACTTCCTATAGAAAGAAGACAGAAGCATTCTCAGGACCCTCTTCGTGATGTTTGCATTCAACTCACAGTGCTGAACCTTTCTTTGATAGTTCAGCTTTGAAACACTCTTCTTGTAGAAACTGCAAGTGGATATTTGGTCCTCTCTGAGGATTTCGTTGGAAACGGGATAAACCGCACAGAACTAAACAGAAGCATTCTCAGAACCTTCTTCGTGATGTTTGCATTCAACTCACAGTGTTGAACCTTTCTTTGATAGTTCAGGTTTGAAACGGTCTTTCTGTAGAAACTGCAAGTAGATATTTGGACCTCTCTGAGGATTTCGTTGGAAACGGGATAAACCGCACAGAACTAAAACAGAAGCATTCACAGAAAACTCTTGGTGACGACTGAGTTTAACTCACAGAGCTGAACATTCCTTTGGATGGAGCAGTTTCGAAACACACTATTTGTAGAATGTGCAAGTGGATATTTGGGCCTCTCTGAGGATTTCGTTGGAAACGGGATAAACCGCACAGAACTAAACAGAAGCATTCTCAGAAACTACTTTGTGACGATTGCATTCAAGTCACAGAGTTGAACATTCCCTTTGACAGAGCAGTTTGGAAACTCTCTTTGTGTAGAATCTGCAAGTGGAGATATGGACCGCTTTGAGGCCTATGGTAGTAAAGGAAATAGCTTCATATAAAAGCTAGACAGTAGCATTCTCAGAAACTTCTTTGTGATGCTTGCATTCAACTCACAGAGTTGAACTTTCCTTTCGAGAGAGAAGCTTTGAAACACTCTTTTTCCAGAATCTGCAAGTGGACATTTGGAGGGCTTTGAGGCCTGTGGTGGAAAAGGAATTAACTTCCCGTAAAAGCTAGATAGAAGCATTGTCAGAAACTTCTTTGTGATGATTGCATTCAACTCACAGAGATGAAGGTTCCTTTACAAACAGCAGTTTCCAAACACTCTTTCTGTGGAATCTGCAAGTGGATATTTGGACCTCTTTGAAGATTTCGTTGGAAACGGGAGAATCTTCACAGAAAAGCTAAACAGAAGCATTCTCAGAAACTTCTCTGTGATGTTTGTGTTCAACTCCCAGAGTTTCACATTGCTTTTCATAGAGTAGTTCTGAAACATGCTTTTCGTAGTGTCTGCAAGTGGACATTTGGAGCGCTTTCAGGCCTGTGGTGGAAAACGAATTATGGTCACATAAAAACTGGAGAGAAGCCTTCTCAGAAACTTCTCTGTGATGATTGCATTCAACTCACAGAGTTGAACCCTCCTATGGATAGAGCAGTGTTGAAACTCTCTTTTTGTGTAATCTGCAAGTGGATATGTGGACCTCTCCGAAGATGTCTTTGGAAACGGGAATATCTTCACATAAAAACTAAACAGAAGCATTCTCAGAAACTTCTTGGTGATGTTTGCATTCAAATCCCAGAGTTGAACCTTCCTTTGATAGTTCAGGTTTGAAACACTCTTTTTGTAGGATCTGCAAGTGGATATTTGGACCACTCTGTGGCCTTCTTTCGAAACGGGTATATCTTCGCATAAAATCTAGACAGAAGCATTCTCAGAAAATACTTTGTGATGATTGAGTTTAAATCACAGAGCTGAACATTCCTTTGGATGGAGCAGGTTTGAGACACACTTTTTGTAGAATCTACAAGTGGATATTTGGACCTCTCTGAGGATTTCGTTGGAAACGGGATAACTGCACCTAACTAAACGGAAGCATTCTCAGAAACTGCTTTGTGATGATTGCATTCACCTCACAGAGTTGAACATTCCTATTGATAGAGCAGTTTGGAAACACTCTTGTTGTGGAATGTGCAAGTGGAGATTTGGAGCGCTTTGAGGCCTATGGTAGTAAAGGGAATAGCTTCATAGAAAAACTAGACAGATGCATTCTCAGGAACTTTTTGGTGATGTTTGTATTCAACTCCCAGAGTTGAACTTTCCTTTGGAAAGAGCAGCTATGAAACACTCTTTTTCTAGAATCTGCAAGTGGACGTTTGGAGGGCTTTGTGGTTTGTGGTGGAAAAGGAAATATCTTCACCTAAATACTAGATAGAAGCATTCTCAGAAGCTTCTCTGTGATGACTGCATTCAACTCACGGAGTTGAACACTCCTTTTGAGAGCGCAGTTTTGAAACTCTCTTTCTGTGGCATCCGCAAGGGGACATGTGGACCTCTTTGAAGATTTCGTTGGAAACGGAATCATCTTCACATAAAAACTATACAGAAGCAGTCTCAGAATCTTCTTTGTGGTGTTTGCATTCAAATCCCAGAGTTGAACTTTCCTTTCAAAGTTCACGTTTGAAACACTCTTTTTGCAGGATCTACAAGTGGATATTTGGACCACTCTGTGTCCTTCGTTCGAAACGGGTATATCTTCACATGACATCTAGACAGAAGCTTTCTCAGAAAATTCTTTGGGATGTTTGAGTTGAACTCACAGAGCTGAACATTTCTTGCGATGGAGCAGTTTAGAAACACACTTTCTGCAGAATCTGCAATTGCATATTTGGACCTCTCTGAGGAATTCGTTGGAAACGGGATAATTTCAGCTGACTAAACAGAAGCATTCTCAGAACCTTCTTCGTGATGTCTGCATTCAACTCACAGTGTGGAACCTTTCTTTGATAGTTCAGGTTTGAAACACTCTTTTTGTAGAAACTGCAAGGGGATAATTGCACTTCTTTGAGGCCTACCGTAGTAAAGGAAATAACTTCCTATAAAAAGAAGACAGAAGCATTCTCAGAACCCTCTTCGTGATGTTTGCATTCAACTCACAGTGCTGAAACTTTCTTTGATAGTTCAGCTTTGAAAAACTCTTTTTGTAGAAACTGCAAGTGGATATTTGGTCCTCTCTGAGGATTTCGTTGGAAACGGGATAAACCACACAGAACTAAACAGAAGCATTCACAGAAAACTCTTGGTGACGACTGAGTTTAACTCACAGAGCTGGACATTCCTTTGGATGGAGCAGTTTCGAAACACACTATTTGTAGAATCTGCAAGTGGATATTTGGGCCTCTCTGAGGATTTCGTTGGAAACGGGATAAACCGCACAGAACTAAAACAGAAGCATTCTCAGAAACTACTTTGTGATGATTGCATTCAAGTCACAGAGTTGAACATTCCCTTTGACAGAGCAGTTTGGAAACTCTCTTTGTGTAGAATCTGCAAGTGGAGATATGGACCGCTTTGAGGCCTATGGTAGTAAAGGAAATAGCTTCATATAAAAGCTAGACAGTAGCATTCTCAGAAACTTCTTTGTGATGCTTGCATTCAACTCACAGAGTTGAACTTTCCTTTCGAGAGAGAAGCTTTGAAACACTCTTTTTCCAGAATGTGCAAGTGGACATTTGGGGAGCTTTGAGGCCTGGGGTGGAAAAGGAATTATCTTCCCGTAAAAGCTAGATAGAAGCATTGTCAGAAACTTCTTTGTGATGATTGCATTCAACTCACAGAGTTGAAGGTTCCTTTTCAAACAGCAGTTTCCAATCACTCTTTCTGTGGAATCTGCAAGTGGATATTTCGACCTCTTTGAAGATTTCGTTGGAAACGGGAGAATCTTCACAGAAAAGCTAAACAGAAGCATTCTCAGAAACTTCTCTGTGATGTTTGTGTTCAACTCCCAGAGTTTCACGTTGCTTTTCATAGAGTAGTTCTGAAACATGCTTTTCGTAGTGTCTGCAAGTGGACATTTGGAGCGCTTTCAGGCCTGTGGTGGAAAACGAATTATGGTCACAGAAAAACTGGAGAGAAGCCTTCTCAGAAACTTCTCTGTGATGATTGCATTCAACTCACAGAGTTGAACCCTCCTATGGATAGAGCAGTGTTGAAACTCTCTTTTTGTGGAATCTGCAAGTGGATATGTGGACCTCTCCGAAGATGTCTTTGGAAACGGGAATATCTTCACATAAAAACTAAACAGAAGCATTCTCAGAAACTTCTTGGTGATGTTTGCATTCAAATCCCAGAGTTGAACCTTCCTTTGATAGTTCAGGTTTGAAACACTCTTTTTGTAGGATCTGCAAGTGGCTATTTGGACCACTCTGTGGCCTTCGTTCGAAACGGGTATATCTTCGCATAAAATCTAGACAGAAGCATTCTCAGAAAATACTTTGTGATGATTGAGTTGAACTCACAGAGCTGAACATTCCTTTGGATGGAGCAGGTTTGAGACACACTTTTTGTAGAATCTACAAGTGGATATTTGGACCTCTCTGAGGATTTCGTTGGAAACGGGATAACTGCACCTAACTAAACGGAAGCATTCTCAGAAACTGCTTTGTGATGATTGCATTCACCTCACAGAGTTGAACATTCCTATTGATAGAGCAGTTTGGAAACACTCTTGTTGTGGAATGTGCAAGTGGAGATTTGGAGCGCTTTGAGGCCTATGGTAGTAAAGGGAATAGCTTCATAGAAAAACTAGACAGATGCATTCTCAGGAACTTTTTGGTGATGTTTGTATTCAACTCCCAGAGTTGAACTTTCCTTTGGAAAGAGCAGCTATGAAACACTCTTTTTCTAGAATCTGCAAGTGGACGTTTGGAGGGCTTTGTGGTTTGTGGTGGAAAAGGAAATATCTTCACCTAAATACTAGAGAGAAGCATTCTCAGAAGCTTCTCTGTGATGACTGCATTCAACTCACGGATTTGAACACTCCTTTTGAGAGCGCAGTTTTGAAACTCCCTTTCTGTGGCATCTGCAAGGGGACATGTAGACCTCTTTGAAGATTTCGTTGGAAACGGAATCATCTTCACATAAAAACTATACAGAAGCAGTCTCAGAATCTTCTTTGTGATGTTTGCATTCAAATCCCAGAGTTGAACTTTCCTTTCAAAGTTCACGTTTGAAACACTCTTTTTGCAGGATCTACAAGTGGATATTTGGACCACTCTGTGTCCTTCGTTCGAAACGGGTATATCTTCACATGACATCTAGACAGAAGCTTTCTCAGAAAATTCTTTGGGATGATTGAGTGGAACTCACAGAGCTGAACATTCCTTGCGATGTAGCAGTTTAGAAACACACTTTCTGCAGAATCTGCAAGTGCATATTTGGACCTCTCTGAGGAATTCGTTGGAAACGGGATAATTTCAGCTGACTAAACAGAAGCATTCTCAGAACCTTCTTCGTGATGTCTGCATTCAACTCACAGTGTGGAACCTTTCTTTGATAGTTCAGGTTTGAAACACTCTTTTTGTAGAAACTGCAAGGGGATAATTGCACTTTTTTGAGGCCTACCGTAGTAAAGGAAATAACTTCCTATAGAAAGAAGACAGAAGCATTCTCAGAACCCTCTTCGTGATGTTTGCATTCAACCCACAGTGCTGAACCTTTCTTTGATAGTTCAGCTTTGAAACACTCTTCTTGTAGAAACTGCAAGTGGATATTTGGTCCTCTCTGAGGATTTCGTTGGAAACGGGATAAACCGCACAGAACTAAACAGAAGAATTCTCAGAGCCCTCTTCGTGATGTTTGCATTCAACTCACAGTGCTGAACCTTTCTTTGATAGTGCAGCTTTGAAACACTCTTTTTGTAGAAACTGCAAGTGGATATTTGGTCCTCTCTGAGGATTTCGTTGGAAACGGGATAAACCGCACAGAACTAAAACAGAAGCATTGTCAGAAACTTCTTTGTGATGATTGCATTCAACTCACAGAGTTGAAGGTTCCTTTTCAAACAGCAGTTTCCAATCACTCTTTCTGTGGAATCTGCAAGTGGATATTTGGGCCTCTCTGAGGATTTCGTTGGAAACGGGATAAAACGCACAGAACTAAAACAGAAGCATTCTCAGAAACTTCTCTGTGATGTTTGTGTTCAACTCCCAGAGTTTCACGTTGCTTTTCATAGAGTAGTTCTGAAACATGCTTTTCGTAGTGTCTGCAAGTGGACATTTGGAGCGCTTTCAGGCCTGTGGTGGAAAACGAATTATGGTCACATAAAAACTGGAGAGAAGCCTTCTCAGAAACTTCTCTGTGATGATTGCATTCAACTCACAGAGTTGAACCCTCCTATGGATAGAGCAGTGTTGAAACTCTCTTTTTGTGGAATCTGCAAGTGGATATGTGGACCTCTCCGAAGATGTCTTTGGAAACGGGAATATCTTCACATAAAAACTAAACAGAAGCATTCTCAGAAACTTCTTGGTGATGTTTGCATTCAAATCCCAGAGTTGAACCTTCCTTTGATAGTTCAGGTTTGAAACACTCTTTTTGTAGGATCTGCAAGTGGCTATTTGGACCACTCTGTGGCCTTCGTTCGAAACGGGTATATCTTCGCATAAAATCTAGACACAAGCATTCTCAGAAAATACTTTGTGATGATTGAGTTTAAATCACAGAGCTGAACATTCCTTTGGATGGAGCAGGTTTGAGACACACTTTTTGTAGAATCTACAAGTGGATATTTGGACCTCTCTGAGGATTTCGTTGGAAACGGGATAACTGCACCTAACTAAACGGAAGCTTTCTCAGAAACTGCTTTGTGATGATTGCATTCACCTCACAGAGTTGAACATTCCTATTGATAGAGCAGTTTGGAAACACTCTTGTTGTGGAATGTGCAAGTGGAGATTTGGAGCGCTTTGAGGCCTATGGTAGTAAAGGGAATAGCTTCATAGAAAAACTAGACAGATGCATTCTCAGGAACTTTTTGGTGATGTTTGTATTCAACTCCCAGAGTTGAACTTTCCTTTGGAAAGAGCAGCTATGAAACACTCTTTTTCTAGAATCTGCAAGTGGACGTTTGGAGGGCTTTGTGGTTTGTGGTGGAAAAGGAAATATCTTCACCTAAATACTAGACAGAAGCATTCTCAGAAGCTTCTCTGTGATGACTGCATTCAACTCACGGAGTTGAACACTCCTTTTGAGAGCGCAGTTTTGAAACTCTCTTTCTGTGGCATCTGCAAGGGGACATGTAGACCTCTTTGAAGATTTCGTTGGAAACGGAATCATCTTCACATAAAAACTATACAGAAGCAGTCTCAGAATCTTCTTTGTGATGTTTGCATTCAAATCCCAGAGTTGAACTTTCCTTTCAAAGTTCACGTTTGAAACACTCTTTTTGCAGGATCTACAAGTGGATATTTGGACCACTCTGTGTCCTTCGTTCGAAACGGGTATATCTTCACACGACATCTAGACAGAAGCTTTCTCAGAAAATTCTTTGGGATGATTGAGTGGAACTCACAGAGCTGAACATTCCTTGCGATGGAGCAGTTTAGAAACACACTTTCTGCAGAATCTGCAAGTGCATATTTGGACCTCTCTGAGGAATTCGTTGGAAACGGGATAATTTCAGCTGACTAAACAGAAGCATTCTCAGAACCTTCTTCGTGATGTCTGCATTCAACTCACAGTGTGGAACCTTTCTTTGATAGTTCAGGTTTGAAACACTCTTTTTGTAGAAACTGCAAGGGGATAATTGCACTTCTTTGAGGCCTACCGTAGTAAAGGAAATAACTTCCTATAGAAAGAAGACAGAAGCATTCTCAGAGCCCTCTTCGTGATGTTTACATTCAACTCACAGTGCTGAACCTTTCTTTGATAGTGCAGCTTTGAAACACTCTTTTTGTAGAAACTGCAAGTGGATGTTTGGTCCTCTCTGAGGATTTCGTTGGAAACGGGATAAACCGCACAGAACTAAAACAGAAGCATTGTCAGAAACTTCTTTGTGATGATTGCATTCAACTCACAGAGTTGAAGGTTCCTTTTCAAACAGCAGTTTCCAATCACTCTTTCTGTGGAATCTGCAAGTGGATATTTGGGCCTCTCTGAGGATTTCGTTGGAAACGGGATAAAACGCACAGAACTAAAACAGAAGCATTCTCAGAAACTTCTCTGTGATGTTTGTGTTCAACTCCCAGAGTTTCACGTTGCTTTTCATAGAGTAGTTCTGAAACATGCTTTTCGTAGTGTCTGCAAGTGGACATTTGGAGCGCTTTCAGGCCTGTGGTGGAAAACGAATTATGGTCACATAAAAACTGGAGAGAAGCCTTCTCAGAAACTTCTCTGTGATGATTGCATTCAACTCACAGAGTTGAACCCTCCTATGGATAGAGCAGTGTTGAAACTCTCTTTTTGTGGAACCTGCAAGTGGATATGTGGACCTCTCCGAAGATGTCTTTGGAAACGGGAATATCTTCACATAAAAACTAAACAGAAGCATTCTCAGAAACTTCTTGGTGATGTTTGCATTCAAATCCCAGAGTTGAACCTTCCTTTGATAGTTCAGGTTTGAAACACTCTTTCTGTAGGATCTGCAAGTGGCTATTTGGACCACTCTGTGGCCTTCGTTCGAAACGGGTATATCTTCGCATAAAATCTAGACAGAAGCATTCTCAGAAAATACTTTGTGATGATTGAGTTTAAATCACAGAGCTGACCATTCCTTTGGATGGAGCAGGTTTGAGACACACTTTTTGTAGAATCTACAAGTGGATATTTGGACCTCTCTGAGGATTTCGTTGGAAACGGGATAACTGCACCTAACTAAACGGAAGCATTCTCAGAAACTGCTTTGTGATGATTGCATTCACCTCACAGAGTTGAACATTCCTATTGATAGAGCAGTTTGGAAACACTCTTGTTGTGGAATGTGCAAGTGGAGATTTGGAAGCGCTTTGAGGCCTGTGGTAGTAAAGGGAATAGCTTCATAGAAAAACTAGACAGATGCATTCTCAGGAACTTTTTGGTGATGTTTGTATTCAACTCCCAGAGTTGAACTTTCCTTTGGAAAGAGCAGCTATGAAACACTGTTTTTCTAGAATCTGCAAGTGGACGTTTGGAGGGCTTTGTGGTTTGTGGGGAAAAGGAAATATCTTCACCTAAATACTAGATAGAAGCATCCTCAGAAGCTTCTCTGTGATGACTGCATTCAACTCACGGAGTTGAACACTCCTTTTGAGAGCGCAGTTTTGAAACTCTCTTTCTGTGGCATCTGCAAGGGGACATGTAGACCTCTTTGAAGATTTCGTTGGAAACGGAATCATCTTCACATAAAAACTATACAGAAGCAGTCTCAGAATCTTCTTTGTGATGTTTGCATTCAAATCCCAGAGTTGAACTTGCCTTTCAAAGTTCACGTTTGAAACACTCTTTTTGCAGGATCTACAAGTGGATATTTGGACCACTCTGTGTCCTTCGTTCGAAACGGGTATATCTTCACATGACATCTAGACAGAAGCTTTCTCAGAAAATTCTTTGGGATGATTGAGTTGAACTCACAGAGCTGAGCATTCCTTGCGATGTAGCAGTTTAGAAACACACTTTCTGCAGAATCTGCAAGTGCATATTTGGACCTCTCTGAGGAATTCGTTGGAAACGGGATAATTTCAGCTGACTAAACAGAAGCATTCTCAGAACCTTCTTCGTGATGTCTGCATTCAACTCACAGTGTGGAACCTTTCTTTGATAGTTCAGGTTTGAAACACTCTTTTTGTAGAAACTGCAAGGGGATAATTGCACTCTTTGAGGAGTACCGTAGTAAAGGAAATAACTTCCTATAAAAAGAAGACAGAAGCATTCTCAGAACCCTCTTCGTGATGTTTGCATTCAACTCACAGTGCTGAACCTTTCTTTGATAGTTCAGCTTTGAAACACTCTTTTTGTAGAAACTGCAAGTGTATATTTGGTCCTCTCTGAGGATTTCGTTGGAAACGGGATAAACCGCACAGAACTAAACAGAAAGCATTCTCAGAACCTTCTTCGTGATGTTTGCATTCAACTCACAGTGTTGAACCTTTCTTTGATAGTTCAGGTTTGAAACGGTCTTTCTGTAGAAACTGCAAGTAGATATTTGGACCTCTCTGAGGATTTCGTTGGAAACGGGATAACCCGCACAGAACTAAAACAGAAGCATTCACAGAAAACTCTTGGTGACGACTGAGTTTAACTCACAGAGCTGAACATTCCTTTGGATGGAGCAGTTTCGAAACACACTATTTGTAGAATGTGCAAGTGGATATTTGGGCCTCTCCTGAGGATTTCGTTGGAAACGGGATAAACCGCACAGAACTAAACAGAAGCATTCTCAGAAACTACTTTGTGATGATTGCATTCAAGTCACAGAGTTGAACATTCCCTTTGACAGAGCAGTTTGGAAACTCTCTTTGTGTAGAATCTGCAAGTGGAGATATGGACCGCTTTGAGGCCTATGGTAGTAAAGGAAATAGCTTCATATAAAAGCTAGACAGTAGCATTCTCAGAAACTTCTTTGTGATGCTTGCATTCAACTCACAGAGTTGAACTTTCCTTTCGAGAGAGAAGCTTTGAAACACTCTTTTTCCAGAATCTGCAAGTGGACATTTGGAGGGCTTTGAGGCCTGTGGTGGAAAAGGAATTATCTTCCCGTAAAAGCTAGATAGAAGCATTGTCAGAAACTTCTTTGTGATGATTGCATTCAACTCACAGAGTTGAAGGTTCCTTTTCAAAGAGCAGTTTCCAATCACTCTTTCTGTGGAATCTGCAAGTGGATATTTCGACCTATTTTGAAGATTTCGTTGGAAACGGGATAATCTTCACAGAAAAGCTAAACAGAAGCATTCTCAGAAACTTCTCTGTGATGTTTGTGTTCAACTCCCAGAGTTTCACATTGCTTTTCATAGAGTAGTTCTGAAACATGCTTTTCGTAGTGTCTACAAGTGGACATTTGGAGCGCTTCCAGGCCTGTGGTGGAAAACGAATTATGGTCACATAAAAACTGGAGAGAAGCCTTCTCAGAAACTTCTCTGTGATGATTGCATTCAACTCACAGAGTTGAACCCTCCTATGGATAGAGCAGTGTTGAAACTCTCTTTTTGTGGAATCTGCAAGTGGATATGTGGACCTCTTTGAAGATGTCTTTGGAAACGGGAATATCTTCACATAAAAACTAAACGGAAGGATTCTCAGAAACTTCTTGGTGATGTTTGCATTCAAATCCCAGAGTTGAACCTTCCTTTGATAGTTCAGGTTTGAAACACTCTTTTTGTAGGATCTGCAAGTGGCTATTTGGACCACTCTGTGGCATTCTTTCAAAACGGGTATATCTTCGCATAAAATCTAGACAGAAGCATTCTCAGAAAATACTTTGTGATGATTGAGTTGAACTCACAGAGCTGAACATTCCTTTGGATGGAGCAGGTTTGAGACACACTTTTTGTAGAATCTACAAGTGGATATTTGGACCTCTCTGAGGATTTCGTTGGAAACGGGATAACTGCACCTAACTAAACGGAAGCATTCTCAGAAACTGCTTTGTGATGATTGCATTCACCTCACAGAGTTGAACATTCCTATTGATAGAGCAGTTTGGAAACACTCTTGTTGTGGAATGTGCAAGTGGAGATTTGGAGTGCTTTGAGGCCTATGGTAGTAAAGGGAATAGCTTCATAGAAAAACTAGACAGATGCATTCTCAGGAACTTTTTGGTGATGTTTGTATTCAACTCCCAGAGTTGAACTTTCCTTTGGAAAGAGCAGCTATGAAACACTGTTTTTCTAGAATCTGCAAGTGGACGTTTGGAGGGCTTTGTGGTTTGTGGTGGAAAAGGAAATATCTTCACCTAAATACTAGATAGAAGCATCCTCAGAAGCTTCTCTGTGATGACTGCATTCAACTCACGGAGTTGAACACTCCTTTTGAGAGCGCAGTTTTGAAACTCTCTTTCTGTGGCATCTGCAAGGGGACATGTAGACCTCTTTGAAGATTTCGTTGGAAACGGAATCATCTTCACATAAAAACTACACAGAAGCAGTCTCAGAATCTTCTTTGTGATGTTTGCATTCAAATCCCCGAGTTGAACTTTCCTTTCAAAGTTCACGTTTGAAACACTCTTTTTGCAGGATCTACAAGTGGATATTTGGACCACTCTGTGTCCTTCGTTCGAAACGGGTATATCTTCACATGACATCTAGACAGAAGCTTTCTCAGAAAATTCTTTGGGATGATTGAGTTGAACTCACAGAGCTGAGCATTCCTTGCGATGTAGCAGTTTAGAAACACACTTTCTGCAGAATCTGCAAGTGCATATTTGGACCTCTGTGAGGAATTCGTTGGAAACGGGATAATTTCAGCTGACTAAACAGAAGCATTCTCAGAACCTTCTTCGTGATGTCTGCATTCAACTCACAGTGTGGAACCTTTCTTTGATAGTTCAGGTTTGAAACACTCTTTCTGTAGAAACTGCAAGGGGATAATTGCACTCTTTGAGGAGTACCGTAGTAAAGGAAATAACTTCCTATAAAAAGAAGACAGAAGCATTCTCAGAACCCTCTTCGTGATGTTTGCATTCAACTCACAGTGCTGAACCTTTCTTTGATAGTTCAGCTTTGAAACACTCTTTTTGTAGAAACTGCAAGTGGATATTTGGTCCTCTCTGAGGATTTCGTTGGAAACGGGATAAACTGCACAGAACTAAACAGAAAGCATTCTCAGAACCTTCTTCGTGATGTTTGCATTCAACTCACAGTGTTGAACCTTTCTTTGATAGTTCAGGTTTGAAACGGTCTTTCTGTAGAAACTGCAAGTAGATATTTGGACCTCTCTGAGGATTTCGTTGGAAACGGGATAACCCGCACAGAACTAAAACAGAAGCATTCACAGAAAACTCTTGGTGACGACTGAGTTTAACTCACAGAGCTGAACATTCCTTTGGATGGAGCAGTTTCGAAACACACTATTGGTAGAATGTTCAAGTGGATATGTGGGCCTCTCTGAGGATTTCGTTGGAAACGGGATAAACCGCACAGAACTAAACAGAAGCATTCTCAGAAACTACTTTGTGATGATTGCATTCAAGTCACAGAGTTGAACATTCCCTTTGACAGAGCAGTTTGGAAACTCTCTTTGTGTAGAATCTGCAAGTGGAGATATGGACCGCTTTGAGGCCTATGGTAGTAAAGGAAATAGCTTCATATAAAAGCTAGACAGTAGCCTTCTCAGAAACTTCTTTGTGATGCTTGCATTCAACTCACAGAGTTGAACTTTCCTTTCGAGAGAGAAGCTTTGAAACACTCTTTTTCCAGAATCTGCAATTGGACATTTGGAGGGCTTTGAGGCCTGTGGTGGAAAAGGAATTATCTTCCCGTAAAAGCCTAGATGGAAGCATTGTCAGAAACTTCTTTGTGATGATTGCATTCAAGTCACAGAGTTGAAGGTTCCTTTTCAAAGAGCAGTTTCCAATCACTCTTTCTGTGGAATCTGCAAGTGGATATTTGGACCTCTTTGAAGATTTCGTTGGAAACGGGAGAATCTTCACAGAAAAGCTAAACAGAAGCATTCTCAGAAACTTCTCTGTGATATTTGTGTTCAACTCCCAGAGTTTCACATTGCTTCTCATAGAGTAGTTCTGAAACATGCTTTTCATAGTGTCTGCAAGTGGACATTTGGAGCGCTTTCAGGCCTGTGGTGGAAAACGAATTATGGTCACATAAAAACTGGAGAGAAGCCTTCTCAGAAACTTCTCTGTGATGATTGCATTCAACTCATAGAGTTGAACCCTCCTATGCATAGAGCAGTGTTGAAACTCTCTTTTTGTGGAATCTGCAAGCGGATATGTGGACCTCTCCGAAGATGTCTTTGGAAACGGGAATATCTTCACATAAAAACTAAACAGAAGCATTCTCAGAAACTTCTTGGTGATGTTTGCATTCAAATCCCAGAGTTGAACCTTCCTTTGAGAGTTCAGGTTTGAAACACTCTTTTTGTAGGATCTGCAAGTGTATATTTGCACCACTCTGTGGCCTTCGTTCGAAACGGGTACATCTTCGCATAAAATCTAGACAGAAGCATTCTCAGAAAATACTTTGTGATGATTGAGTTGAACTCACAGAGCTGAACATTCCTTTGGATGGAGCAGGTTTGAGACACACTTTTTGTAGAATCTACAAGTGGATATTTGGACCTCTCTGAGGATTTCTTTGGAAACGGGATAACTGCACCTAACTAAACGGAAGCATTCTCAGAAACTGCTTTGTGATGATTGCATTCACCTCACAGAGTTGAACATTCCTATTGATAGAGCAGTTTGGAAACACTCTTGTTGTGGAATGTGCAAGTGGAGATTTGGAGCGCTTTGAGGCCTATGGTAGTAAAGGTAATAGCTTCATAGAAAAACTAGACAGATGCATTCTCAGGAACTTTTTGGTGATGTTTGTATTCAACTCCCAGAGTTGAACTTTCCTTTGGAAAGAGCAGCTATGAAACACTCTTTTTCTAGAATCTGCAAGTGGACGTTTGGAGGGCTTTGTGGTTTGTGGTGGAAAAGGAAATATCTTCACCTAAATACTAGATAGAAGCATTCTCAGAAGCTTCTCTGTGATGACTGCATTCAACTCACGGAGTTGAACACTCCTTTTGAGAGCGCAGTTTTGAAACTCTCTTTCTGTGGCATCTGCAAGGGGACATGTAGACCTCTTTGAAGATTTCGTTGGAAACGGAATCATCTTCACATAAAAACTATACAGAAGCAGTCTCAGAATCTTCTTTGTGATGTTTGCATTCAAATCCCAGAGTTGAACTTTCCTTTCAAAGTTCACGTTTGAAACACTCTTTTTGCAGGATCTACAAGTGGATATTTGGACCACTCTGTGTCCTTCGTTCGAAACGGGTATATCTTCACACGACATCTAGACAGAAGCTTTCTCAGAAAATTCTTTGGGATGATTGAGTGGAACTCACAGAGCTGAACATTCCTTGCGATGTAGCAGTTTAGAAACACACTTTCTGCAGAATCTGCAAGTGCATATTTGGACCTCTCTGAGGAATTCGTTGGAAACGGGATAATTTCAGCTGACTAAACAGAAGCATTCTCAGAACTTCTTCGTGATGTCTGCATTCAACTCACAGTGTGGAACCTTTCTTTGATAGTTCAGGTTTGAAACACTCTTTTTGTAGAAACTGCAAGGGGATAATTGCACTTCTTTGAGGCCTACCGTAGTAAAGGAAATAACTTCCTATAGAAAGAAGACAGAAGAATTCTCAGAGCCCTCTTCGTGATGTTTGCATTCAACTCACAGTGCTGAACCTTTCTTTGATAGTGCAGCTTTGAAACACTCTTTTTGTAGAAACTGCAAGTGGATGTTTGGTCCTCTGCTGAGGATTTCGTTGGAAACGGGATAAACCGCACAGAACTAAAACAGAAGCATTCTCAGAACCTTCTTCGTGATGTTTGCATTCAACTCACAGTGTTGAACCTTTCTTTGATAGTTCAGGTTTGAAACGGTCTTTCTGTAGAAACTGCAAGTAGATATTTGGACCTCTCTGAGGATTTCGTTGGAAACGGGATAACCCGCACAGAACTAAAACAGAAGCATTCACAGAAAACTCTTGGTGACGACTGAGTTTAACTCACAGAGCTGAACATTCCTTTGGATGGAGCAGTTTCGAAACACACTATTTGTAGAATGTGCAAGTGGATATTTAGGCCTCTCTGAGGATTTCGTTGGAAACGGGATAAACCGCACAGAACTAAACAGAAGCATTCTCAGAAACTACTTTGTGATGATTGCATTCAAGTCACAGAGTTG
This sequence comes from Homo sapiens, assembly GCF_000001405.40. NCBI lineage: Eukaryota > Metazoa > Chordata > Mammalia > Primates > Hominidae > Homo > Homo sapiens. Next base: position 23,486,060 of record NC_000017.11, read on the forward strand.
AACATTCCCTTTGACAGAGCAGTTTGGAAACTCTCTTTGTGTAGAATCTGCAAGTGGAGATATGGACCGCTTTGAGGCCTATGGTAGTAAAGGAAATAGCTTCATATAAAAGCTAGACAGTAGCATTCTCAGAAACTTCTTTGTGATGCTTGCATTCAACTCACAGAGTTGAACTTTCCTTTCGAGAGAGAAGCTTTGAAACACTCTTTCTCCAGAATCTGCAAGTGGACATTTGGAGGGCTTTGAGGCCTGTGGTGGAAAAGGAATTATCTTCCCGTAAAAGCTAGATAGAAGCATTGTCAGAAACTTCTTTGTGATGATTGCATTCAACTCACAGAGTTGAAGGTTCCTTTTCAAAGAGCAGTTTCCAATCACTCTTTCTGTGGAATCTGCAAGTGGATATTTGGACCTATTTTGAAGATTTCGTTGGAAACGGGAGAATCTTCACAGGAAAGCTAAACAGAAGCATTCTCAGAAACTTCTCTGTGATGTTTGTGTTCAACTCCCAGAGTTTCACATTGCTTTTCATAGAGTAGTTCTGAAACATGCTTTTCGTAGTGTCTACAAGTGGACATTTGGAGCGCTTTCAGGCCTGTGGTGGAAAACGAATTATGGTCACATAAAAACTGGAGAGAAGCCTTCTCAGAAACTTCTCTGTGATGATTGCATTCAACTCACAGAGTTGAACCCTCCTATGGATAGAGCAGTGTTGAAACTCTCTTTTTGTGGAATCTGCAAGTGGATACGTGGACCTCTCCGAAGATGTCTTTGGAAACGGGAATATCTTCACATAAAAACTAAACAGAAGCATTCTCAGAAACTTCTTGGTGATGTTTGCATTCAAATCCCAGAGTTGAACCTTCCTTTGATAGTTCAGGTTTGAAACACTCTTTTTGTAGGATCTGCAAGTGGATATTTGGACCACTCTGTGGCCTTCGTTCGAAACGGGTATATCTTCGCATAAAATCTAGACAGAAGCATTCTCAGAAAATACTTTGTGATGATTGAGTTGAACTCACAGAGCTGAACATTCCTTTGGATGGAGCAGGTTTGAGACACACTTTTTGTAGAATCTACAAGTGGATATTTGGACCTCTCTGAGGATTTCGTTGGAAACGGGATAACTGCACCTAACTAAACGGAAGCATTCTCAGAAACTGCTTTGTGATGATTGCATTCACCTCACAGAGTTGAACATTCCTATTGATAGAGCAGTTTGGAAACACTCTTGTTGTGGAATGTGCAAGTGGAGATTTGGAGCGCTTTGAGGCCTGTGGTAGTAAAGGGAATAGCTTCATAGAAAAACTAGACAGATGCATTCTCAGGAACTTTTTGGTGATGTTTGTATTCAACTCCCAGAGTTGAACTTTCCTTTGGAAAGAGCAGCTATGAAACACTGTTTTTCTAGAATCTGCAAGTGGACGTTTGGAGGGCTTTGTGGTTTGTGGTGGAAAAGGAAATATCTTCACCTAAATACTAGATAGAAGCATCCTCAGAAGCTTCTCTGTGATGACTGCATTCAACTCACGGAGTTGAACACTCCTTTTGAGAGCGCAGTTTTGAAACTCTCTTTCTGTGGCATCTGCAAGGGGACATGTAGACCTCTTTGAAGATTTCGTTGGAAACGGAATCATCTTCACATAAAAACTACACAGAAGCAATCTCAGAATCTTCTTTGTGATGTTTGCATTCAAATCCCCGAGTTGAACTTTCCTTTCAAAGTTCACGTTTGAAACACTCTTTTTGCAGGATCTACAAGTGGATATTTGGACCACTCTGTGTCCTTCGATCGAAACGGGTATATCTTCACATGACATCTAGACAGAAGCTTTCTCAGAAAATTCTTTGGGATGATTGAGTGGAACTCACAGAGCTGAACATTCCTTGCGATGTAGAAGTTTAGAAACACACTTTCTGCAGAATCTGCAAGTGCATATTTGGACCTCTCTGAGGAATTCGTTGGAAACGGGATAATTTCAGCTGACTAAACAGAAGCATTCTCAGAACCTTCTTCGTGATGTCTGCATTCAACTCACAGTGTGGAACCTTTCTTTGATAGTTCAGGTTTGAAACACTCTTTTTGTAGAAACTGCAAGGGGATAATTGCACTTCTTTGAGGCCTACCGTAGTAAAGGAAATAACTTCCTATAGAAAGAAGACAGAAGCATTCTCAGAACCCTCTTCGTGATGTTTGCATTCAACTCACAGTGCTGAACCTTTCTTTGATAGTTCAGCTTTGAAACACTCTTCTTGTAGAAACTGCAAGTGGATATTTGGTCCTCTCTGAGGATTTCGTTGGAAACGGGATAAACCGCACAGAACTAAACAGAAGAATTCTCAGAGCCCTCTTCGTGATGTTTGCATTCAACTCACAGTGCTGAACCTTTCTTTGATAGTGCAGCTTTGAAACACTCTTTTTGTAGAAACTGCAAGTGGATGTTTGGTCCTCTCTGAGGATTTCGTTGGAAACGGGATAAACCGCACAGAACTAAAACAGAAGCATTGTCAGAAACTTCTTTGTGATGATTGCATTCAACTCACAGAGTTGAAGGTTCCTTTTCAAACAGCAGTTTCCAATCACTCTTTCTGTGGAATCTGCAAGTGGATATTTGGGCCTCTCTGAGGATTTCGTTGGAAACGGGATAAAACGCACAGAACTAAAACAGAAGCATTCTCAGAAACTTCTCTGTGATGTTTGTGTTCAACTCCCAGAGTTTCACGTTGCTTTTCATAGAGTAGTTCTGAAACATGCTTTTCGTAGTGTCTGCAAGTGGACATTTGGAGCGCTTTCAGGCCTGTGGTGGAAAACGAATTATGGTCACATAAAAACTGGAGAGAAGCCTTCTCAGAAACTTCTCTGTGATGATTGCATTCAACTCACAGAGTTGAACCCTCCTATGGATAGAGCAGTGTTGAAACTCTCTTTTTGTGGAATCTGCAAGTGGATATGTGGACCTCTCCGAAGATGTCTTTGGAAACGGGAATATCTTCACATAAAAACTAAACAGAAGCATTCTCAGAAACTTCTTGGTGATGTTTGCATTCAAATCCCAGAGTTGAACCTTCCTTTGATAGTTCAGGTTTGAAACACTCTTTCTGTAGGATCTGCAAGTGGCTATTTGGACCACTCTGTGGCCTTCGTTCGAAACGGGTATATCTTCGCATAAAATCTAGACAGAAGCATTCTCAGAAAATACTTTGTGATGATTGAGTTTAAATCACAGAGCTGACCATTCCTTTGGATGGAGCAGGTTTGAGACACACTTTTTGTAGAATCTACAAGTGGATATTTGGACCTCTCTGAGGATTTCGTTGGAAACGGGATAACTGCACCTAACTAAACGGAAGCATTCTCAGAAACTGCTTTGTGATGATTGCATTCACCTCACAGAGTTGAACATTCCTATTGATAGAGCAGTTTGGAAACACTCTTGTTGTGGAATGTGCAAGTGGAGATTTGGAGCGCTTTGAGGCCTATGGTAGTAAAGGGAATAGCTTCATAGAAAAACTAGACAGATGCATTCTCAGGAACTTTTTGGTGATGTTTGTATTCAACTCCCAGAGTTGAACTTTCCTTTGGAAAGAGCAGCTATGAAACACTCTTTTTCTAGAATCTGCAAGTGGACGTTTGGAGGGCTTTGTGGTTTGTGGTGGAAAAGGAAATATCTTCACCTAAATACTAGATAGAAGCATTCTCAGAAGCTTCTCTGTGATGACTGCATTCAACTCACGGAGTTGAACACTCCTTTTGAGAGCGCAGTTTTGAAACTCTCTTTCTGTGGCATCTGCAAGGGGACATGTAGACCTCTTTGAAGATTTCGTTGGAAACGGAATCATCTTCACATAAAAACTATACAGAAGCAGTCTCAGAATCTTCTTTGTGATGTTTGCATTCAAATCCCAGAGTTGAACTTTCCTTTCAAAGTTCACGTTTGAAACACTCTTTTTGCAGGATCTACAAGTGGATATTTGGACCACTCTGTGTCCTTCGTTCGAAACGGGTATATCTTCACACGACATCTAGACAGAAGCTTTCTCAGAAAATTCTTTGGGATGATTGAGTGGAACTCACAGAGCTGAACATTCCTTGCGATGTAGCAGTTTAGAAACACACTTTCTGCAGAATCTGCAAGTGCATATTTGGACCTCTCTGAGGAATTCGTTGGAAACGGGATAATTTCAGCTGACTAAACAGAAGCATTCTCAGAACCTTCTTCGTGATGTCTGCATTCAACTCACAGTGTGGAACCTTTCTTTGATAGTTCAGGTTTGAAACACTCTTTTTGTAGAAACTGCAAGGGGATAATTGCACTTCTTTGAGGCCTACCGTAGTAAAGGAAATAACTTCCTATAGAAAGAAGACAGAAGCATTCTCAGAACCCTCTTCGTGATGTTTGCATTCAACTCACAGTGCTGAACCTTTCTTTGATAGTTCAGCTTTGAAACACTCTTCTTGTAGAAACTGCAAGTGGATATTTGGTCCTCTCTGAGGATTTCGTTGGAAACGGGATAAACCGCACAGAACTAAACAGAAGAATTCTCAGAGCCCTCTTCGTGATGTTTGCATTCAACTCACAGTGCTGAACCTTTCTTTGATAGTGCAGCTTTGAAACACTCTTTTTGTAGAAACTGCAAGTGGATGTTTGGTCCTCTCTGAGGATTTCGTTGGAAACGGGATAAACCGCACAGAACTAAAACAGAAGCATTGTCAGAAACTTCTTTGTGATGATTGCATTCAACTCACAGAGTTGAAGGTTCCTTTTCAAACAGCAGTTTCCAATCACTCTTTCTGTGGAATCTGCAAGTGGATATTTGGGCCTCTCTGAGGATTTCGTTGGAAACGGGATAAAACGCACAGAACTAAAACAGAAGCATTCTCAGAAACTTCTCTGTGATGTTTGTGTTCAACTCCCAGAGTTTCACGTTGCTTTTCATAGAGTAGTTCTGAAACATGCTTTTCGTAGTGTCTGCAAGTGGACATTTGGAGCGCTTTCAGGCCTGTGGTGGAAAACGAATTATGGTCACATAAAAACTGGAGAGAAGCCTTCTCAGAAACTTCTCTGTGATGATTGCATTCAACTCACAGAGTTGAACCCTCCTATGGATAGAGCAGTGTTGAAACTCTCTTTTTGTGGAATCTGCAAGTGGATATGTGGACCTCTCCGAAGATGTCTTTGGAAACGGGAATATCTTCACATAAAAACTAAACAGAAGCATTCTCAGAAACTTCTTGGTGATGTTTGCATTCAAATCCCAGAGTTGAACCTTCCTTTGATAGTTCAGGTTTGAAACACTCTTTCTGTAGGATCTGCAAGTGGCTATTTGGACCACTCTGTGGCCTTCGTTCGAAACGGGTATATCTTCGCATAAAATCTAGACAGAAGCATTCTCAGAAAATACTTTGTGATGATTGAGTTTAAATCACAGAGCTGACCATTCCTTTGGATGGAGCAGGTTTGAGACACACTTTTTGTAGAATCTACAAGTGGATATTTGGACCTCTCTGAGGATTTCGTTGGAAACGGGATAACTGCACCTAACTAAACGGAAGCATTCTCAGAAACTGCTTTGTGATGATTGCATTCACCTCACAGAGTTGAACATTCCTATTGATAGAGCAGTTTGGAAACACTCTTGTTGTGGAATGTGCAAGTGGAGATTTGGAGCGCTTTGAGGCCTGTGGTAGTAAAGGGAATAGCTTCATAGAAAAACTAGACAGATGCATTCTCAGGAACTTTTTGGTGATGTTTGTATTCAACTCCCAGAGTTGAACTTTCCTTTGGAAAGAGCAGCTATGAAACACTCTTTTTCTAGAATCTGCAAGTGGACGTTTGGAGGGCTTTGTGGTTTGTGGTGGAAAAGGAAATATCTTCACCTAAATACTAGATAGAAGCATTCTCAGAAGCTTCTCTGTGATGACTGCATTCAACTCACGGAGTTGAACACTCCTTTTGAGAGCGCAGTTTTGAAACTCTCTTTCTGTGGCATCTGCAAGGGGACATGTAGACCTCTTTGAAGATTTCGTTGGAAACGGAATCATCTTCACATAAAAACTATACAGAAGCAGTCTCAGAATCTTCTTTGTGATGTTTGCATTCAAATCCCAGAGTTGAACTTTCCTTTCAAAGTTCACGTTTGAAACACTCTTTTTGCAGGATCTACAAGTGGATATTTGGACCACTCTGTGTCCTTCGTTCGAAACGGGTATATCTTCACACGACATCTAGACAGAAGCTTTCTCAGAAAATTCTTTGGGATGATTGAGTGGAACTCACAGAGCTGAACATTCCTTGTGATGTAGCAGTTTAGAAACACACTTTCTGCAGAATCTGCAAGTGCATATTTGGACCTCTCTGAGGAATTCGTTGGAAACGGGATAATTTCAGCTGACTAAACAGAAGCATTCTCAGAACCTTCTTCGTGATGTCTGCATTCAACTCACAGTGTGGAACCTTTCTTTGATAGTTCAGGTTTGAAACACTCTTTTTGTAGAAACTGCAAGGGGATAATTGCACTTCTTTGAGGCCTACCGTAGTAAAGGAAATAACTTCCTATAGAAAGAAGACAGAAGCATTCTCAGAACCCTCTTCGTGATGTTTGCATTCAACTCACAGTGCTGAACCTTTCTTTGATAGTTCAGCTTTGAAACACTCTTCTTGTAGAAACTGCAAGTGGATATTTGGTCCTCTCTGAGGATTTCGTTGGAAACGGGATAAACCGCACAGAACTAAACAGAAGCATTCTCAGAACCTTCTTCGTGATGTTTGCATTCAACTCACAGTGTTGAACCTTTCTTTGATAGTTCAGGTTTGAAACGGTCTTTCTGTAGAAACTGCAAGTAGATATTTGGACCTCTCTGAGGATTTCGTTGGAAACGGGATAAACCGCACAGAACTAAAACAGAAGCATTCACAGAAAACTCTTGGTGACGACTGAGTTTAACTCACAGAGCTGAACATTCCTTTGGATGGAGCAGTTTCGAAACACACTATTTGTAGAATGTGCAAGTGGATATTTGGGCCTCTCTGAGGATTTCGTTGGAAACGGGATAAACCGCACAGAACTAAACAGAAGCATTCTCAGAAACTACTTTGTGATGATTGCATTCAAGTCACAGAGTTGAACATTCCCTTTGACAGAGCAGTTTGGAAACTCTCTTTGTGTAGAATCTGCAAGTGGAGATATGGACCGCTTTGAGGCCTATGGTAGTAAAGGAAATAGCTTCATATAAAAGCTAGACAGTAGCATTCTCAGAAACTTCTTTGTGATGCTTGCATTCAACTCACAGAGTTGAACTTTCCTTTCGAGAGAGAAGCTTTGAAACACTCTTTTTCCAGAATCTGCAAGTGGACATTTGGAGGGCTTTGAGGCCTGTGGTGGAAAAGGAATTAACTTCCCGTAAAAGCTAGATAGAAGCATTGTCAGAAACTTCTTTGTGATGATTGCATTCAACTCACAGAGATGAAGGTTCCTTTACAAACAGCAGTTTCCAAACACTCTTTCTGTGGAATCTGCAAGTGGATATTTGGACCTCTTTGAAGATTTCGTTGGAAACGGGAGAATCTTCACAGAAAAGCTAAACAGAAGCATTCTCAGAAACTTCTCTGTGATGTTTGTGTTCAACTCCCAGAGTTTCACATTGCTTTTCATAGAGTAGTTCTGAAACATGCTTTTCGTAGTGTCTGCAAGTGGACATTTGGAGCGCTTTCAGGCCTGTGGTGGAAAACGAATTATGGTCCCATAAAAACTGGAGAGAAGCCTTCTCAGAAACTTCTCTGTGATGATTGCATTCAACTCACAGATTTGAACCCTCCTATGGATAGAGCATTGTTGAAACTCTCTTTTTGTGGAATCTGCAAGTGGATATGTGGACCTCTCCGAAGATGTCTTTGGAAACGGGAATATCTTCACATAAAAACTAAACAGAAGCATTCTCAGAAACTTCTTGGTGATGTTTGCATTCAAATCCCAGAGTTGAACCTTCCTGTGATAGTTCAGGTTTGAAACACTCTTTTTGTAGGATCTGCAAGTGGATATTTGGACCACTCTGTGGCCTTCGTTCGAAACGGGTACATCTTCACATAAAATCTAGACAGAAGCATTCTCAGAAAATACTTTGTGATGATTGAGTTTAACTCACAGAGCTGAACATTCCTTTGGATGGAGCAGGTTTGAGACACACTTTTTGTAGAATCTACAAGTGGATATTTGGACCTCTCTGAGGATTTCGTTGGAAACGCGATAACTGCTCCTAACTAAACGGAAGCATTCTCAGAAACTGCTTTGTGATGATTGCATTCACCTCACAGAGTTGAACATTCCTATTGATAGAGCAGTTTGGAAACACTCTTGTTGTGGAATGTGCAAGTGGAGATTTGGAGCGCTTTGAGGCCTATGGTAGTAAAGGGAATAGCTTCATAGAAAAACTAGACAGATGCATTCTCAAGAACTTTTTGGTGATGTTTGTATTCAACTCCCAGAGTTGAACTTTCCTTTGGAAAGAGCAGCTATGAAACACTCTTTTTCTAGAATCTGCAAGTGGACGTTTGGAGGGCTTTGTGGTTTGTGGTGGAAAAGGAAATATCTTCACCTAAATACTAGATAGAAGCATTCTCAGTAGCTTCTCTGTGATGACTGCATTCAACTCACGGAGTTGAACACTCCTTTTGAGAGCGCAGTTTTGAAACTCTCTTTCTTTGTCATCTGCAAGGGGACATGTAGACCTCTCTGAAGATTTCGTTGGAAACGGAATCATCTTCACATAAAAACTATACAGAAGCAGTCTCAGAATCTTCTTTGTGATGTTTGCATTCAAATCCCAGAGTTGAACTTTCCTTTCAAAGTTCACGTTTGAAACACTCTTTTTGCAGGATCTACAAGTGGATATTTGGACCACTCTGTGTCCTTCGTTCGAAACGGGTATATCTTCACATGACATCTAGACAGAAGCTTTCTCAGAAAATTCTTTGGGATGATTGAGTGGAACTCACAGAGCTGAACATTCCTTGCGATGTAGCAGTTTAGAAACACACTTTCTGCAGAATCTGCAAGTGCATATTTGGACCTCTCTGAGGAATTCGTTGGAAACGGGATAATTTCAGCTGACTAAACAGAAGCATTCTCAGAACCTTCTTCGTGATGTCTGCATTCAACTCACAGTGTGGAACCTTTCTTTGATAGTTCAGCTTTGAAACACTCTTTTTGTAGAAACTGCAAGGGGATAATTGCACTTCTTTGAGGCCTACCGTAGTAAAGGAAATAACTTCCTATAGAAAGAAGACAGAAGCATTCTCAGAACCCTCTTCGAGATGTTTGCATTCAACTCACAGTGCTGAACCTTTCTTTGATAGTTCAGCTTTGAAACATTCTTCTTGTAGAAACTGCAAGTGGATATTTGGTCCTCTCTGAGGATTTCGTTGGAAACGGGATAAACCGCACAGAACTAAACAGAAGCATTCTCAGAACCTTCTTCGTGATGTTTGCATTCAACTCACAGGGTTGAACCTTTCTTTGATAGTTCAGGTTGGAAACGGTCTTTCTGTAGAAACTGCAAGTAGATATTTGGACCTCTCTGAGGATTTCGTTGGTAACGGGATAAACCGCACAGAACTAAAACAGAAGCATTCACAGAAAACTCTTGGTGACGACTGAGTTTAACTCACAGAGCTGAACATTCCTTTGGATGGAGCAGTTTCGAAACACACTATTTGTAGAATGTGCAAGTGGATATTTGGGCCTCTCTGAGGATTTCGTTGGAAACGGGATAAAACGCACAGAACTAAACAGAAGCATTCTCAGAAACTACTTTGTGATGATTGCATTCAAGTCACAGAGTTGAACATTCCCTTTGACAGAGCAGTTTGGAAACTCTCTTTGTGTAGAATCTGCAAGTGGAGATATGGACCGCTTTGAGGCCTATGGTAGTAAAGGAAATAGCTTCATATAAAACCAGACCGTAAGCATTCTCAGAAACTTCTTTGTGATGCTTGCATTCAACTCACAGAGTTGAACTTTCCTTTCGAGAGAGAAGCTTTGAAACACTCTTTTTCCAGAATCTGCAAGTGGACATTTGGAGGGCTTTGAGGCCTGTGGTGGAAAAGGAATTATCTTCCCGTAAAAGCTAGATAGAAGCATTGTCAGAAACTTCTTTGTGATGATTGCATTCAAGTCACAGAGTTGAAGGTTCCTTTTCAAAGAGCAGTTTCCAATCACTCTTTCTGTGGAATCTGCAAGTGGATATTTGGACCTCTTTGAAGATTTCGTTGGAAACGGGAGAATCTTCACAGAAAAGCTAAACAGAAGCATTCTCAGAAACTTCTCTGTGATGTTTGTGTTCAACTCCCAGAGTTTCACGTTGCTTCTCATAGAGTAGTTCTGAAACATGCTTTTCGTAGTGTCTGCAAGTGGACATTTGGAGCGCTTTCAGGCCTGTGGTGGAAAACGAATTATGGTCACATAAAAACTGGAGAGAAGCCTTCTCAGAAACTTCTCTGTGATGATTGCATTCAACTCACAGAGTTGAACCCTCTATGGATAGAGCAGTGTTGAAACTCTCTTTTTGTGGAATCTGCAAGTGGATATGTGGACCTCTCCGAAGATGTCTTTGGAAACGGGAATATCTTCACATAAAAACTAAACAGAAGCATTCTCAGAAACTTCTTGGTGATGTTTGCATTCAAATCCCAGAGTTGAACCTTCCTTTGATAGTTCAGGTTTGAAACACTCTTTTTGTAGGATCTGGAAGTGGCTATTTGGACCACTCTGTGGCCTTCGTTCGAAACGGGTATATCTTCGCATAAAATCTAGACAGAAGCATTCTCAGAAAATACTTTGTGACGATTGAGTTTAAATCACAGAGCTGAACATTCCTTTGGATGGAGCAGGTTTGAGACACACTTTTTGTAGAATCTACAAGTGGATATTTGGACCTCTCTGAGGATTTCGTTGGAAACGGGATAACTGCACCTAACTAAACGGAAGCATTCTCAGAAACTGCTTTGTGATGATTGCATTCACCTCACAGAGTTGAACATTCCTATTGATAGAGCAGTTTGGAAACACTCTTGTTGTGGAATGTGCAAGTGGAGATTTGGAGCGCTTTGAGGCCTATGGTAGTAAAGGGAATAGCTTCATAGAAAAACTAGACAGATGCATTCTCAGGAACTTTTTGGTGATGTTTGTATTCAACTCCCAGAGTTGAACTTTCCTTTGGAAAGAGCAGCTATGAAACACTCTTTTTCTAGAATCTGCAAGTGGACGTTTGGAGGGCTTTGTGGTTTGTGGTGGAAAAGGAAATATCTTCACCTAAATACTAGATAGAAGCATTCTCAGAAGCTTCTCTGTGATGACTGCATTCAACTCACGGAGTTGAACACTCCTTTTGAGAGCGCAGTTTTGAAACTCTCTTTCTGTGGCATCTGCAAGGGGACATGTAGACCTCTTTGAAGATTTCGTTGGAAACGGAATCATCTTCACATAAAAACTATACAGAAGCAGTCTCAGAATCTTCTTTGTGATGTTTGCATTCAAATCCCAGAGTTGAACTTTCCTTTCAAAGTTCACGTTTGAAACACTCTTTTTGCAGGATCTACAAGTGGATATTTGGACCACTCTGTGTCCTTCGTTCGAAACGGGTATATCTTCACACGACATCTAGACAGAAGCTTTCTCAGAAAATTCTTTGGGATGATTGAGTGGAACTCACAGAGCTGAACATTCCTTGCGATGTAGCAGTTTAGAAACACACTTTCTGCAGAATCTGCAAGTGCATATTTGGACCTCTCTGAGGAATTCGTTGGAAACGGGATAATTTCAGCTGACTAAACAGAAGCATTCTCAGAACCTTCTTCGTGATGTCTGCATTCAACTCACAGTGTGGAACCTTTCTTTGATAGTTCAGGTTTGAAACACTCTTTTTGTAGAAACTGCAAGGGGATAATTGCACTTCTTTGAGGCCTACCGTAGTAAAGGAAATAACTTCCTATAGAAAGAAGACAGAAGCATTCTCAGAACCCTCTTCGTGATGTTTGCATTCAACTCACAGTGCTGAACCTTTCTTTGATAGTTCAGCTTTGAAACACTCTTCTTGTAGAAACTGCAAGTGGATATTTGGTCCTCTCTGAGGATTTCGTTGGAAACGGGATAAACCGCACAGAACTAAACAGAAGAATTCTCAGAGCCCTCTTCGTGATGTTTGCATTCAACTCACAGTGCTGAACCTTTCTTTGATAGTGCAGCTTTGAAACACTCTTTTTGTAGAAACTGCAAGTGGATGTTTGGTCCTCCCTGAGGATTTCGTTGGAAACGGGATAAACCGCACAGAACTAAAACAGAAGCATTGTCAGAAACTTCTTTGTGATGATTGCATTCAACTCACAGAGTTGAAGGTTCCTTTTCAAACAGCAGTTTCCAATCACTCTTTCTGTGGAATCTGCAAGTGGATATTTGGGCCTCTCTGAGGATTTCGTTGGAAACGGGATAAAACGCACAGAACTAAAACAGAAGCATTCTCAGAAACTTCTCTGTGATGTTTGTGTTCAACTCCCAGAGTTTCACGTTGCTTTTCATAGAGTAGTTCTGAAACATGCTTTTCGTAGTGTCTGCAAGTGGACATTTGGAGCGCTTTCAGGCCTGTGGTGGAAAACGAATTATGGTCACATAAAAACTGGAGAGAAGCCTTCTCAGAAACTTCTCTGTGATGATTGCATTCAACTCACAGAGTTGAACCCTCCTATGGATAGAGCAGTGTTGAAACTCTCTTTTTGTGGAATCTGCAAGTGGATATGTGGACCTCTCCGAAGATGTCTTTGGAAACGGGAATATCTTCACATAAAAACTAAACAGAAGCATTCTCAGAAACTTCTTGGTGATGTTTGCATTCAAATCCCAGAGTTGAACCTTCCTTTGATAGTTCAGGTTTGAAACACTCTTTCTGTAGGATCTGCAAGTGGCTATTTGGACCACTCTGTGGCCTTCGTTCGAAACGGGTATATCTTCGCATAAAATCTAGACAGAAGCATTCTCAGAAAATACTTTGTGATGATTGAGTTTAAATCACAGAGCTGACCATTCCTTTGGATGGAGCAGGTTTGAGACACACTTTTTGTAGAATCTACAAGTGGATATTTGGACCTCTCTGAGGATTTCGTTGGAAACGGGATAACTGCACCTAACTAAACGGAAGCATTCTCAGAAACTGCTTTGTGATGGTTGCATTCACCTCACAGAGTTGAACATTCCTATTGATAGAGCAGTTTGGAAACACTCTTGTTGTGGAATGTGCAAGTGGAGATTTGGAGCGCTTTGAGGCCTATGGTAGTAAAGGGAATAGCTTCATAGAAAAACTAGACAGATGCATTCTCAGGAACCTTTTGGTGATGTTTGTATTCAACTCCCAGAGTTGAACTTTCCTTTGGAAAGAGCAGCTATGAAACACTCTTTTTCTAGAATCTGCAAGTGGACGTTTGGAGGGCTTTGTGGTTTGTGGTGGAAAAGGAAATATCTTCACCTAAATACTAGATAGAAGCATTCTCAGAAGCTTCTCTGTGATGACTGCATTCAACTCACGGAGTTGAACACTCCTTTTGAGAGCGCAGTTTTGAAACTCTCTTTCTGTGGCATCTGCAAGGGGACATGTAGACCTCTTTGAAGATTTCGTTGGAAACGGAATCATCTTCACATAAAAACTATACAGAAGCAGTCTCAGAATCTTCTTTGTGATGTTTGCATTCAAATCCCAGAGTTGAACTTTCCTTTCAAAGTTCACGTTTGAAACACTCTTTTTGCAGGATCTACAAGTGGATATTTGGACCACTCTGTGTCCTTCGTTCGAAACGGGTATATCTTCACACGACATCTAGACAGAAGCTTTCTCAGAAAATTCTTTGGGATGATTGAGTGGAACTCACAGAGCTGAACATTCCTTGCGATGTAGCAGTTTAGAAACACACTTTCTGCAGAATCTGCAAGTGCATATTTGGACCTCTCTGAGGAATTCGTTGGAAACGGGATAATTTCAGCTGACTAAACAGAAGCATTCTCAGAACCTTCTTCGTGATGTCTGCATTCAACTCACAGTGTGGAACCTTTCTTTGATAGTTCAGGTTTGAAACACTCTTTTTGTAGAAACTGCAAGGGGATAATTGCACTTCTTTGAGGCCTACCGTAGTAAAGGAAATAACTTCCTATAGAAAGAAGACAGAAGCATTCTCAGAACCCTCTTCGTGATGTTTGCATTCAACTCACAGTGCTGAACCTTTCTTTGATAGTTCAGCTTTGAAACACTCTTCTTGTAGAAACTGCAAGTGGATATTTGGTCCTCTCTGAGGATTTCGTTGGAAACGGGATAAACCGCACAGAACTAAACAGAAGCATTCTCAGAACCTTCTTCGTGATGTTTGCATTCAACTCACAGTGTTGAACCTTTCTTTGATAGTTCAGGTTTGAAACGGTCTTTCTGTAGAAACTGCAAGTAGATATTTGGACCTCTCTGAGGATTTCGTTGGAAACGGGATAAACCGCACAGAACTAAAACAGAAGCATTCACAGAAAACTCTTGGTGACGACTGAGTTTAACTCACAGAGCTGAACATTCCTTTGGATGGAGCAGTTTCGAAACACACTATTTGTAGAATGTGCAAGTGGATATTTGGGCCTCTCTGAGGATTTCGTTGGAAACGGGATAAACCGCACAGAACTAAACAGAAGCATTCTCAGAAACTACTTTGTGATGATTGCATTCAAGTCACAGAGTTGAACATTCCCTTTGACAGAGCAGTTTGGAAACTCTCTTTGTGTAGAATCTGCAAGTGGAGATATGGACCGCTTTGAGGCCTATGGTAGTAAAGGAAATAGCTTCATATAAAAGCTAGACAGTAGCATTCTCAGAAACTTCTTTGTGATGCTTGCATTCAACTCACAGAGTTGAACTTTCCTTTCGAGAGAGAAGCTTTGAAACACTCTTTTTCCAGAATCTGCAAGTGGACATTTGGAGGGCTTTGAGGCCTGTGGTGGAAAAGGAATTATCTTCCCGTAAAAGCTAGATAGAAGCATTGTCAGAAACTTCTTTGTGATGATTGCATTCAACTCACAGAGTTGAAGGTTCCTTTTCAAAGAGCAGTTTCCAATCACTCTTTCTGTGGAATCTGCAAGTGGATATTTGGACCTATTTTGAAGATTTCGTTGGAAACGGGAGAATCTTCACAGGAAAGCTAAACAGAAGCATTCTCAGAAACTTCTCTGTGATGTTTGTGTTCAACTCCCAGAGTTTCACATTGCTTTTCATAGAGTAGTTCTGAAACATGCTTTTCGTAGTGTCTACAAGTGGACATTTGGAGCGCTTTCAGGCCTGTGGTGGAAAACGAATTATGGTCACATAAAAACTGGAGAGAAGCCTTCTCAGAAACTTCTCTGTGATGATTGCATTCAACTCACAGAGTTGAACCCTCCTATGGATAGAGCAGTGTTGAAACTCTCTTTTTGTGGAATCTGCAAGTGGATATGTGGACCTCTCCGAAGATGTCTTTGGAAACGGGAATATCTTCACATAAAAACTAAACAGAAGCATTCTCAGAAACTTCTTGGTGATGTTTGCATTCAAATCCCAGAGTTGAACCTTCCTTTGATAGTTCAGGTTTGAAACACTCTTTTTGTAGGATCTGCAAGTGGATATTTGGACCACTCTGTGGCCTTCGTTCGAAACGGGTATATCTTCGCATAAAATCTAGACAGAAGCATTCTCAGAAAATACTTTGTGATGATTGAGTTTAACTCACAGAGCTGAACATTCCTTTGGATGGAGCAGGTTTGAGACACACCTTTTGTAGAATCTACAAGTGGATATTTGGACCTCTCTGAGGATTTCGTTGGAAACGGGATAACTGCACCTAACTAAACGGAAGCATTCTCAGAAACTGCTTTGTGATGACTGCATTCACCTCACAGAGTTGAACATTCCTATTGATAGAGCAGTTTGGAAACACTCTTGTTGTGGAATGTGCAAGTGGAGATTTGGAGCGCTTTGAGGCCTATGGTAGTAAAGGGAATAGCTTCATAGAAAAACTAGACAGATGCATTCTCAGGAACTTTTTGGTGATGTTTGTATTCAACTCCCAGAGTTGAACTTTCCTTTGGAAAGAGCAGCTATGAAACACTGTTTTTCTAGAATCTGCAAGTGGACGTTTGGAGGGCTTTGTGGTTTGTGGTGGAAAAGGAAATATCTTCACCTAAATACTAGATAGAAGCATCCTCAGAAGCTTCTCTGTGATGACTGCATTCAACTCACGGAGTTGAACACTCCTTTTGAGAGCGCAGTTTTGAAACTCTCTTTCTGTGGCATCTGCAAGGGGACATGTAGACCTCTTTGAAGATTTCGTTGGAAACGGAATCATCTTCACATAAAAACTATACAGAAGCAGTCTCAGAATCTTCTTTGTGATGTTTGCATTCAAATCCCCGAGTTGAACTTTCCTTTCAAAGTTCACGTTTGAAACACTCTTTTTGCAGGATCTACAAGTGGATATTTGGACCACTCTGTGTCCTTCGTTCGAAACGGGTATATCTTCACATGACATCTAGACAGAAGCTTTCTCAGAAAATTCTTTGGGATGATTGAGTTGAACTCACAGAGCTGAGCATTCCTTGCGATGTAGCAGTTTAGAAACACACTTTCTGCAGAATCTGCAAGTGCATATTTGGACCTCTGTGAGGAATTCGTTGGAAACGGGATAATTTCAGCTGACTAAACAGAAGCATTCTCAGAACCTTCTTCGTGATGTCTGCATTCAACTCACAGTGTGGAAACCTTTCTTTGATAGTTCAGGTTTGAAACACTCTTTTTGTAGAAACTGCAAGGGGATAATTGCACTCTTTGAGGAGTACCGTAGTAAAGGAAATAACTTCCTCTAAAAAGAAGACAGAAGAATTCTCAGAGCCCTCTTCGTGATGTTTGCATTCAACTCACAGTGCTGAACCTTTCTTTGATAGTGCAGCTTTGAAACACTCTTTTTGTAGAAACTGCAAGTGGATGTTTGGTCCTCTCTGAGGATTTCGTTGGAAACGGGATAAACCGCACAGAACTAAAACAGAAGCATTGTCAGAAACTTCTTTGTGATGATTGCATTCAACTCACAGAGTTGAAGGTTCCTTTTCAAACAGCAGTTTCCAATCACTCTTTCTGTGGAATCTGCAAGTGGATATTTGGGCCTCTCTGAGGATTTCGTTGGAAACGGGATAAAACGCACAGAACTAAAACAGAAGCATTCTCAGAAACTTCTCTGTGATGTTTGTGTTCAACTCCCAGAGTTTCACGTTGCTTTTCATAGAGTAGTTCTGAAACATGCTTTTCGTAGTGTCTGCAAGTGGACATTTGGAGCGCTTTCAGGCCTGTGGTGGAAAACGAATTATGGTCACATAAAAACTGGAGAGAAGCCTTCTCAGAAACTTCTCTGTGATGATTGCATTCAACTCACAGAGTTGAACCCTCCTATGGATAGAGCAGTGTTGAAACTCTCTTTTTGTGGAATCTGCAAGTGGATATGTGGACCTCTCCGAAGATGTCTTTGGAAACGGGAATATCTTCACATAAAAACTAAACAGAAGCATTCTCAGAAACTTCTTGGTGATGTTTGCATTCAAATCCCAGAGTTGAACCTTCCTTTGATAGTTCAGGTTTGAAACACTCTTTCTGTAGGATCTGCAAGTGGCTATTTGGACCACTCTGTGGCCTTCGTTCGAAACGGGTATATCTTCGCATAAAATCTAGACAGAAGCATTCTCAGAAAATACTTTGTGATGATTGAGTTTAAATCACAGAGCTGACCATTCCTTTGGATGGAGCAGGTTTGAGACACACTTTTTGTAGAATCTACAAGTGGATATTTGGACCTCTCTGAGGATTTCGTTGGAAACGGGATAACTGCACCTAACTAAACGGAAGCATTCTCAGAAACTGCTTTGTGATGATTGCATTCACCTCACAGAGTTGAACATTCCTATTGATAGAGCAGTTTGGAAACACTCTTGTTGTGGAATGTGCAAGTGGAGATTTGGAGCGCTTTGAGGCCTGTGGTAGTAAAGGGAATAGCTTCATAGAAAAACTAGACAGATGCATTCTCAGGAACTTTTTGGTGATGTTTGTATTCAACTCCCAGAGTTGAACTTTCCTTTGGAAAGAGCAGCTATGAAACACTCTTTTTCTAGAATCTGCAAGTGGACGTTTGGAGGGCTTTGTGGTTTGTGGTGGAAAAGGAAATATCTTCACCTAAATACTAGATAGAAGCATTCTCAGAAGCTTCTCTGTGATGACTGCATTCAACTCACGGAGTTGAACACTCCTTTTGAGAGCGCAGTTTTGAAACTCTCTTTCTGTGGCATCTGCAAGGGGACATGTAGACCTCTTTGAAGATTTCGTTGGAAACGGAATCATCTTCACATAAAAACTATACAGAAGCAGTCTCAGAATCTTCTTTGTGATGTTTGCATTCAAATCCCAGAGTTGAACTTTCCTTTCAAAGTTCACGTTTGAAACACTCTTTTTGCAGGATCTACAAGTGGATATTTGGACCACTCTGTGTCCTTCGTTCGAAACGGGTATATCTTCACACGACATCTAGACAGAAGCTTTCTCAGAAAATTCTTTGGGATGATTGAGTGGAACTCACAGAGCTGAACATTCCTTGCGATGGAGCAGTTTAGAAACACACTTTCTGCAGAATCTGCAAGTGCATATTTGGACCTCTCTGAGGAATTCGTTGGAAACGGGATAATTTCAGCTGACTAAACAGAAGCATTCTCAGAACCTTCTTCGTGATGTCTGCATTCAACTCACAGTGTGGAACCTTTCTTTGATAGTTCAGGTTTGAAACACTCTTTTTGTAGAAACTGCAAGGGGATAATTGCACTTCTTTGAGGCCTACCGTAGTAAAGGAAATAACTTCCTATAGAAAGAAGACAGAAGCATTCTCAGAACCCTCTTCGTGATGTTTGCATTCAACTCACAGTGCTGAACCTTTCTTTGATAGTTCAGCTTTGAAACACTCTTCTTGTAGAAACTGCAAGTGGATATTTGGTCCTCTCTGAGGATTTCGTTGGAAACGGGATAAACCGCACAGAACTAAACAGAAGCATTCTCAGAGCCCTCTTCGTGATGTTTGCATTCAACTCACAGTGCTGAACCTTTCTTTGATAGTGCAGCTTTGAAACACTCTTTTTGTAGAAACTGCAAGTGGATGTTTGGTCCTCTCTGAGGATTTCGTTGGAAACGGGATAAACCGCACAGAACTAAAACAGAAGCATTGTCAGAAACTTCTTTGTGATGATTGCATTCAACTCACAGAGTTGAAGGTTCCTTTTCAAACAGCAGTTTCCAATCACTCTTTCTGTGGAATCTGCAAGTGGATATTTGGGCCTCTCTGAGGATTTCGTTGGAAACGGGATAAAACGCACAGAACTAAAACAGAAGCATTCTCAGAAACTTCTCTGTGATGTTTGTGTTCAACTCCCAGAGTTTCACGTTGCTTTTCATAGAGTAGTTCTGAAACATGCTTTTCGTAGTGTCTGCAAGTGGACATTTGGAGCGCTTTCAGGCCTGTGGTGGAAAACGAATTATGGTCACATAAAAACTGGAGAGAAGCCTTCTCAGAAACTTCTCTGTGATGATTGCATTCAACTCACAGAGTTGAACCCTCCTATGGATAGAGCAGTGTTGAAACTCTCTTTTTGTGGAATCTGCAAGTGGATATGTGGACCTCTCCGAAGATGTCTTTGGAAACGGGAATATCTTCACATAAAAACTAAACAGAAGCATTCTCAGAAACTTCTTGGTGATGTTTGCATTCAAATCCCAGAGTTGAACCTTCCTTTGATAGTTCAGGTTTGAAACACTCTTTCTGTAGGATCTGCAAGTGGCTATTTGGACCACTCTGTGGCCTTCGTTCGAAACGGGTATATCTTCGCATAAAATCTAGACAGAAGCATTCTCAGAAAATACTTTGTGATGATTGAGTTTAAATCACAGAGCTGACCATTCCTTTGGATGGAGCAGGTTTGAGACACACTTTTTGTAGAATCTACAAGTGGATATTTGGACCTCTCTGAGGATTTCGTTGGAAACGGGATAACTGCACCTAACTAAACGGAAGCATTCTCAGAAACTGCTTTGTGATGATTGCATTCACCTCACAGA